>NC_000004.12:32500609-32833016 GCF_000001405.40 Homo sapiens
GTATATCAATAGTAGCATAAAAATAACTATATAGGAACAACATTTCTTCATTTCACTAGAATTTGGTATCTTATTTTTTTAGGGCTGCCAAAACAAAATACCACAGATTGAGTGTCTTAAGCAATATACATTTATTTTGTCACACTTCTAGAGGCAGGGAGCCCAAGATCAATGTGCCAGCAAAGCTGGTTTATCCTGACATGTCTCTTCTTGGCTTACAGAGGTCTTCATACTCATTGTGTTCTCATATGACCTTTTTTCTGTGTGTGTGCATCTCTGATGTTTCCTGTTTTCTTGTAAGGATTCCAGACATATTGGGTTAGAGCCTTACCTTTGTGACCTCGTTAAATATAATTACCTCTTTAAAGGCCCTGTTTCCAAATATATTCTCACTGGGGACTTGGACTTCAATATATGAATACTGGGGAGATGCATTTCAGCCCATAACAGTATAAGTCAGAAATTAATTCTAAAAAGTTATGAGGTACATAGTAAGCCATGGAACAATGGCTAAAAAAAAAAAAAACGCAAAATACAGTGAAAAAATTATTTAAAAACATTTATCTAATACAAAAAAAGTAAAAGAGGACAACAAACAAACAAAAACAAAAAAGAGACATATTGAAAACAAAAAGTGGAAGACATAAACCATATATCAAATATAACATTAAATGTAAATGGATTAACATTTCCGAAAAAGTCAAAGATTGTTAGAATGGATTAAAAACAGAATCCTGCTACATGCTGTCTAGAAGAGAAACTATTTAGATTCAAACAAACAAATTGGTTTAAAGTAAAATGATAGAGAAAGATGTATCATGTAAAAAAACATAAGAAAGCTGAAGTGGTTACACTAACATTTCACAAAAACAATTGACACAAAATTATTACAGAGATAAAAAAGGATATTTATAAATTGTAAACATGTTATCCATGATGAAGATATAAAAATGTCAAACCCTCAACCAACGGAGTTCTCAAATATCTCAAACAAATATATGAACCATATGAAACTGACAGAAATGAAGAGAGGAACAGAGCCTTCAACAATAGTAGTTGGAAACTTCAATAATCTAATTTTAATAATGTGCAGAACTAGGCAAAATATCAAAGTAAGAAGACATAAACAGCACTATAAACCAACTGAAACTAACAGACATTTATAGCATCCTTTGCCCAAAAACAGTATATTACACTTTTTTTTTCAAGCTCATATGGAACTTACTTCAGATTAGACCATGTGGTATAATTCAGTGAGCTTCAATAAATTGAAATGAAGTGAAATTATACAATACATGTTCCCTTGCCATAAGGAAATGAAACAAGAAATTAATAATAGAAAGATTATTAGGAAATTCATAAACATGTAAAAAGGTTTCACTCTGCTTAATGGATCAAAGAAGAAAATAAAAGGTGAATTAGAATATGCAATAAGATGAATGAAAATAAAAACACAATATGCTAACATTTATGGAATTCAACTTTAGCAGTGTTTAGAAGATATTTATACATTTGAATTCCTATATTAAACAGGACAAAAGATCTTAGGTCAATAACCTCAATTCTACATTAACATATTTCAGAATGAGTTGAAACATTTGTGAATACAATATATCCTAAAGGAATTATATAAATATAGAATTAGAAAAACACTTAAAATTCAAAAATAAATAGACAAATGACCCAAATAGAAATTGGGCAAAGAATCTGAATTAACATTTCTTCAAAAAGAATATACAAGTGACTAAGCATATGAAAACATGCTTATTATTTTTAGTCATTATTTAGGAAACATAAATTATGGTCACAGTGAGTTCCCGCTTTACACTCACTGTGATAAAAGAAAAGAAAAAACATATTCACAAGTGTTGGTGAGACTGTGGAGAGACTGAAAGCCTCATAGGCTGCTGTACAATAAGTGGTAAATCACCCTTGGAAAACAATCAAGCACTTCCTCCGAAGGTTAAAAATATATAATAGTTATCATATGACCCAGTAATTCCCCTCCTCCTAAGCATATGCTTAAGAATAATGAAGACAAATATCTACACAATAACTTGTACACAGATGTTTGTGGCAAGATTGTTCATAATTAACCCCCAAATGGAAACTACTAAAACACTATCAAATGATGAATTGATAATGTGCAGCATATCCATCCAATGGAATATTATTCAGCAATAAAAAGAAAGAAGTACTGATACATGCTACAATATAGATGAACCTTGGAAACATTATGCCAAGTGACAGAAGCAAGTGGCAAAACACCATGTATGGCTTAATTCCGATTTTATGAAAGGTCCAAAATAAGCAAATCCATAGAGATAAAAATATAGATTAGCGATTGCCCAGGCAGGGGTTGGCAGTAAGTGGGGAGTGATGCCAATGGATGCATATTTTATTTTTGCATTGATGAAAGAGTTCACTGTGTTGATAGCTGCAAAATTCACTGTGCTGATGTTGCACAATTTTGTGTAAAACCATTAAATTGTAAACTTTAAATAGCTGAATTGTATGGTATATGAATTACAACTCAATGCAGTTGTCATATATTTTAAAACATACTTACTAGCAGAAAGAAAGAAGCACATCTGAAATATAAATAAAAAATCTTACTTATTTTGCTACGAAACACTTACTGGTGATTCTTAACAATAAAGCTAAAAGCACATGTACTGTCAGGGTAATTCTCGCTCTTATTATCATGGACGCCTGGTTATTTGAAGTCTGGTTATGTTTTATTTTTGTGCCTGAAGACTCCACGCAAGAATATGGAAATCTAGTTCTTTCTATTTCCAGATCTAGTTCTTTCAAAATATACCATTTTTCCTTAAAACAATTTAGGTTAGCAAAGGCACACAAATTAGATGAGTACAATATGCTTTAACCATATGTTCATCTTTTGCAACTTTGATTTCTGTTTGGATTTTATAGATTTTCTGGCTATTTTGAGCTTTCCTTCCATATTATTTGAATGTTCTAAGGGATTTGTAAGTGAATTCCTAATTTTTTTTAGTATGTAGTTCTGAAGAAGCTAATTAAACATCTGTGAACATTACTTAAGCTATACAAATTATACTAGAAAACTGTATAAACTCTCTTAGAATTAGCATCACAGTGGAATCAATGGTTAGAACAAAAATATGAGTAGGAATACAAATAAGCAAATTCAGAAATCTAGAAATGTAGTAACTATATTATTTTGTTTGAAAATATACCTCTATATCTATGCATGTAAGACTGTCAAAATGAATTGAAAGATTTATATCTAATGAAACTTACAAAAATAGAAACAAGCAGAAGTTTGGTTCTAAGAATCATCTGCAGTATTAATTTGCAGGCCATCTATTTGCATGGTAATGTGGAACTATAAAATAAATGAAAGCTGAAAATGTAGAAAACTATCTTAATAATCAATGGAAAAATTATGTTATATAATCAACAATTTTTTGTCACAATATCAAAATCTCTTTTAACATCTGTTAAAGCTGTAAAGAGAAATGAAAAAATAGAAAAAGTGGCAAGAATATTTAGTACATTCTTGTTTAAAACATTAAAGTGTTTCAGTTATTTGCAGAAAACTTATCAGGAATAGTTTGAACAGTGTTTGCCTTATTTTTATATTACTTTTTAACGAGGAATATCCATCTTTTCTGTGTGTAAATTATTTTACTCTTTTCTAAGCTTATACGGGTCACTCACATTTAATCTTTTGCACTTTCAATATGGTGAAATATCTCTGAGAGTCTTTTTAATCTGAAGTGTTTGTTGGTATCACATCCTCTAAGACATCATCTTTTTTGTTACAATCTCCTTCTTCATTTATATTGGTAAGTTCACTTTCACTATGTTTCCCTATAGGCT
Source organism: Homo sapiens (assembly GCF_000001405.40). Classification (NCBI taxonomy): domain Eukaryota; kingdom Metazoa; phylum Chordata; class Mammalia; order Primates; family Hominidae; genus Homo; species Homo sapiens. The sequence continues at coordinate 32,504,474 of NC_000004.12, forward strand.
AAGGAAAGACAGCAGTATCAACATTCCAGCCTGTTACTCTTTTCTGTGACTCCATTTACATTTTGACTCTAAAATTTCTCTTCCAGTACTATCATTTTTTTTTTCATTTCTTTGCTGCACTTTCATCTTTGCTTTTCAATTACTACTGAAATTATGCATTTTGTAAAATGACAAATTTGTATTTACATTATGAGGCAAAATATCAGCAAAACTACATGCTTTTCTGTCTGTGAATAGACTGAATGACAGCTGCAAAGGGAGCAATCTTTTCAGACTGTAGAAGTGATATGATTTGTCACTGACCATGATGCACACCTCTCCTTTATGTAACTGGCGACTCATTTTTAGATGGAAACAGCAAAGCTTTTACTTTATCTGATTACTGACAGAGTAACGTACCACGGTAAATAAAATACGAACCATGTTATTGGAGGACTGCTGTTATTTAACTAGACCATGGTAACTAAAAGTTGTGCATACCAGAATGTTGTAAAGTGGGAATTGCTTGTATCTACATAAACCACTTGTAAGCTTTGGGAGGGTTTTAGGAAAATAATTTATGTAAGTGTAAGCATAGTTCCACATTACTGTTTTTTGGTATTTGTTGGTGATTTCATTCTCAGACAAAATAGAAACCAAGGAATAAATCCTACTGCTCTCTGGAGAATTCTAGTATACAAGATTGCAAAGTTAGTTTATTCAACATAATTGAATTGACTGCTATGATTTTCTCATAAAATAGAAAATATATAAAGAAAAATATTTTATGAATATTATTTAAAACTATTAAATAATTCACTGTTGACATATTATAATGAATGCTTAATATAATTAGTATAATTTATCACACCATAACACGAAGTGGCATAAATTATGTTAAGTGCTTTATGAAAATCATCGTACTTAATCATCACAAGTCCTCTAAAAGGAGGTATTATGTTTTCAATTATAAAGTTAAGGCAAAGGCAGTTTAAAGTAATTTTACACTTTTACAACTAAAAATGTGAGATTCAATATATGTTCCAACTCAAAATGCATCTATGCTATGCAACAACATTGATACAAACATTGAATTAAAGTGAACTTAGATTTAAATGTGGCTATATATCCATATTTACATTTTTATATTTGTTTTATTTCCTGTATCTGCTAATTAATCTATTTACTTACCAATATCTCTCTCTCATTTTCTTTCTCTCTCTCTCTGTTTTTGTTTGTCTTTGTTTAATGCGATCTAGATTTTTGCTACTCAAGTGTGAATTGCAAACTAAAGGCATGAGTTTCACTTGAGAATGTATTAAAAATGCAGTATATTAGATTGTATCCACAACTTACTGAATCAAAACCAAATTTTAACAAGATAACTGGCTTATTTATATGCTCAATCAGATTGGGAAGCAGAGGTCTAGATTTCCAACTGCAACTGAATAATTATTTTGTTATAATCATTTTAAAATAATTTTTAGTAGCAATTGTCTACCTGAAAATAACTTAATAAGTAGAAAATTAGCAAAAATTTTAAACTTGCAAGAAACCTTATGAGCCTATGCTCTCTTCTCACCTAAAAGGTAACCACTATGTTGAAATGTTCCTACACGAAGATGTAGGAAGATGGAACTTCCTAAAGACTTGTTGAATTGTTGTGACCAAAATGCTGATAATGTTATGGACAATGAAGTCCAGGCTGAGGTGGTCACAGATGGAAATGAGAAACTTACTGGGAACTGAAGTAAAGGTCACTCTTTCTATGCTTTAGCAAACAGTCTGGCAGCATTTTGCCCTTGCCCTAGAGATCTGTGGAACTTTGAACTTGAGAGAGATAATTTAGGTATCTGGTGGAAGAAATTTCTAATCAGCAAAACATTTGAGATGTGACCTGGTTTTTCTAAAAGTGTATACTCATAAGTGTGAAGAACTAGATGGTCTGAAATCGGAACTTATAAAGGAAGGCAGAACATGAAAGTATGGAAAATTTGCAGCCTGACCATGTGGTAGGAAATACAAACTCATTTTCCGGGAAGAAATTCAAACTGGCTGCAGAAATTTGCATAAGTAACAAGGAGCCAAATGTTAATTGCCAAGACAATGGGGAAAATGTCTCCAGGACATTTCCCAGATCTTCATGGTAGCCCCTCCTATCACAGGCCTAGAGTCCTAGAAGGGAAAAGTGGTTTGTGGGCCAGGTCCAGAGCTTCACTGCTGTCTGCAGCCTCAAGACATGCTGCCCTGTATCGCAGCTACTCTAGCTCCAGCCATTACTAAAAGGCACCAATTTATAGCTCAGGCCATGGCTTCAGAAGATGCAAGTCCCAAGCTTTGACAGCTTCCACGTGGTGTTGGGCCTGCGGTTGTGCATACAGCAAGAGTATGGGAGTCTGCCTAGACTTCAAAAGATATATGGAAATGCCTTGATATCCATGCATAAGTCTGCTGTAAGAGCGGACCATTCATGAAGAACATCTACTAGGGCAGCGCAGAAGGAAAATGTGAGGGTGGAGCCCTGACACAGAGTCCACACTGGGACATTGCCTGGTGCAGATGTGAAAAGAGGGCCACTGACCTCCAGACTGCAGAATGGTAGATCTACTGGTAACTGTTACTCTGCACCTGGAAAAGCCTCAGGCACTCAACACCAGTATGTAAAAGCAGCCACAGGGGCTGTACCATGCAGAGTCACAGGGCTGAAGCCTCCCGAGGCCCTGGGAGCCGGCCCCTTGCATCAGCATGCCCTGGATGCATGGAGTCAAAGGACATTATTTTGGAGCTTTATTATTGAGTGACAATCCTTCTGGGTTTCTGACTTGCATGCGGCCTGTGGCTCCTTTGTTTTGGCCAATTTCTCCCTTTTTGAATAGGGGCATTTTCCCAATGCCTGTACCCCCATTGTATTTTGGAAGTAACTAACTTCTCTTTTTTTTTTTTTTTACATGCTCAAAGGTGGAAGAGACTTGCCTTGTGTATTAGGCTGTTTTCATGCTGCTATAAAGATATACCTGAAACTGGGTAATTTATAAAGAAAAGCGGCTTAATTGACTGACAGTCTACATGCCTGGGGAGGCCTTAGAAAATTTACAATCATGGCGGAGGGGGAAGCAGGTACTTTTTTCACAATGCAGCAGGAGACAGAGAGAGTGCAGGGGAAACCACTACTTATAAAACCATCAGATCTTGTGAGAGCTCACTCACTATCACCAGAACGGCATGGGAAAAACTACCCCCCTGATCCAATCACCTCCCACCAAGTGCCTACCCTGACCCATGGGAATTACAATTCGGATTACAATTCAAAAATGAGATTCAGGTGGGGACAGAGCCAAATTATATCACCTTGTGTCTGCTGAGACTTTGGACTTGGACTTTTGAGTTAATACTGGAATGAGTTAAGACATTGAGGGACTGTTGGATAGGCATGATTTGTTTTGAAATGTGAGAAGGACATGAGATTTGGGAGGGGCTGGGGCAGAATGATATCTTTTGGCTCTGTGTCCCCACCCAAATCAGGGGAGGTCTCACAAGATCTGATCATTTAAAAGTGTGTGGCACCTCCCCCATCCCACTCATGCTCTACCATGGTTAAAACATGCTTGCTTCCTCTTTGCCTTCTGCCATGATTGTAAGTTTCCTGAGGCCTCCCAGTCATGCTTTCTGAACAGCCTGTGGAGCTGTGAGTCAATTAAACCTTGTTTCTTCATAAAATACCCAGTCTCACATAGTTCTTTATAGCAGTGTGAGAATGAACTAACACACCATATTATCCAGAAATTCTACTACTACGTATATAATCAAAAGAATTGAAAACAGGGACGCAAACAGGTACTTGTATGGCAACATTCTTTGCAACATTATCCATGGTAGTCAACAGGTAAAAACAAAACAAAACAAAACAAAAAAAACCCAACCATCTATCATCATATTAATGACTAATCAAAATGTGATTTTTATATGAAAGGGAATATTCTCAATCTTAAAAACTGATGGTGTTCTGATAAATTCTACATATGGATAAACCTTGAAAACTTTAAGCAAAGTAAAATAAGCCAGACCCAAAAGAACTTATATTGCATGATTCCACTTATGAATAATATATAGAATAGGCAAATTCATAGGGGGCGAAATAGGGTAGGTTAGAGATTACCAGAGTCTGAAGGGAGGGGGGATGGGAAATTAATATTTAATTTTTATAAAGTTTCTGTTTGCAGTGATGAAAATGTTTTAGGAATAGAGTTGATGATTTCACAAAGTTGTGAAAGTAATTCATGCTACCGAAGTGTATACTTAAAAGCGGTTAAAATGACAAAATTTATGTTATATATATTTTACTACATTAAAAATCAATAAAAGTCTGCAAAATAACATTTTCAGATGAACAAAATAATATGATGTGAGATCACACATCATGTGGCCTCTGAAAAACTTCGCTGTATACTCACGAGAGAATAAGAGTTAAAAAGGAAGATAGTATCTTAGTTCTATGATTCTCAACAGGGATTATTTGGAAGTCTAGAGACATTTTTGATTATCACACCTCAGGTCGGGGTACAGGAGAGATGGCTGCTGGAATCTTGTGAGTACAGATCAGGGATGCTGCCAAAATACATAAGAATTATGCAAAAAGAATTATAATGCCCCAAAGGTCAAGACTGCCTGGTAGATCCCCTAAAAAGTAATCAGCGTCCTACAGAGATCTCTTAACCTCATTTTTGAAAACTACTACTCAAATTAAAGTTCAGTATGGTTTAAAGTTTAATAATTTATGATCCAAGGACCTGAAATATTTTTCTTCAATAGAATCTGTAAATCATCAGAGAACCAGTATTTTTTAGAGGGACACAAAGAGCATGTTTACAATTTATCAGTGTACAATAATATATGTATTCACTTTCTAATTAATAGTGTGATAGTAAAAGTTCTTAAATTCAATCTTAAAATTGAAAATAATGTCATATACTTATCACATAATGAGAATAAACAACAACCTCTATGATTACATCACATTTGATATATAATTAACCCCAGACACCTAACTCACATAGATCACCAAGAGAAAAAGCAAAATTTTGGATGGTCCACTTCAATTCATCTTTTATATTCCGCAAAGCAAAGGCCCTCTTCAGGCTAAGGTACTACACATAAAGTGTACAGATAGGTACCTGTCTTATATCTCCTGTGAAGTAAAAATTAGACTAGTTGATCTAGTAGCTTTGTTTAAGACCATGCTGTTTAGTTTAGGATACACAAAAAAAAATACTCTGTTTTCCTGCTTCTCACTAAGCAAAGCTCAGCTTGATTCTCTGCAGAGTTTCACTTTTGTGTCACAACAGCAAATTCAAAAATGGCTTCCACAAAGCAAATAAGCACTGAGTCAGGGAACTTGGAAAGAGGCTTAGAGAGAATGCCAGCTCCTCAGGAGGGAGAGTACATCACCAGTTGTATGTGAGCTCTCCAGATGTGGAGTGGATATTGCCAATCTGAAAGAAACTAGACAAATTAGAATACATGGAAAAAAGTTGCAAGTTATCTTTTGTTCTGGGAAGGTCTTCTGAATTCACTGTGACAGCAGGGTTCAGCTTTGCAGTTACTTGTCTTCTATTCTTCAGACATATCTAGATGATAGCAATCATTTCTCAGTATCCCCTGAAACCCATGCTTAGTTAGTTGTATCATCATATTCAAGGATGCCATGACAAGGGCTGAAACTTTCTTTTTACCTTGATATAAATTTCTGATTTTATATCATGATATTGGTTATAAAGAGTTTCTTTGGTATTTGGATTTGATTCCCTTGAATTCATTGCAAATCAGACACTTTTAATACTGAATACCTATAGGTATACCTGGAATACCTTTGAGTATTCAGTATTAATTTCCTATAGGTATGCCTATAGGAATTCAGTATTAAAAGTGTCTGATTTACGATGAATGGTTCCACAGTGAGCAGCTCCTATTGGCTAAACATGATGCTAACTATTTTTCAAATAATATTCAAGGAATCTTCACAGCTTCTCCCAAAATTAGTACTATTGTTACCTTTTTACATAGAGTGAAACAAATGCATAAACTCTGAGAGTGTTAGGGATTAGAAAATGATACCCCAGCTGGGAGCAGTGGCTCACGCTTGTAATCCCGGCACTTTGGGAGGCTGAGGTGGGCAGATCACTTGAGGCCAGGAGTTCTAGACCAGCCTGGCCAGCATGGTGAAACCCCATCTCTACTAAAAATACAAAAAAATAGCCGGGTGTGGGGGTGGGTGCTACTCAGGAGGCTGAGGCAGGAGAATTGCTAGAACCCTGGAGGGAGAGGTTGCAGTGAGCTGAGATCGCACCACTGCACTCCAGCCGGGGCAACAAGAGCAAAACTCCGTTTCAAAAAAAAAAAAAAATATATATATATATATATGAGATATATATATATATATGAGATATATATATAAAAGTTATATATATATATATAAGAAAAAACAAAAAAAAGAAAATGATATCCCAAGTATAGTACTTTGGTGTATCGAATACTTTGAACTAAAGGATACTAGAAGGCCTCAGAAGCAGCCTCAGGACCAAGGTTTTTCCCATGTCTTGCCCCTCATTTTCCTTGAAGCAAGTCATAGAAAACAGAATTCCTTTTCTCCAAGGCAGGTCAATGGAAACTAGAAACTTTCTTCCCCAAAGCAAGCCATAAAGCCTAGAGATATTACCCAAACCTCCTCTAACTCCTTTCTGCGTAGGAGACAACCATAAAGAAATTCTCTTACCTAGCATGTATGGTAGTAGGTCATAAGACCCTCATTCCAGAGGGATCCTACCCTATCCCCAGAAGGAAAGAATGCTGCACAAAGAGTCTAAGAAGTTTCTAAACAGGCCTTGCTGGATTCCCCTTCGGTCTATTACCATTAGATTGTACACTCTTTTGCCCAATCCCATTTCAACACTGCTATCCATTTTTTCATCAAATCTCAGCATCCAAATGAACAGTTTTCTCTTGGTGTTTTGCTCTTCATTCCTAAAATCTCCAATGTCACATAAAATTTTGACTCAGTAGATTTTTAATTCTCTTCTCTTTTGCTATAGAAGTGTCTGGAGTGAGCCTTACAATCAGTGAGGAAATGTATCACACCTTTCTACCCCTACTACATTAGGAATAAGACAACAGTCTATTAGTGATGAAACCTAAGTTAGAGTCAGATTTCTTAAATTCCTATAAATGCATTCCCAGTAATTAATAAGTGATATTTTCTCTATATATCAATCCCATTATGTTAACATTATCTTTAAAGAAATATCTACTTTATTTGAAGTTATGTAAAGAATTTGTTCAGAACCACTGATACTAGACAGCCATAAACAACATCAATGAATACAATGATAAAGAGATAAAATATTGAAATAAATTACTCAGCATTAGAAAAACCATTCAGCCAATATTCTAGGGACTCACAAAACAACACCACTAAATAAAGTAAGGTCTATATATAGGTATCACTAATCACTAGCTAGAAGCAATCAATAATATATTCTTTACATTTGGAACAAAGAAAATCAGAAGTCATGTTCTGTGGAACACTGAAAACAGAAGGAAAGTGTAGATAATTGTCCTATAACTGCAAATTTGTGAGTTGTAGCACATATAATAGATGCGTAGTTATATAAATTCAGTTAACAAGCATTTATTATGGAATCTAATAACTTGTTATTTTACAAATATTTTGCACTCAGTAGTAAGTTACTATATTTTTTGATATCTTCTTGTTTCTAGCTCCATTTCCTAAGAATCACTGTTTTTCTTGTTTCTTATTTTCCTCTTTATTGGTAGAAGGGGATGGGCAAGTAGAATATACATTTAAAACAAAATTGAAGTCATGAACATACTAGGATTCTCCTGATTTATCAACAATAATTATTCCTTTTAATTTTTATTATGGATATATAATAGTTGTACATATTTATGGGGGTAGGTACAGATGCTGCTTTGATACAAGTATACAATGTGTAATGATCAATAAGAGTAATTTGGAAGTCCATCATTTCAAGCATTTATTATTTCTTTGTGTTAGAAACATTCCCCTTCCACTGTTTTAGTTATTTTCAAATATACTATAAATTGTTGTTAACTGTAGTCACCTTATTGTGCTATGAAACACTAGATCATTCTTTAATCAGGTTACAAACCGCCTTTCTTGTCTATGTGCCTTAAAACTATGATTACCCTCACCTCAAGCTTTTTGTTCTACTCTGTCAAACTTCTCTTAGTAGTAGAAAAATAATTTTTCCCCAAATGTTAATTTGTATAAATCTTTTTGAGTGTTTTTGAAAATTCAGTACATTTTCTTATATTACAGTGAAAACTTAAAACCCTCAAGCTGATGCTCCACTATTATTAAAGTGTTTGTAAAATACGGTGAGTGTAAGTTATTACAAATAGCAGTATAAAATGTTAGAAATGCAACCTTTTGTCTTAAATATATTGGTCTACCTGGTATCGCAATAGTTGAAAGTTATTAAGCAGTAAATTCAGATTATTTTTACAGGATTCTTTTTTTTTTTTTTTCTGAGACGGAGTCTCACTCTGTCACCAGGCTGGAGTGCAGTGGCGCAATCACGACTCACTGCAACCTTCGCCTCTGGGGTTCAAGCGATTCTCCTGCCTCAGCCTCTCGCGTAGCTGGGACTACAGGTGCTCGCCACCATGCCCAGCTAATTTTTGTATTTTTAGTAGAGACAGGGTTTCACCATGTTGGCCAGAATTGTCTCGATCTCCCAACCTCGTGATCCGCCCACCTCTGCCTCCCAAAGTGCTGGGATTACAGGCATGATACAGGCGATTTTTAATAGTGCTTATCTAGCATCCTTATTTTGAAATTTTTATGCATTTTAAGATGATGAATATCATTTCATTTTATTAGGTGTGGAAAATAAGAAATCTAATACAATGAATATGTAGAAACAAACAAACAAACAATAATATCTTCAGCTATGTTGCAGCAAAGAGTAAGCCTGCTGTCAAAAAATTGAGTTCAATTTTACACAAATTTGTAAAAGTATGGATTGCAAACTAAGACATTAATTTAAATTCAATGGAAAATTATTTTTTAAGTTAGTTACAGATTCAAAAAAAACCCACCACATCATGAGTAAGTCAATAGAGAAATGGAAAAATTATTTAATAGAGTTGCAATTAAATCAGTTCTTGGATTTGGTAGATACAGATATAAAATATCCACATGTATTTTATTAATAAAGAATAAAAATAACTAGGGGATAAAAGAGCATAAAAAGAAGAAAGCATATTTCAAGAATACCATTAAGTACTTTTAGAAGTGTGAAATACAAAGTATTACTAATGTTAACTTAATAGATGTGTGTCATAGCATGTTAGGGAAAACGGAAGAATTGCTGAGCTGGAATGCATAAGTGATGAAGTTTTCTAGAATTTAACTCAGAAAGGTAAGAAGATGGAAAATGAGAAACAGAAGTTAAGAGAGATGGAGAATAGATTAAGAAGTACAATATTCAGCTTCTGATTTCCAAAACCACAAAAGAAAACTATTGAGCTAGATAAATTTTTTGAGGTGACAGCTTATGTAAAAATGTTATCATATCTTAAAACAATATTTAGATACCTCTACTAATACAAATAATCAGTATCAAATGTTATTTATGTTGTTACTCTACTAATCTCTCTGTGTGTTTGTGTATTTCTCTGACTCTAATTTTATCTACAAAAAGATTGACATGAACTGTTTAATATTGCAAAACGTGCATCTGTGGTGAATACAACACTAATTCCTACATAATATGGAACCAAGTATGCCCCCAAAACAGGGAGACAATGGCATGCTTAGCACTTGGAAAATGATATTAATGGAATAACCTATACAAATCATGTTATTTGATGCATTCATTAAATTGTGTTTTCCCTTAACTAATTGTTTCAACCATTCAGGTCCTCCCTGTCCTCAGAAGTACTGTCTGTGTTTTATGTAAGGGTAGTACATGACATTCAGAGCTAGTAATTTTTTTTTCCTTCAAAGACTTAATAGACATGATGAAGTGATTTCCTGGGACCTGAGCCGGGCTAGTCACAGGAGTGGCTGTTCAGTTATGGGTCTTAATTTACCAGCACTGAGGACTGTGTCCCGAGAGAAAAAGGCATTGAGTCTTAAACAACCTATTGCTTTAATAATTGTGATAATGAAGGATTCTCCCAGTGTAGTGCCTTGGGCAGAAGCCTTTCTTAACTGATCTAAGAGTGGTCAGAGTGCAACCGGGATAAATAATGTAGTACCAAAATGAAGATCAAGTTTGTTTCTCATACAGAGGGAGTATGTGCTTTATCTCTAGAACAAACGTTCTACTTTGTAAACTGTGTAGTTTATTCACAGGTGTTCATTTTAACATTATGCTTCATCACTTTCAAAGATTATTATTTGTATAAACATCCCATTCCCAATTTCCACAATTCTCTCATGATCTGTCTTTGTAATTGCTGTTTAAAAATCATGTTATGTTATTGATACATAGTTCGTATCTGACATTTTTCTGAATATTAAATATTAAAATTACATAATAAAATTACATATAATCATAAAATCACATTAACATCAAATACCTTCAATACATGAATCCCTCCTTAATCATTATTGAGCAAATTGTCACTTAGATTATTCATGTTTTAATCTATTAATGGAATGTCATTATCACAAGAAGCTGTTTCAGAGTTGGATGGCATTAGTTGTTAGTTCTGTGGTATGTGTACCAAAACCTCCTTGTCTGTCATATTAAAAAGTTCCTTTTTGTGCTTTATGAAGTCATGTAATCAAGTATATTTCACATTTTTAAATATAAAGAAACTATTATAAATACTTCATCATATTATCTTATATAAAGGATGTAAATGTAATGTTGACAATTTAATTTCTCCCTCATTATTGAAAGTTTTCTGATTGGTCTTTATTTCTAAAATTTGCTAATCAAGACTCAATATTCCAAAAGTGAAGTAAATCATACCATAAAAATACTGTTTCTTATTTTGTAACCATTAAGAAGTCAACAACTTTTGATGCCAGTTCATCTTCAACTTTTGATTCATTCCTCTTCAACTAGGTAAATAAATAGACGGATAACACAGCAAATTGAAAAAAAGCAAGTTATCAACTATATTATATTGGAAACTGAGTAAATCATGAGTATGGAGTTTTTGGCACATTAAATTTCATACTGAGGGTTGTGTTTAAGATTGTTTTATTATTAAAATGATCTTTAATATTAATATTATAATTTAATATTATGTTCTTTCTTGCCTAATTCATGCATTTTTGGCAAATATGCGTTTCGGTCCTGTCAGTGTATAATTTTAAAAATATTTTGATTATTTCATAACAAAGAAAAGATTTCATTATACTAAACTGGAGTTTGCTAGTGAAGTTGAAGTTTTTTATTTAGTATAAATTTTTCTTATTTCATCAACCACTGATGAAAATCAAGCGGAGAGACAAATTTTGACATTGGTATTTTGGACCAAAAAATATCAAATGAAATTTAGAATATGAGAAAAATAAGTTCCTACATGTCTATTTAAATTCAAAAGGTAACTTCTGTTTTTATGACTAGCTTTTCTGAGACTTGGCATTATATTCATTTTGCAGTATGCTTGGCTAGCTTAAGAAGTTAAAATTGTATTTTTAGTCCATGCTTTTTCTTTTTTTTCCACTATAAACATTTTCTTATATTGTTTTTATATGTGATTATATTTGAATGTTGAAAATAAGGACTAATGTGGAATTCTATTATGTCATGTACAATTGTATAAGAAATACGTTTTATGAATTATATGTTGCATAGAAATCAGTTTCTCTCTGGTATTGCTTCACCTTTAACAAAACAAATATGTAAATACTCAATAAACTTCTCCAAATTAATATTGATGGTGTGTTTTTGGCTTTTACTTTTGTCTTTATTTTTGTTTGTTTGCATTTATTTTCTTTTGCCATGAAGAAATTTCCTCCAGTCTAGACTAAGGGAATGGCTGTCACATGTTTTCACAGGATTAAAACTTAAATTTGGGGGATAAAATGTCTTTCTAATAAAATTTACTTTTTAAATAATTAAAGCAAATCATCTATATTAAATTTATTGGCTTGATTCTAGGTACTTTTCAAAAAGATTTTATAATAAAATTCACTTTTGTGTAGAATACTGGCATTCGGAAGAATAATCTTCAGATACTGATTTGTCAGTAGTAACCTGCAGGATAATCCTTTGTGAACATTACCTTTGCTCCGTTTCTCCATATACTCATGTGTAAAATATATTCTTTTTTTTTTTTTTTTGGGGGGGGGGCCAATATTCAACATTTTTATTTTTTTTTTATTTTTATTTTTTTATTATACTTTAAGTTCTAGGGTACATGTGCACATTGTGCAGGTTAGTTACATATGTATACATGTGCCATGCTGGTGCGCTGCACCCACTAACGTGTCATCTAGCATTAGGTATATCTCCCAATGCTATCCCTCCCCCCTCCCCTGACCCCACCACAGTCCCCAGAGTGTGATATTCCCCTTCCTGTGTCCATGTGATCTCATTGTTCAATTCCCACCTATGAGTGAGAATATGCGGTGTTTGGTTTTTTGTTCTTGCGATAGTTTACTGAGAATGATGGTTTCCAATTTCATCCATGTCCCTACAAAGGACATGAACTCATCATTTTTTGTGGCTGCATAGTATTCCATGGTGTATATGTGCCACATTTTCTTAATCCAGTCTATCATTGTTGGACATTTGGGTTGGTTCCAAGTCTTTGCTATTGTGAATAATGCCGCAATAAACATACGTGTGCATGTGTCTTTATAGCAGCATGATTTATAGTCATTTGGGTATATACCCAGTAATGGGATGGCTGGGTCAAATGGTATTTCTAGTTCTAGATCCCTGAGGAATGCCCACACTGACTTCCACAATGGTTGAACTAGTTTACAGTCCCACCAACAGTGTAAAAGTGTTCCTATTTCTCCACATCCTCTCCAGCACCTGTTGTTTCCTGACTTTTTAATGATTGCCATTCTAACTGGTGTGAGATGATATCTCATAGTGGTTTTGATTTGCATTTCTCTGATGGCCAGTGATGATAAGCATTTTTTCATGTGTTTTTTGGCTGCATAAATGGGTAGGAAGAATCAATATCGTGAAAATGGCCATACTGCCCAAGGTAATTTACAGATTCAATGCCATCCCCATCAAGCTACCAATGACTTTCTTCACAGAATTGGAAAAAACTACTTTAAAGTTCATATGGAACCAAAAAAGAGCCCGCATCTCCAAGTCAATCCTAAGCCAAAAGAACAAAGCTGGAGGCATCACACTACCTGACTTCAAACTATACTACAAGGCTACAGTAACCAAAACAGCATGGTACTGGTACCAAAACAGAGATATAGATCAATGGAACAGAACAGAGCCCTCAGAAATAATGCTGCATATCTACAACTATCTGATCTTTGACAAACCTGAGAAAAACAAGCAATGGGGAAAGGATTCCCTATTTAATAAATGGTGCTGGGAAAACTGGCTAGCCATATGTAGAAAGCTGAAACTCGATCCCTTCCTTACACCTTATACAAAAATCAATTCAAGATGGATTAAAGATTTAAACGTTAGACCTAAAACCATAAAAACCCTAGAAGAAAACCTAGGCATTACCATTCAGGACATAGGCGTGGGCAAGGACTTCATGTCCAAAACACCAAAAGCAACGGCAACAAAAGCCAAAATTGACAAATGGGATCTAATTAAACTAAAGAGCTTCTGCACAGCAAAAGAAACTACCATCAGAGTGAACAGGCAACCTACAAAATGGGAGAAAATTTTCGCAACCTACTCATCTGACAAAGGGCTAATATCCAGAATCTACAATGAACTCAAACAAATTTACAAGAAAAAAACAAACAACCCCATCAAAAAGTGGGCGAAGGACGTGTAAAATATATTCTTAACTCAATGTTCTTTACAGTAAATTCAGACCCTAAATCTCTTTGACTTTAATTAAATATCTCAATTGTCTGTATACTTATAAGTTAAAATACATTTTCTTTTACTGTCTACAAATTTAAATTTTCAATATAAATAAGACTGTCAACATTTGAGTTTATTAGGCTTTTAAAGTACATATCAAAAAAACCCCACAACTTCCATAAATATAATGGTAAATTAGTAAAATACAAATTTACAAAGGTTTGCAGTGTTATCATAGGTTAGGCTACAATTTTGGATTCATAGGCAGATTATTTCAAGAATGTGTTCATTTATATGAAGAGTAAAATCATCATAAAGTGCATCTGTTAAAAAGATGAAAGTTTTTCAATGTAATAACTGAATATTCTCTAATCTCTATAAAATAGATTTATAGATAAATCATTGTTTGCAAATTTGAAAAATATTTTCAAAACGTATTTTGAGAGCTTTGTACTCTGTATTAACATATCTTATTATACCTAAATTAAATGTGTCTTACAAAATACACTTAATTATTGTGGTTTTCCTTATGTACATCCAAAGCATTATAGTTAGCTTCGTATGTGAACACTTTCTGTTCCAGATATTGTCTCTTGTCTCTGTTATTCAATCCACTAGATTTGGCAACATGCATTTCCCTGGAAAATAAAAGAAAGCTGAATGATCGCCTTGCAACAGCGTTGTTACTTCACAGCTGAGTAACCTCAGACTGTTTTTTGTGTTTCAGGGCGGGTATGAAGAGAGCTTAACTTGGCCACATCTCTGAGTTAAGATTTTTATGTTTTTCTAGGGCTAAGTTTCTCTTAGCAGAGCTGTTAGCTGTCATGGAGTAACTGCATTCCTATTATGCTGTCCTTTGAAGCATGACATCGTGACTGAAAATGAAAAGCATATACGGCATTGCAGACACCTGAGATGAATTTTGATGCATTTTTTGAAGCATGTTGTAATCTCTGGGGACAGACAACTACGCCCTGTGAATTACCAGAGGGCCAGTTGCTGCTTTAAAGGGAAAGGAGAATAATTTACTGAAAGGCAAATGCTAAAAATATGTCATATAGTTGCTTAACATTAATGAATTAAGTCTTAATGGAAGTAGCCTAATCACAATATTAGGCATATTCTTTAACATAGTACCAAAAGTAAATTTTAGCAACCCTCCAATTTCTTTAGTCTAGAGAATTACCTTATATGTAATCATTCTATTACTAAGCATATATGTACTATATCTTGTAGTTTTTAAGGTTGCTTATCTCATGAGATTTTTGTTTGTTTCAAACAACCATGTGTTTTGTTAAACTATACAGGTGAGAATTCTGAAGCTCACTAAAGTCATACAGCTAAATGGTAAATTCAGGATATGATTTTCTAGGTAGACAATAATAATTTATATCTTGGTTTTTAATAGTTACATTTAAACATTCTGTTTAGCTCTTATATTCCGGAAAATATACAAATAGCTTTAATGGTTTGTTATTAAGCGTTCCCTTGGCATTTTTTAAGTTTTTCTTTGTTATTTTAAGAAAATATCTTTTTATTTAGCGTTTCGAGACGTGTTAACAAAATGTGAATATTTAATTATAGAATATGTACTTTAAGTATGACAGAAGATTATCGTGAAAATTTTATTTCTGATATATTAACCTAATATACTAAGATGCTCTATGATTATAAAATATCCTGAAATTCCTGGCATACACCTTACCCTACAGTACATACTATAAAATCTTATAATAAATTATGCGGTTTAAATATTTTCCTAGATCTTTTGTTAGACTGTAGGGGGAAAGAAAATTAATGAATGCAAAGTAGAGACCACTCATTCAAACTTTACTCATAAGAAAAATTTCTGATTTACTTGCTTGCTTTGAGCGTTTCCTATTTACCAGACAATGTGCTGCGTGTTGGGAGTAAAATACTGAGGAAAAAGACAGAAACTGAACATTTACTTGCAATTTAATACAGGAGGCAGGCATTTTAGTACAGGAGACAGGCATTAAACAAATAATTGCGTAAGTGAATAATTTCAACTTTGAAAAATGCTGAAATGTACATGCTGATATGAATACTTATAGTGGCAGATATTATTTAATTTAGAGGTTAAGGAAGAATTTCCTGAGGAAGTAGCAACCTGGCTGAGTTCTGAAGAATAAATAGCAATTTAATAGGAGGTGGGGCTTGAGGAAACATTTTGATACAGCATATACAAGGTTCAAAAGAAGTGCAGTATGTTTAATCATTTTTAAAAGCATAGTCAACATACACTAGAATTAGAGAGAATGCATGTTTGACAGCAGGTTGTCATACTTTATAATTAATTAAAATCAAGTATACCTTATTTAAATCTACATTTTACATAAGAGCAACCAAGACCCTATGCATTTAGGTAAATTAACACAAGTAAATACATAATATACAGCGAAAAAGGGTCTTAGACCCCAATTAGACTGACTTCAAAGTTTCTATCCAGAAGTACAACAAAATACACCAAATAATACACAAAGCACATACATCCAATTTCTAAGATTTTTTAAAGATACGTTTTCTTTTCTTTTTTTTTTTTTTTGAGATGGAGTTTCACTCTTGTTGCTCAGGATGGAGCGCAATGGTGCAATCTAGGCTCACTGCAATCTCCACCTCTAGGGTTCAAGAGATTGTCCCGCCTCAGCCTCCCAAGCAGCTGGGAGTACAGGCACCCACCACCATGCCGGTTAATTTTTGTATTTTTAGTAGAGACAGGATTTCACCATATTGACCAGGATGGTCTCAAACTCCTGACCTCAGGTGATCCACCTGCCTCGGCCTCCCAAAGTGCTGGGATTCCACACATGAACAACTGTGCCCAGCCAATTTTCAGAAATTTTAATACAATTAATTTTCCACGTGTTTATTCTCCTCATATGGTCATATTGCGTCCGAAATTTATTCCTTCCCGTGGGTTCTTGGTCTCGCTGACTTCAAGAATGAAGCCGTGGACCCTCAAGGTGAGTGTTATAGCTCTTAAAGATGGTGTGTCCGGAGTTTGTTCCTTCATATGTGTCCAGAGTTTCTTCCTTCTGGTGGGCTCATGGTCTCACTGACTTCAGGATCGAAGCCGCAGACCTTCGGAATCAGTGTTACCGCTCTTAAAGGTGTCATGTCCAGAGTTGTTTGTTCCTCCCAGTAGGTTCATGGTCTCGCTGACTTAAAGAATGAAACTGCAAACCCTTGCGGTGAGTGTTACAGCTCATAAACGTAGTGCAAACCCAAAGAGTGAGCAGCAGCAAAATTTATTGTGAAGAGTGAAAGAACATAGCTTCCACAGCAAAGAAGGGGACCCAAGCAGGTTGCCTTGCTGGCTCAGGTGGCCAGCTTTTATTCCCTTATCTGGCCCCCCCACCCACATCCTGCTGATTGGTCCATTTTACAGAGCGCTGATTGGTCCATTTTACAGAGTGCTGATTGGTCCGTTTTTACAGAGTGCTGATTGGTGCATTTACAAACCTTTAGCTAGATGCAGAGTGCTGATTAGTGTGTGTTTACAGAGTGCTAATTGGTGCATTTACAATCCTTTAGCTAGACACAGAACGCTGATTGGTGCATTTACAATCCCTTAGCTAGACACAAAAGTTCTCCAAGTCCCCACCTGACCCAGAAGCCCAGCTGGCTTCACCTCTCAATAAGTTCTCACATGTAAGCCAATGACAGAAATTTATTGGCAATACAAAATGAGACTTGAATTCTTTGTAGTATCCACCAATATCCACTCTGAATAAATTGTTTTCACTTAAAATAGACTCCAGATAAACATCTGTTGATTTAAAGTAAAACATAAAATTTTAATCTCCAAAGATAACCATTACAAATATTCCATATGTCACTTTCTGAAGATAATTGTAATTGCATAATTATCAAAACATCTATGGGGACTAATCATTATGCTGAATAATTTGAGGCTGATAGAATTTCTTCGCCAGTGACAGTGGTGAAAGTATAGCTGACTGCATTTCAGAGGTACTATACTCCTCTGAAGTACTCCTTATTACAGAAAATCGAGATCACTGTTCAGATTATTTCAAAAACAGGAATTTTAGGGGAAATTACCATGTGGTCCATTCCAAGATAAAATAATATGCCGATAATATAAATAGCAAATGCCAACTCTCATAAGATGTACCAAAATCCTAATTGACACTGAGTAATATAATTTTAGCACATAAATGACATATTATATGTAACATTTTGTATATATTATATACACTTAATATTATAATTGTCATTCGGTACTAACATTAAAATCGAGCCTTTTTATTTCCTTCAAGAAGAAGGAAAAGAAAAAGTGGACCGGAGTCTGAAAGTTGAATTGTCTGATCAAGATTTAAGTACTGCTGTTAAATTACATTGTCAGCCTTGTAATAAATTCTGATTAAGAATTTACACCTTTGTGAACAGATTAGCAGACCTAATTGATTTTGATCTGTTAACCTCAATTTGCAGTTTTAAAAAGGTGTAACCTCACCCAGATTTATGGTTTGAAGCTCTTGTGTTTGAATTAATAAATTTTATATCTGATCTCATGTTAAGAAGAATTTTAGTGAAGTATATATAGTTCTCTGAGTTGAAGCTATTTGCTTTAATTCTTGTGTGTTGCATATATTTTCACACATGTACCCATTTATTAATCTCCTAACATTGTAAGCAATACTTTTACATCTTATTTATTATCTGTCAACCATCAGTTTCTACTTCCAAGTAATTATGAGGATAACTTATCCTGTGTCTTTATATTCTCACCATCCTCCTAGACTTTGCCTGCAGTGATAGACATATGGTCAGGATGTTCTAATTCAGTTGTTAACATACTATGTTGCACATAACAGTTTATCATAGAAGCTGTTACAGACTCTGGGAAAAGCCAACCACAATAATTAGAAATTATCACTTCTAATTATATTTTAAGTTTTTAAAAACCATAGTTTATAGAAATTATTACTTGAAGATGAGCTCCTTTTCCAAATAAATGTGGAACCTGATTGTGGACTGTATTCTGGTTCTTATTTCATCTACTTTATTAAATCTTAGCATCAAATAATTGAAAAATATTTCGGCCACTTAATAAGCAATATGACCCAACATCAGACAGTATGTAAGCAGGCTCAGATTATTTTTATATCATGCAAAAACTTGTTGTGTTTAAATAGACACTAAGAAAACTTATCAGGATAGCTGGTTAGCCTCAAGTATAACTCCAGCAATGTTTATAAAGGAGAGATTTCCTATTTTAATTAGTATCATGGAGTTATTTTTCACCAGTCATTTCCTTTATAATCACCAATAACTTCACCTCCTTCAACATATTAATTTCAAGAAATCCAAATTCTAACCAATACTGCCTAATCTTTCAGCTGTCCTTCTACTATTACCCCTACTCCAAAAAGCATATTTAATTGCATCAAGATTTCTAATGTTGACTATCTGTCATTCCTTGTTTATCATTTCTTGTATGTGTTTATTTTCATCTTTAGCCACTCTGATTACATGATTCATTGTATTAACATACTTTTGTGTATTCCCTCAAATCTTTGTCTTCCTTTCTCTCCCTCATGTTTGAGACAATGAGGTGATTGAGACATTTGCTTTGGAGACAAAATTTGAGGAAGCCCCCAATAACTCATAATCAAGATAAATATTTTCCATGCAATATTCAAAAAACTGCATGAATACATTTTCATGCAATATTTAAAAAAATTGCACCAAAATTAATTTTAAAAATCCACCTTAAGTAAAGCATCATTTGATAAATCCATAAATACAGTCAGGATTATTATTTTTCCTTTTGTCTCAGGCACCAATGTGGCTCAGCTAAGCACTACTACTGATCTGCCTACCCAAGTCATAAATCTCCCATTATCTAAGAATTTGACTTAATTCTGTCCCAACTTCCTAAAGAGTCTTTGTCCTTTTTATATGGAAAATTCTATTCAAAATGTCATGAAACCAGATGTGGTGGCTCACGCCTGTAATCCTAGCAATTTGGGAGGCTGAGGCGGGTGGATCACTTGAGGTCAGGAGTTTGAGACCAGCCTGGCCTACATGGTGAAACCCCATCTCTACTAAATATACAAAAATTAGCTGGGCATGGTGGCACGTGCATGTAATCTCAGCTAATCAGGAGGCTGAGGCAGGAGAATTGCTTGAACCCAGGAGGTGGAGGTTGCAGCGAGCCAACATAGTGCCATAGCGCCATGGCACTCCAGCCTGGGGAACAAGAGCGAAACTCTGTCTCCAAACAACAAGAACAACAACAAAATGCCATTAAACTTGTAAAAGAAAATTTTATCATTTGTATATTAAAAGTCTGTTATTTATTTGAAGTCTATTATTTAAAGTGTGTTTAATATGTGTATGAGAAACATATTTACTATGAGACACATAATATGTCTCATTATGTGTTACATAATGAGAAACAGCTAGGTGTTGGTTGATCGAGAAGTGAATTAGCTAAATAAACACAGTGCCTGCTTTAGAAAAGTCCACCTAAATGGCCATACATATCTCAGAGACATATATTGCAGTGTTTTAGAGATAAATCAGTCTAAATAATGTATTGATCAATGGAAAAACTGCAGCTCAGAGAGTTTGAATGGCTTCTAATTGTGTACAATGTAGCATAATTTTAACCATATTTTAAATTATCAGTTATTACTCTGCAATTCTGCAATGTTTTAAAGAAAAAAATAGGACCAGAATAATAAAGTTTTTTTTTAATTTCTTGAGCTTTTTTCTTTATTTCTTTATATCAATACGTATCTTGGAGATATATGTTATAGTGTTTTAGAGATAAAACTGTAAATAATTTATTGATTAATAGAAAAACTGCAGCTCAGAGAGTTTGAATAGCTTCTAATTTTGTACAATGTAGCATAATTTTAACCATATTTTAAATTATCAGTTATTACTCTGCAGTTCTGCAATGTTTTCAAGAAAAAAAAAGGACTGGAATAATAAGGCTTTTTTTTCTTTATTTCTTGAGCTTGAAAGGTTTTTTTTTGTTTAAAAATGTTGCAGAGACAGAAGGAAAGCCCCTAAAAACATGAACAAGTAATTTTCAAAGACAGACATTACTCATATTAACCTTATGCTAGTTAGAAATGAGAATTTCCAGAGCAAAAATACTAATTGGGAGGAATCTGCCTTCATGTTTTAATCTTTAGTATTCATTTTGTAAAACTGAGATGATAGAAGTTCACAATGTCAAAGAAGCATTTTACAGACATCAGTTTTCTAATAAATGAGTAGGAAATGTTTCAGTTAATCTGATTCTCAAGCTATTTTGAAATCATCAGTAAATCTTAGAAAGCCTTTAAAAGAGGATTTAGTTTCAACAACCCCTCAGGTTAAAATGGTTAACAGCTGAATTAACTGCTGTACCTTCGGTGACCTGAAAGTGGAAAGGAAAGAACACAAATGAATAATTTGTAGAAATGTACTTTATTCCCATTAAACACAGAAGGGAAAAATGAAGAGAAAGTTGGTTACTGATCAGTAGAATTTTTGAATTGAAAATGGTGTTAAGTAAAATTAGGACACTTTCCATGTGTCAAACACTTTGCTAAGTAATTCACATTCATTATTTAATTGTAACTCTAACAGCGTGTAATACATAGAGTCCTAATATCTTCATTTGGCTGATGATTCCAGTCTTTCTTTTTCAAGCAAGGCAGCTAAAATTCATCAAGAATATTTCACTTTCTCAACATATCTTATCAGGTTAATACATTAGAACCTCTGACTATCTTGATCTCTTATTTCTAATTCAATATTTCATTGCCTTAATTAAACTATATATGTGTGTGGAGATAAACAAATAGATGAGAGATAGACAGGAAAAAAATACTAAGAAATTGTAGGAAAAAGGTTTATAACTAAGGAATCACTTTGTTTGATTTGACTTCTCTATTTCATAAATATTTTAACATATTTCAGTGAAACATTACAATAAATACAGCTTTGTTTCAAAAGATAGGAGAGTGTCTTTTAAATATTATCCTCTATAATAAAGGAATTTCTGCAAGGGCAAAGGGTTAAAAACTGGTACTGGGTAATATTTATATCTGTTTGTAAATTTTGCCTTAACATTCTTTCTACATGAATAAAGATGAAAGTAAAACAAGATAATTTAATTTTTAGTTTCTGACCTCAGTAGTAATTTATGTTCAGTTCAGAAAATACATTTAAAAATATATAAAGAGGATAAAAAAGTATCCACAATTGATTCATTTGGTAATCGTTGCTGGCTCTTTTATTTTTTCTGTAATATTCAAGTGTATGTATATGAAGGTGTATGTTTAAGCACGAGTGTTTTTAAGTCAATGTGAATGTGTATGTGTGTAAATATGTAGTGCAGATTTTATAACCCCAGTTTCACATACCAATATAAAATAAAAATCTTCTGTGTCAATAAATTTTGTATAAAGACGTAGTTAATAATGACCTTGTCTAATAAAATAAAATTTGAATAGGACTTCGCTGACACTGAGAAATTTCTTTATTGGTATCTTCCTAAGTATAAAAGAACAAATGGATATAATTAATAGTGGCCATTATCTATTTTTATTAATATTTTAAGTAACAAGATGTTTTCCTGGTTTCTTTTGTTTGGGCACTTGTGGTATAAAAAAGTAGCCCTTTATAAAATTGAATCTAAAATAAGCCTGGAAAATGCATGACATTTATTTTCTGTCTTATACATTGTTACATTTTTTCAAACTATTCACAGTCAACATGTAGTATATTTGTAATTTTAAAAACTAACACAATATTTAGTAAGATTACACTATTTAGCAAAATTAAAGTAGTTTTGGTTTTTTAAATGGTAGGTTTTTTTTAGGGGAACAAAGTTAATTTAAAAATCAGCAGCTGGGTGTGGTGGCTCATGCCTGTAATCCTAGCACTTTGGAAGGTCGAGGAGGGCGGATCGCCTGAGGTCAGAAGTTCAAGACCAGCCTGGCCAACATGGTGAAACCCCGTCTCTACTAAAAATACAAAAATTAGCTGGGCATGATGGTGGGCGCCTGTAATCCCAGCTACTGGGGAGGTTGAGGCAGGAGAATCGCTTGAATCTGGGAGCTGGAAATTGCAGTGAGCCAAGATTGTGCCACTAAACTCCAGTCTGGGCAACACAGTGAGACTCCATCTCAAATAAATAAATAAATAAATAAATAAAATGATTTGATACAGTTATAAAATGTGGTTTCATCAAAAAGGGCTTAAAACCTGGCTTTTGAAGAAAAAAAAGAAAGAAAGAAAGAAGGAAAGCAAAATTTAAAGTAATTTCCCAGCTTCAGTTTGAGTGTGACATCAGTTACTACCGGCCAATATATTGTGTAGAAACATTGAGGACATCTTGAAGAGGAGATATGCTCAAAATAAAATTTATGTCAAGACCTGCTAGAAAGTCCATTACAGGGTCAAAAAGAAGCAAGACATCTCTATTTTGAAGGTGCTATGCACTAAACTAATGTTTCTCAAATTTCAATGTACTTGTTAATCACCTGGTGATCCTACTAATATGTAGATTCTGATTCATTAACTCTTGAGTGAAATGAGGTATTCTGCACTCCTAAGAATACAAATAATGTGCATGTTGCTGGCCTGTGGACTACTCTGAATTGCAGGATTTTCATATATAATATGTGATAGTTAATTTGCAGGATTTTAAGATATAATATAGTCTCTGTTTATTGCCTATTAGTTGGTACCATGCCAGATTTTTAAAGGATAAATTTAAGGAAGAAAATGGTTTAATAATTCGTTAGAATTTTCACACTGATCTGCCAGCCCTTTGATGTTGAACTTCCCAGCCTCTAGAAATGTGAAAAGTAAAATTCTGTTACTTAAGCCACTCTGCCTCTGGTATTTTGTTACAGTTGACAGAGCAGACTAAGACAAACTGGATTAATCAATTTGAAGTTTCTGCTTTCTTGCAAAACAGGCCTTGTTCTCCAATATTGTAATAAAGACATATGATTTATATCTAACTGTCTTATTTTTCTTATTCTTCAATTGGTTCAACACTCAAGGGATGGAAAGTATTAATTATTGGACCTCCTCTTTTACTAACTACATTTGTTAAAGGTTTTGGTCCATGATTCCCTTTCTTCATGATTTTATTTCCTGCCATATTCCTGCCTGAATGTGATGCCCAAGTGTTAATGTAGCAATCAAAAAGAGTTTTTCATCACAGCTCACTGGGCAGAAGTTAGTAACTTTCAATGACATTGAAAGTACATCTTAACATCAACTTGCTAGAATGTCACTATAGATAGTAGAGGAATAAAAAGGTAATGGTTGATTTCTTATTAAACATATTATTTATATCCTAGTGCTGAAAGAACCTAAAAACATTAATGATACTGCTACTTTGACTTGTACACTCCTTTATGATGAATTAAACATTTATAAATAATATGAAGACTTCAGTGCATTTTGTCATTAGAGTCCATTTGCACGGTAGAAAAAAGGTTTCACTCTTTTTTGACCTCAATTACAGTGACTTATATTTTCACTTAACTGAGAAAATCTCTCCCACGGCCACACCTTGAACCTTGTCATCATAAAGATAGGCTCCATGTTACAAAATAGAAATAAATCTTCTTCTTCAAAACAAAACTGCTGTATCTTCCCCCTTCCTCATATGCTCACTCCCACTTGACTTGGTATTTGTTTGTTTGGCCTAATGAACACCTCTAATCCAGTCATTCTTAAGCTCTGGTGTGCATATGAATCATTTTATCATTTTGTTAAAAAAATTATGATTTAACCCTTCTCTGAGGGATCTTCTGTCAGGTGGAATGTGTTGCCACACAAAGCTTTTTAAAATATCCCGTAGAGAGCAAGAGGGAGAAATAGAAATGTTCACTGATTACTCTGCACCCTCCCATAAGGAAACCAAGTTAACAACTATCTACACAGAAAACAACACTTCATAAGAATAAAAAATAGGTGAGTACTCACAGTACCTGGTTTTAACTTTATATTGCTGAAAAAGGCATTGAAGAGATAGGAAAAAACAGTCCTGAATTGCCTATGCCATCCCTCCCCCACCACTGGCCTTAAGGGAAGGAACATTGGTGGTAGTCAGGCAGTACTCCTCATTTTCAGAGGTGGTGATGGCTATGGAGTGAGGCTCTTTGGCCTTTGGAAAGGGGTGAGAAGAGTGAGTAGGACTGCATCTTGTGGTTTGAGTGCCAGCTCAGCAACAATATAATAGAATATCGGGTAGACTTCTAAGGTTTTTGACTCTGGTCCTTGACTCTCAGATGGCACTTCTGGAT
Source organism: Homo sapiens (assembly GCF_000001405.40). NCBI lineage: Eukaryota > Metazoa > Chordata > Mammalia > Primates > Hominidae > Homo > Homo sapiens. Next base: position 32,529,792 of record NC_000004.12, read on the forward strand.
TCATCCAGGACCTGGGGGACCTCACCACCCTAAAGGGAAGGACACAGGCCTGGCTGTCTTTGACAGCTGCTGATTATAGAGCCCCAGGTCATTGCATAAACATAAGCAGAAGCCAGGGAGTGATTACAGCAGGACTTGGGCAAGAACCAGTGCTGTGCTGGCTTCAGGTCTGACCCAGAGCCAGCACAATCATAGTGGTGGTGACCACAGGGGTGCTTGTGTTACTCTACCCTTTACTTTAGGTAGCTTATCATTACTGGGCTTAGGGTACCCCCTAAAGCAGAAACAGCTTAGATCACAGTACCCAAGTGCTTTCAAATATCTGGAAAGTCTTTCTGAGAAGGACAGCTACAATAAATACCTAATTCTTTAATGTTCAGATATCGCAGACATCAAAGAACATTTGCTAGCATCAATACCATACAGTAAAACATGACCTCACCAAATGAACTAAATAAGGCACCAGAGACCAACCCTGGAGAAAGAGATATGTGACCTTTCAGATAGAGAATTCAAAATACCTGTGTTGAGGAAACAAAAAGAAATCCAAGAACAGGGAAGAAATTCAGAATTCTATCAGATAAATTTAACAAAGAAAAAGAAATAATTAAAAAGAATAAAGCAAAAATTCTGGAGCTAAAAAATGAAATTGGCATGTTAAAGAATGCATCAGAGTCCTTTAGTGGCAGAATGTATCAAGCAGAAATAAGAATTGGTGAGCTTGAAAACAGCCTATTTTGAAAATAAACAGATGAGAAAAAAAGAAAAAAGAATTTAAAAAATGAAGCATGCCTACAGGATCTAGAAAATAGCCTCAAAAGGGCAAATCTAAGACTTATTGGCCTTAAAGAGAAGGCAGAGAAAGAGATAGGGGTAGAAAGTTTATTCAAAGGGATAATGACACAGAACTTCCCAAACCTAAAGAAGGATGCCAATATCCAAGTACAAGAAGGTTATAAAATACCAGGCAGGTTTAACTCAAAAAAGACTACCTCAAGGCATTTAATAATCAAACTCCCATAGGTCAAGGATAAAGCAAGGATCCTAAAAGCAATAAATAACTGTTGTGTATAAACTACTCTTATCCTAGGTAGGAAGATTAAATGATGAACCAATAAAAATAATAACTACAACAATGTTTCAAGACATATGCAGTACAATAAAGTATAAACAGAAAGAACAAAAAGTAAAATGGTGGGGAACAAAGTTAGGCAAGTTTTTATTACTTTTCTTTTTTGTTTGTTTGTTTATATAAAGTGTTGTTATTAGTTTAAAATAATGGGTTATAAGACAGTACTTGCAGGCTCCATGACAACCTCAAACCAAAAAACATACAATGGGTATACAAAAAATAAAAACCAAGAAATTAAACCATATCACCTGAGAAAATTATCTTCACCAAAGGAAGATAAGAATAGAATGAAAAAGGAAGAACAATTAAATAACAAATAACAAACTGGCAGCAGTCGGTTCATACTTATCAATAATAACACTAAATGTAAATGGACTAAACTATTCAAGCATAAGATATAGACAGGCTGAATGAATGAAAACACAAGAGGCATGAATCTGTGGCCTACAAGAAACCCACTTCACACATAATGACACATATGGACTGAAAATACTGGGATATAAAAATTCATATCCATGGAAACTGAAAAGAGCAGGAGTCACTATACTTATATCAGAAAAAATAGATTTCAAAACAAAAACTATAAAAAGAGATAAACAAGGTCACTATATAATGATTAAGTGATCAATACAACAAGATAATATAACAATTTTAAATATATATGCGCCCAACAGTGGAGAAGGCAGATATGTAAAGCAAATATTATTAAACTAAAGAGATAGATAGGCCCCTGTACAATAATAACTGGAGACTTCAGCACCCCACTTTCAGCATTGGATAGATTATTCAGGCAGAAAATTATCAATGAAACATCAAATTTAAACAGAACTATAAACCAAATGTATCTAATAGACATTTATAGAACATTTCACCCAGGATCTGCAGAATACACATTCTTTTCCTCAGCACATGAATCATTCTCAAGGACAGACCATATTTTAGGTAACAAGGCAAGTCTTAAAAACATTAAAAAAACTTGAAACAGTATCAAGCATCTTCTCTGCCCACAATAGAATAAAACTAGAAATTAATAACAAGAGAAATTTTGAAAACTATGTAACTAGCTGAAATTTAAATAATATTTTCCTGAATGACCAGTAGGTCAATCAAGAAATTAAGAGGAAAATTGGAAAATTTACTGAAGCAAATAATAATGAAAACACAACGTAACAAAACTGGATATAGCAGAAGCAAAAATCCGAGGAAAGTTTCTAGCTAAAACTGCCTACATAAAAAATGACGAAAAACTTCAAATAAACAACCTAACAATAAATGCTAAAGAACTAGAAAAGCAAGAGGAAACTAAACCCAAAATTAGTAGAAGAAAAGTAATAATACTTATCTGAGAAGAAATAAGTGAAATAGAAATAAAAAATACAAAAGAACAATGAAACAAAAGTTTGTTTTTTTTGAAAAATTAAACAAACCTGACAAAGCTTTAGCCAGATTAATTTAAAAAAGAGAGAAGATCCACGTCAATAAAATTGGAAATGAAAAAGGAGACATTACAACTAATACTGCAGAACTATAAAAGATCATGAATGGTTACTATGAGCAACTATATGCAAATAAACTGTAAACTCTTGAAGAAATGAACAAATTCCTACATACATGCAAACTACCAAGATTGAATCAGTAAGAAATCCAAAACCTGAACAGACCAATTACAAATAATGAGATAAAAGTCATAATAAGAAATTTCCTAGTAAAAAAGCCCAGGATCTGAAGGCTTCACTGCTGAATTCTACCTAACATTTAAAGAACTAATACCAATCAGACTCAAACTAGTCTGAAAAATAGAGCAGGAAAGAATATGTTCAAATTCATTCTATGAAGCCAATGTTACCCTAATACCAAAACCAGACAAAGACTCATCAAAAAAAGAAAACTACAGGGAAATATATCTGATAAATACTGATGCAAAAATCCTCAGCAAAATACTAGCAAACTGAATCCAACAATATATTAGAAAGATCATTCATCATCACCAAGTGGAACTTGCCCCTTGGATGCAAGAATGGTTCCATGTACAAAAATTAATGAACATGATATATCATGTCAACAGAATGAAGGATAAAAACCATATAATCATTTCAATTAATGTTTTAAAAAGCATTTGATAAAATTCAACCTTCTTTCCTGATAAAACCCCTCAAAAACCTGAGGATGGAACGACTGTACCTTAATAATAAAAGCCATATATAACAAACCCACAGCTAGTATCATACTAAATGGAGAAAATCTAAAAGCCTTTCCTCTAAGACCTGGAACATGAAAAGGATGTCCACTGTCACCACTGTTATTCAATGGAAAACTGGGAGTCCTAGCTAGACCAATCAGATGAAAGAAGGATATAAAGGACATCCAAATTGGAAAGGAAGAAATCAAATTATCATTGTTTGCAGGTGATATGATCTTATTTTGGGAAAAACCTAAAGACTTCATAAGAAAACTATTAAAACTAATAGACAAATTCAACGAAGTTCCAGGATACAAAATCAACATAAAAAAACTAGTACCATTTCTATATGCCCACAATCAACAATGTGAAAAAGAAATTTAAAAAGTAATACCATTTACAATAGCCACACATAAAATTTAATACCTAGGAATTAACCAAAGAAGTGAAAAATCTCTATAATGAAAACTATAAAACACTGATGAGGGAAATTGAAGAAGACACCAAAAAATGAAAAAAAAAATTCATGTTTATGGATTGGAAGAATTGTTATTGCTAAAATTTCCATACTACCCAAAGCGGTATACAGATTGAATGCAATCCCTATAAAAATATCAATGACACTCTTCATGGAAATAAAAAAAAAATCCTAAAATTCACATGGAACTACAAAAGACCCCAAATCACCAAAGCAATTTTGAACAAAAAGAACAAAGCTTGAGGCATCACACTATTAGACTTCCAATTATACTACAGAGCTATAGTAACCAAAACATCATGATACTGGAGTAACAACAGACACATAAACCAATGGAACAGAATAGAAAACCCAGAAACAAATTCAGACACTTATGGTGGACTTATGTTCAACAAAGGCGCCAATAGTGTGCAACAGGGAAAAGACAGTCTCTTCAATAAATGGTGCTGGGAAAACTGGATATCCATATGCAGAAGAATGAAACTAGACCTCTATCTTTCATCATATACTAAAATCAAATCAAAATTCATTAAAGACTTAAATATGAGAACTGAAACCATGAAACTACTACACAAAAACATTGGGAAAAATCTCCAGGACATTGGTCTGGGCAAAGATTTCTTGAGCAATACCCCACAAACACAGGCAATCTAAGAAAAAATTGACAAATGGGATCACACCAAGTTAAAAAGCTTCTGTACAGCAAAGATTGCAATCAACAAAGTGAAGAGATAACTCACAGAATGGGATAAAATATTTGCAAATGACCAATTTGACAAGGGATTACTAACCAGAATATATAAAAAACTCAAACAACTCTATAGAAAAAAAACTAATACCCCAATCAAAATGGCAAACAGGTATTTGAAAAGGTGTTCAACATCATTGATCATCAGAGAAATGCAAATCAAAACTACAATGAGATATCATCACATCCCAGTTAAAATTACCTATATCTAAAAAATAGGCAATAAAAAATGCTGGCAAGGATGTGGAGAAAAGGGAACCATTGTACAGTTTTGATGGGAATGTAAATTAGTACAACCACTATGGAGAAAAATTGGGAGGTTACTCAAAAACTAAAAAGGGGGCTGTCATATGATCCAGCAATCTCACTGCTGAGTATACGACCAAAAGAAATGAAATCAGTATACTGAAGAGATATCTTCACTCCTATGTTTATTGCAGCTCTGATTACAATAGCTAAGATTTGGAAACATCCTAAGTTTCCATAAATAGATACACGAATTAAGAAAATGTGGTACTTATACAAAATAGAGTACTATTCAGCAATAAAAAAATAATGAGATCTAGTCATTTGCAATAAAATGAACATAACTGCAGGTCATTGAAGTGAACTGAAGTGAAATAAGCCAGATACAGAAAGACAAATATTGCATGTTCTCACTTATTTTTGGGATCTAAAAATCAAAACAATGGAACTCGTGAGCATAGCGAGTAGAAGGATTATTATCAGATCCTATGGGAAAAGTAGTGGAGGACTGGAGGGAAGGTGGAGATTGTTAATGGATACAAAAAAAAAAAGAAAGAATGAATAAGACCTAATATTTGATAACACAATAGCATGACTATAGTCAATAATGACTGTATGTTCTAAAATAATTTAGAGTTTAATTGGATTGTTTGCAACTCAATGTATAAATGCCTAAGGGGATGGATACCCCAATTCTTCTTGATGTGCTTATTTCATATTGCATGCCTGTATGAAAACATCTCATGTGCCCTATAAATATACAAACTTACTATGTACCACCAAAAATTAAAAATAAAAATAAATTTCAAATAAATTATATAAAACACCTGGATACGAATATGCAAAGAATGAAGTGGTACCTTTCCACTCCAAAATACAAAATTAACTCAAAATGGATCATAGACTTAAATGTAAAACCTAAAACCATGAAACTTTAAAAAAAAATAGGAACAAATACTTTGTGTGTTCTTGGATATAACACCAAAAGCAGAATAAACTAATTTTAAAAACTACATAAATTGAACTTCATCAAAGTTAAAAACTTTTGCTCTGCAAATGATACCATCAATAAAGTGAAAAGATAAGCCATAGGCTAAAATACATTTGCAAATCATATATCTCATAAGAAGTTGTATCTAGAATATATAAATAATCTTACAACTCAAAAATAAAAAGATAAACACACCAATTTAAAAATTGGAAAAGTTTCTAAAGAAATGTTTCTCTAAAGAAAAGATACAAACAGCCAAGAAACATACATCAATAACATGAGATATTCAACCTTATTAGTCAATAGGGAAATGAAAACCAAAACCACAATGAGTTACCTCTTTACACCCCTAGGATGTCTATAATAAAAAGACTGATAATAGTACATGTTGGTAAGAATATAGATAAACTGGAAACTTCATTAGTATTTTTCTGTTGTGACTAGTTTGGAAGCTCCTCAAAATGTTAAACATAGGGTTACCACATAACCTAGGAATTTCTTTCCTAGGTATACCCAGGATAAATAGAAGCACATCCATGCAAAAACTTGTACATGAATATTTATGGCAGTCTTATTTATAATAGATAAGAGGCTGAAACAACCTAAATGCCCACAACTGACAAGTGGATCAATAAAATGTGAGATATCAATTAAAAAAAATAACATTCAGCAATAAAAAGGAATAAAATAGTAACACATAGCACGACATGGAAAAACACAAATGAAAACATTCTAAGGAAGAGATACAAGTATGTTAATTATGTCCTAATAATGTTGCTTTAAAAAAGGGGCAAAGCACCCTCAATAAAGCAGATGCAGATCTATATGAACAACACTTTGAGTAACATTGCTCAAGTTGCTTGATTCGTCTATTTTCTTCTTTTTTTTTCTTGGTCTTCAACACATTTTCCTGAGCTTGGAAGAGATGCATTACTCTACCACTTCTTTGTCTCTTCCCAGTGGAGTTATTTTTACACAAACAAACAAAAAAGTCCTCAATCACTCAGTAGTGACCAGTTTCCCAATTCTCAGGATTTGTTTCCATTTTTTGATTCCATAATATTGCTGGCAAAAAAAAACCTACCTCACTACAGACTGCCAATATTTCAAAAAAATATGCCTTTGAACTTTTGTAAATATCAAGCCACTTAACAGGTTTTATTTAAAACTTTTCTTTAAATATCTCAGTTTTATATCTTATCAATTATTGCAAAATTCTAATAGCTCCTCAAGTTCCAATCTTCATCACATTCAGCAAAAGGCATTATGTCCTGCTTAATCTGATAATTAGAGTGATTAGGCATTTATTTCCCATCTCCAGCTTCATCCCATACCTGCAAACCTAAATTAAAGCATAGTTATAACTTTTTTTGTTCAGTACACACAGACCCTCTGTTTTTGACTTAACCCTTACAGTACTCTCTTTCATATCCTTTTATAAATTAACTTTGTCAGCCTCATTCTCTTAGCCTGTGATCATATACATTTTACCAATATTAGCCTACAAAGGTTCTTATGTTCCTTATCTATTGGCCCCAATAAACAAAGAAAAAAAAATTTAAACTTACTTTTAAAATGTCCCTTCACCCTCACATTAGTGATAATTACATTTGATGCTAATTATTGAAATACCAGTCTCCAGTAGCTTATACACAGAGATCAAATGTATTTTCTCACATAACCAGGAGTCTTGATAAAATCATTACAAAATTAACATTGTATTTCATTCATTGTATCATCAGTCCAGTTTTTAAAGAGTTTTTTTTTAATTCTAATGTCCCTATTATGTTGACTTTTGCCATCATATTTGTTGCCTCATCTTTACAAGACGGGCCACATACAATCATTTCTACTTTTGCATGTCAGGGATGAAAAGGAAGAAAGTGATGAAGCCTATGTTTAAAAAGCCAAAGTTTTTTCCAGATTTCTCAAAAAGACTTCTACCTACATATTAAAAGTTAACAGATATTTTCCTATGGCCACCTCCAAATGAAAGGTTCTGGGAAGGATAGACATTTTAGCTAGAAACCTTGCTGATACATTAGTTTCTATTGCTGTATAACAGACTACCAGAAACTTAATGGCCAAAACAATATCCATTTATTAGCTCATATCTATTTAGGTCAGAATTCTGGGGGAAATCAACATGTTTATCTGTTTAGGGTATCACAAGACCAGAATCAGTGTACTGGCCAGGTGGAAATCTTATCTCGAGGCTCTGTGGAATAACTGCTTCCAAGCTCATTTTGGTAGCTGCCAAAATCCAGTTCCTTGTGATTAGAGGTCTGGTTCCCCATTTCTTCACTAGCTGTCATCTGGTAATGTATCTCAGCCCCTTCAGGCAACCCACATTTCTTCTCACAAGCGCTCCTCCATCTTTAAATCAGCAATGAAATGTCAAATCTTTCTCATGCTTTGAATCTTTCTGACTTCCTCTTCTACTACCAGCTGGAGAAAACTCATTGCTATTAAAGGACTTATGTGATTACAATGGTCTCACCTAGATGATCTGTCTACCTTAAGGTTGACAATGACATATAACACAATCACAATCAAGGGAAAGATAGCTCATCACATTCACAGGTCTCGCACACACTCAAAGAAGGGGGAATTATACAAGTGTAAAGATATCAGGTCCTTCTTAGAGCTTTATCAACCACAGCTTCCTTGATAAACATCAAATTTTGTTATAAAACAGAAGGTGAAAATGGTTATTGGATAAGGAACAAAAAATGCCTGCTATAATCTACAGATCTATATTTAAATCACTCCTTTCCTATTCAATCACTTAAAAACACCATCTATACTTGCTGACTTGATTTCCAAAGTAATTTTTTATAATTATCTCCTTGACCTGCCCAAATCTGCCTTCTATCCCGTTATACCAATTAATATTCCATAGAAGGAGTTACTAAAGATCGCCAGGTAGAAAATCCAGGAAATGGTTTCCAGTCTTTATTTGTTGATTATTTCTTTAAAAGGTTAGCGCTAGTAAACTTTCTTTCTTGGTGAAATGGTAATCCCTAAATTAATATCACATTTTTGACTTCATGGTTTATTCCTACCTGACCAGTTTTCTGTTTTTATGGGCCAGTTATATAGCATATAATCACAAGGTGACCTAGGAGGGATTACTGTAGAAGCTTAGAATGGTTGATTTATGTACATCCTTTTTCATTCTTCCTGGGAGAGGCAGCAGGAATGGGAAAGAATGGGGGTTTGCTTCTACCTAGAGCAGAGGATATGGTACCCTGGGTTAAAGGGCCAAAAATTTCTGTGCTTCTGGCAATGTTTATGTATGGAATGAAGTATTCCACTCAGTTCTATGCCATGACTCTTCTCCATTTACACAGCAAACAACTAGCAGTTCTTCTGATCCCACACATGCCTAGACTGACTGTGCAGATTCAACAGAAAGATAGACCAGGCCGGGCGCGGTGGCTCACGCCTGTAATCCCAGCACTTTGGGAGGCCGAAGGGGGCGGATCACGAGGTCAGGAGATCGAGACCATCCTGGCTAACACGGTGAAACCCCGTCTCTACTAAAAATACAAAAAATTAGCCGGGCGTGGTAGCGGGCGCCTGTAGTCCCAGCTACTCGGGAGGCTGAGGCAGGAGAATGGCGTGAACCTGGGAGGCGGAGCTTGCAGTGAGCCGAGATCGCGCCACTGCACTCCGGCCTGGGCGACAGAGCGAGACTCCGTCTCAAAAAAAAAAAAAAAAAAAAGGAAAGATAGACCAGGACAACTCAACTACAAAGTGAGCATATAACCAAGAATTACGAGATATTAAAGTCAGCATCATAAAAGAGGAAAAATAGAAAAGTTGCAGGAAATAGAGTTAATAGATAAATGAACAGTTACTAGATAAACTGAAAGTGATCATGGAGTAATAACATAATAGATAAAATAAGTATATAATAGACACAGTAGAGAAGCATATTATGAGCTAGAAGACAAAGTTGAGGAATATTCTAAGAGCAGGTTATAAAGGCATATGAACATGGAATTTATGCAAAAAAGTTCTAAATCGGAAAAGAACTCTTAGAAGTTGCAACATTTGCCTAATAGAAAGAAAAAGAGACAAGAGAGAAAAATGTAAAGTTAACACTCAATACGAGATGAGAATGGATCAGAAATTAAGGAAAAACTTTACTCTCAGACATTTTGAACACTCAGGAAAGCAGAAAATCCTACATATCCTTAAAGGGGGAGAATTACAGTTAATCTATATAGAGACAATAAAAGTGATATATGTATTTGTTAATATCTATCTATCCATCTATCTATGTTATTTTCAACACTGAATGTCATATTAGAAGACAGTGGAACAATATCTTCAAAATTATGAAAAAATAATTTAAAGCATATATTCCACTAGGCAGCCAAACTATATTTAAAAATATATATTAAGATATACGAGAACACTGTCTGACATAATTTTGAAGGATGTTCTTCAGATAGTTAGAAAAAGTTTTTCTAGGAAAAAAAAGTATTATTTCCCCAAGTAAGAATTTCATTTTCAGAATTCAAACATAAAAATGACTTTCTTGAATTGGACAGAAACATTGATAGTAAAAAAAAATTATTTACATTTTTATACCTCCCTTGGAATAAGACAGGCACCTCCAATTCTATTCCTATGTGAGTATACATCATGCCAGAATAGAATGTATAATATGTGCAAACAATGTTAAAAATCCAAATGCTAAAATATTAGGAACCATTTATATCTTACTGCTTTTACAGTGCATATCAATGAATATAGTGTTGTCTCTGCTTATTTTCAGTATTAATTAGCATTTAATTTCCAAAAAATAGTTATATATATTTGTGATAATTTAAGAGATAAATACTTTTCACTATGTAAAACTGAAGTATAGAACTTTAACTCCAAAGAAAATATAAAATATATGACTCTAAAATTTGCTGAGGAGGCCCTATGAGCTTTGAAAACAAAGATTAATCAAAGTAAAATCAATTTGCAATTATCTGTGTGAGATTTTATGTAATTACCATGATCCATCCATATATACTCTGTGTGAGACTGGACTCCAAACATTTTTGGTAGTGTTCAATATATCTCTTTCTTGTTTTCTTTCTATTACCCTTAGGATACAACAGGATAATAAAATACTAATTTTTTGGATTTTCTTAGGTGCAAATTAACTGAACCAAATAAAAAAAATGCTTTGGTTCAAGCAATTGAGGATTCTAAAAGAGGAGATTTTAGGCTTAGCCGTTCAAAAATTACCAGGAAGCTTTTAGCATGGCTCTCCTATTATAATTCTCCTGCCCTGGTTCTCAGGCTTAAATAGTCACAGTTTTACATTCCCAGTAGCAAGAGCAGGACTTTTTCTGTTAGTGCTAATAGGATTTCTCATATAAATCTCATCATTACACTTTGGATCAAATACACAACCTCAGACCAAACATTGCAGCCAAAGAGATGGCATAACTTCACTGGACAAACTTTGGTCTTATCATAACTAGAATCAGAATCATATGAAACATATAGGCCGAGAAGCAAATATAACAAAACAAAAACATATACCCACTAAAAATTTTCAGCCTCTGCCTTCATAGGACTTTCTTTCCATAATGAACATATGATACCAAATTAATGCATACAAATTATCCATAAAATATAGACTTCATATGTGTGAGGAAGTATTATTGCATCGCGTACGAGAGACAAATGAAGGAAGACTTTTTTCCATGTATTTCAAGGAAAGGTATACAAACAAAATTGTTTATAAGCCATGATAAACAATGACATATTATCAAATCTTAAGCATTTATACTTTCTATTATTTTTATAGAAATTAATCATGTGCTATAAAAATCAAAAATCTAAAATATTTTAGTTAATATTAGATCATTAATGCATATTTTACTTCGAATGAGTAACATTTATTCTAGCATTTAAACATAATTAACTACATTTAGGCTTCTCAAGTTTTTTGCACATAGTAAAAAATATATATTTTGATGAAGAGTGTTATAGACAATGTTTGTGCCCCCTCCACCAAATTCGTTGTTGAAACCTAATCCTCAATGTGATCGTATTTGAAGATGGGTGTCTTTGGAAAATGATTAGCTCATCAGGGCAGAGCCTCATGAATGGGATTAGCACTCTTATAAGAAAGACCCAAGAGTACTACCTCATCCCCTTTAGCCATGTGAGCATGCATGAACCAAAACGTAGATCTTCACCAGACACCAAATATGTTAGCTCCTTGTTGTTGAACATTCCAGCCCTCAGAACTGTGAGACATAAATTTCTATTGTTTATAAGCCATTCATTTTATGATATTCTGTTATAGCAGCCCAAATGGACTAAAACAAATTACTAATAAATTTTATTGTTTGTTTCATATGCCATGACTCGGATCCTGCTTCCTTCACAGTAGTTCAACATTGTTAACACTATCTAAAGTTTCCTAGGTCAAAATATTCCCTTTCCTAACCCCACTGTAACAAACTTCAAGCAAATTATGAACAACTTCCTCTATTTGGTTAATTTCTATTTTGAGTGTCTTATTTTATACAGATATGTGTGAGGGGGCAGGAGGTCATGTCTCAAAAAATCAAAATCTGAAAATCTAGTAGATAGGCACTGTCACACATGTGGTATTACAGCTGGCTTAAGACGGCTTTATATTTTCTTAGCATACAGCAGCCGCAATACATTCCACCTATGTGTATGTCTTGAATACATGCTTAAATATGAGAAATCAATGAAAATTACAAATAGCCATCTTAAGCTTATTTGCTTTAGTTTTCTCAAGAATTCTTAATTTACTTTGGCTATCACCTATTTTGTCATGTTTAAGATCCTCTAGTCCTGGATGTGTCTTATACCTCAGGCCCCTTCTGGACTCTTGGATTTGGTAATTGATATGTTTCTCTTTAATCAATAGCAGTGACCCAGTAACCAATGTTCTCTAAAAGTAGTGCTAGGATTCCATCACTGACTTTTAATACTCTTGGCTGATAGGACTAACCATCTCACCTTAGTAAAAAATCCAGTGGCTGTTCTGATGGTCTTAGCAACCAGCTAAGCTCTAGGACTGGGTATTCCTGTATGATAGACATCAGGGCATTTGACAATATGTCCAGGAGTAACAACTAGGCTCAAATTTAAGAATTAATAAGTGTGTAAAGAAGCTGCAATTCTCTTCAATAAAAAATCTGAAGTGAATTGATTGCATTTTAGTCAACTGTTCATAAAAAAAATTGTAAAAGAAGGATTGAGAGAAAGATTTCACAAGCTTATCATGCACCATTTTTGTTATGTCAACCTCAAATGGTTTATTACGTTGAATTTTTAAAAAACATTTTATCTTAATGACTGTGGTTGGATACAACTTCATGATATATATATATATATATATATATATATATATATATATATATATATATATATTGCAATCAGCATAAATTTAGGTGTTACTTCTAGAATTTACTGACTTTACCTTGTAGAAGATGCTAATACGTGCTATCCAGAGTTTCTGCATAGAGAAGGCTTTCATTTCCAAAACTGCTGGAAATGTCACCTACTGGTGCCTGACTGCTGAAGCTCCCCAGTAAGCAATGTTCTCAGCTGGAGAGCACTAATATGAAAAATTATCCCCTTATATATGTTGGCGCTGTGTGCCCACCCAAATCACATTTGGAATTGTCATCCCCACATGTAGAGAGAGGGACCTGGTGGGAGGTGATTGGATCAGGGGAGTGGTTTACCGCATGCTGTTCTCATGATAGTGAGTGAGTTCTCATGAGATCTGCTGGTTTAAAGGTGTGGCACTTCCACTCTTGCTCTCTCCTCTGCCACCGTATAAGACATGCCTTGCTTCCCTTTCACCTTCTGCCATGATTTTAAGGTTCCTGAGGCCTCCCCAGGCATGGGGAACTGTAAGTAAATTAAACCTCTTTACTTTATAAATTACCTAGTCTCAGGCAGTATGAAAATGGATTAATATAGAAAATTGGTACCAGAAGTTTGGGGCACTGGTATAAAGACACCAGAAAATGTGGAAGCAACTTCAGAACTGGGTAATGAGCAGAGGTTGGATCAGTTTGGAGGGCTCAGAAGAAGACAGAAAAATGTGGGAAAGTTTTAAACTTCTTAGAGATTTGTTGAATGGTTTTGACCAAAATGCTGATAGGGATATGAAAAAGGAAGTCCAGGCTGATGTGGTCTCAGATAGAAGTGAGAAACTTATTGGGAACTGGAATAAAGGTCACTCTTGTTATGCTTTAACAAAGAGACTGGCAGCATTTTGCCCCTGCCCTGGAGAACTGTGAAACTTTGAACTTGAGAGAGACGATTTAGAGTACCTGGAAGAAGAAAATTCTAAGCAGCAAAGCATTCAGTATGTGACCTGGCTTTTCCTGAAAGCATATAGTCATATACATTCATAAAGAGATGGTCTCAAAGTAGAACTTATTTTTAAAAGGGAAGCAGAGCATAAAAGTTTGGAAAATTTGCAGCCTGATCATGTGGTAGAAAAGAAAAACCCATTTTCTGGGGAGAAATTCAAGGCACCAACTGCAGAAATTTGCATAAGTAACAAGGAGCAGAATGTTAATAGCCAAGAGAATGGAGAAGAATGTCTGCAGGGCATTTCAGAGATCATCATGGCAGCCCATCCTATCACAGGCCTAGAGGCCTAGGAGGAAAAATGATTTTGTGGGCCATGCCTAGGGCCCCACTACTCTGTGCAGTCTCGAGGCATGGTGCCCTGTTTCCCAACCACTTCAGCTCCAGCTGTGGCTAAAAGGGGCCAAAGTAAAGCTCAGGTCATTGCTTCAGAGGGTGCAAGCCACAAGACTTGGTAGCTTCCATGTGCCTGAGGGTATGCAGAAGATAAGAGTTGAGTTTTGAGGGTCTCCATCTAGATTTCAGAGGATGTATGGAAACACCTGCATGTCCAGGTAGAAGTCTTCTGCGGGGGTGGGGCTTCATGGAAAACCTCAACTAGGGCAGTGTGGAGGGGGAAATGTGGTGTTAAGGCCCCTACATAGATTCCCAACTGGGGGACTGCTTAGTGGAGCTGTGAAAAGAAGGCCACTGTCCTCCAGATGTCAGAAAGTTAGATCCACTGACAGCTTGCATCATGCTCCTGGAAAAGCCACAGGCACTCAACACCAGTCTTTGGAAGCAGCCATGGGGCTGTACTCTGCAGAGCCACAGGGGCAGAGTTGCCCAAAGCCTTGGGAGTCCACCTGTTGCATCAGCATGCCCTGGATGTGAAACAGGGAGTCAAAGGAGATAATTTTGGAGCTTTAAGATTTAATGACTGCCCTTCAGGGTTTCAGACTTGCATGGGGCCTCTAGCTCCTTTGTTCTGACCAATTTACCCCCTTTGGAATGGGTGTATTTACCCAATGCCTATACCCCCACTGTATCTCAGAAATAAGTAACTTGTTTTTGATTTACAGAATCATAGGCGGAAGGGACATGCTTTGTCCTTTGGACTTGGACTTTGGATTTATGTTGGAATGAATTAAGGTTTTGGGTGACTGTTGGGAAGGCACGATTGTGTTTTGAAATGTGAAAAGTGGATGAGATATGGGAGGGGCCGGGGGCAGAATAATATGGTTTGGCTCTGTGTGCCCTCCCAAATGTTATCTTAAATTGTAATCCCCACATGTCAAGGGAGGGATCTCATGAGAGGTGATTGCATTATGGCGGCAATTTCCCTCATGATGTTCTCAGGATAGTGAGATCTGATGATTTAAAAGTGTGGCACCTCCCCTGTCACTCTCTGTCTTGCCACAGTGTAAGACATGCCTTGCTTCCCCTTCACCGTCCACTCTTCTCAGCCATGTGGAACAGTGAGTCAATTAAATCTCTTTTCATTATAAATTACTCAGTCTCAAGTAGTTTGTTGTAGCAGTGTGAAAATGAGCTACTACATCCTTCTTTCCCCAAACAGCCCACATTCAATGATTGGTTAATATGGAAATATAAAGGATTGGCTGGCTGGTCTTAATTTAGGACACATTGGAAAGATCATTCTGGCTTCAGAATTCTTTATAGGGTTGAAAAAAATAATGTTGCAATTGCATTACAGTTCAATTATTGCTTCTGCCAAATCCTGCTTCTCTTACTCATTGAAATATGTTTTGCCTGAGAGGGTTGCTATAACCTGCATGGAAGCAAACCCTGATCTCCCAGCCTGTGTCTCAGGAGTGCCACCAACAAAATATTAATTTGAATTGTGGATGACAAGAGTGAAAGACACTGGATCTAATTAATTAATTTAAATGTATTTGATTTCAAATTCAGATGACATTAGGTAAAGCACATTTTATGCAACTTTTTTCGCCTATTTATGAAAAATAAAGAATTCAAAATCATTTTATTTGCATAGAAAAACATGTACGGAACATAAATGTTACATCAATTTTCAAGGTAGAAATGATCATAAGTTGTTATAATAATAAAAAATCTTTAAGCATTTAGTTTTTGTCCCTGTTGACTTAAATTGAATGCCTGCCAGAAAATATACTCCTTTTTTAAAAAAATTAAGGTACGATTTTCTTTAATTGTGCTGCTTGAGAGCTGCTACAGAAATGCCTAATGAAAGTACCACATATAATAAAATCAGTTCACTTCAGAGTGCCATCTCTCTTCTTTTTTCTAGGCAGGCACTATTCTTGTGAATCATGAGTTTATATTTCTTTGTGGTTCTATTAACATTAACTTACAAAAAAAATCTCAAATCATTTAGAAGGCTTTTTGTGGAAAGGTAACAGTAATTTTCTAAGTTATGTTTAATATTTTTAATTACTTTAAATTTCCTAGATACATATCTTTAATTATTTGAGATGCATATATTTGTGTCATCAAATGAAAATGCATGTATTCTGCAATGTGCATTTTCTTGTGTAAAAAGTTTGAAAATAATTTTTAAATCATAAAAATAAAAATTTGCATGCAAATCTATTGTTGAGATAAGATTTATAATAACAGCTGCAACTTTTGTTTGTGCTTATTTTACTATGTGTGTTCCTTTCTAAAATGTGAAAGTCCAGAAATATTGGGCTTTTTACCCATCATCACTACTTATCACTATAGTGATAGACCATCACTATGGTCTATCAAACAAGCAGTGCCAATTTATCAATGTGTGGTCATAAATGTTTGTTAAATTATTAATTTTATACACAAGTTAAAGGGTGATTGACTAATATATTTTCTCAGGGTTCAAAATAGTAATAATTGGGATTAATAAATGTGTAGATTGAGAAAGATAAAGAGAGAGACAAAGAGAGACGAGAAAGTAATAAATTCCAGGTTTCTGGCTTGAACTAGGTAGAGGCTGGTTCCATTTACTTAGAGTGGAGAAGCATGGGAATTAATATTAGAATGTTACAGGCATACAGTTTTGGAATTGGGAATTGTTTAGACAAACTGAATGTGATAAGCCTATTAATTAGTTAGAAATAAATGTTAATAAAAATACAAAATTCTGGATAAGTGATAAGTTACACTAGAATGCTTCGAAACAAGTTAGACGGTGATATTACAAAATGGGAATCTTTATATAGCCTTCAGTATCTTGACCATTGCCTTGAAAATACAAGTATAATAACTTGTATTAAGCAAAATTTTCTTAATGAACCATTAAGAAATCCCAGTAATCATTAACTGCATAAGCTTTCAAAATAAATAATGATGTGAAGTATTATTAAAGGCTAAAATTAATGTTAATGTGAAATAATGGTTTTAGAAGTTGCCAGAAAATATCAACCACAGGAGCCACAGGTTACTGAAATTCACATCTGCTTCTATATCTAAATGTATACATAAATTATTTATCATTCTGTCTTTGGAATATCCTGTTGTTATCTTTTTTTTTCTGAGTACTTTGCTGCTCTGAACAAATTCCAGGTACTTGTTAGTAAGAAGGCAGGGGAAAAAATAGAGGGTAGTTAACTATCTGTGTTTACTATAAGAAGAGCAAGAATTGCTCAATTTAGGAATAAATACAAGTATTTTCAGACACGCTAGATTTAAACTCATATGACTGAGCCATTTCTCTTATGAATATATATATTCCCTTATGAATATATATGAATATATATTATCTAAACATAAATATATATGTTCACTACGAGTGTTTAGAATTCATATATATATATATATATATATATATATATATATATATATTTACTAGGAATGTTTAGAATTCTCTTATTTATCCAGCATACTGTTGTGTATGCTCTCCTGGCCCATCTTGGCCCATTTTAGACCTTGGTTTTGGATTCAGAACCAGTTAGGCTCAGTCTTCAGTTTAAATACTCAGCTCCCACTACAGCATCTGGATGACGGGGTATTGTCCCTGGCTGCAGAAAAACCTACAAAATATATTTTGAATAATTATAGCAATGCCACTTGATTTTAATTATAATTAAAAGCTGGTTGAACAATGTAGAATTTTTATTATAAAATAAGGCAGAAGGAAACTGTAAAAATAAGTAAATTTTATGTGTCACCTTAAATAGTCCTTTTAACATATGGTAGTTGTGGATTATTTTCACAGTTCACAGGTCTGTGAATACGACAGTGAACATATTTTTGAGCTCCAAGCGTCTCAAATGAAAATAGTCATAATTTGAAATAAATAATATCCAGCACTGATTAAAAATTGTTTTACTTATCTATTCACAGACTGTCTGCTACTAATATAATTATACTGTATCTTCATAATGATTCTTGCCACTTATATTGAGGTAGTGGGGGAGGAAAATTAGAGGGAACCAGTTGGACTAATAGAGGTAATGAGAAAAAGGCAAAAGGCACAAGTCAAAAATATAAAATGCAAACAAGAAATGGAAAATAAATATTTCCATGAGCATTATAAATTTAAATTGATCAGTTCAATTAATTTCTATTACCTAAAATCTTTATTTTATCCATATCACTAATGCAATTTTATGCATTTTTCCAAATGTATGTTTCGTATATTGGTATATAAACTCCATGAAGATACTACCTCTGGCTCTGTGGTTTATTTGCACCAATTAACTGAATGAATGGACCAAAACAGGAATAATAATGATTGGCAAATAATTATTGGCTAAATGGAAGAAATAATACAAAAGTGAGGGAGCGTCTGCCTTTACCCAAGGGGTCCAGGAAAAACTTAAAAAGGGAAGAAATTTGAGCTGGATCTATGATGGTGCATAAAAAAAGAGAAATTGTAATATGTGGAATATATCTATATACAAATGTCAAGAACATTAATAATTAAAGTGAGCTAAGGTATAACACAAGCCATATTAAGGGCTAGAAGAAGAAAACATGAAGAGACAAGACACTATGTATATAGTGGACTATCACGTATGAAGCCTCCATAATACTTCTTTAATGACATGGAATAATCAAAATTATTAATAAAAGAAATAATTTATTTTAATTGTAAAATAAATGAAATGAAGAAACAAGAAAGACTTAATATTCTTAATTTTAATTTTTTTCTAGATTAAAATCTAAGTGAAAGGTTAAAATCTTTGGCCAAAGCATAAAAGTTACAGATATTCTATTTTTATGATCAAATTTTAAGAATAAGAATAACATATAAATTGAATGTGGAATCATAGAAAAACACAAAAAACAAAATATTAAGAAAGTCATAAAATTCTATTACTCAGAGACATGCATTCTTAATGTCCTGACATAGATATTTCCATGTAAATAGCTCTTTGAAATGCCCATCTCTTAGTTGTATTTAGCTATGTTTTTTTTGAAAATTTTCTCTATGAAATATACAAACTAATGTTCATAGAAAGATATGTTTCATGAATAATAGACTACTTTAAAAAAAAAGTCTGTCATTTCTCTGCTGCATTGGTTAAATGAATGCAAATCCAAATCAGGTCTGTTTGTATCAAATATTAGTGCTATTATATTATCATCAAAGTTATTTCAGTGAAATGAACATTTTATAAACCAACAAAATATGAATGCATAACTGTGTTTTTCTTATGGAAGCAAAACTACATACTTTAGAATTGTTAGATAAAAATTATTCACATTTGTAAATTGAACTGAAGACACATGAGACATTTGTAGAAGGTTAGGAAAAAATGAATTGAAACCTAGACTTTCTGGTCACACTGCTTCACAAATTCTAAACTCAGACAAACCAAACTTTAAAATGATAGATGATGGATTATTATTTTAGTTTTTAATAGGAAAATTCTTAGAAAGACAATAGGCAAACCATATTCTAAGAAAATCGATGACCTTGAGTGAAAGATAGGTTACAAAAATAATGGAGTAAGTTCATTTCTGCACACTTTCCTTCCCGGCAATTTTCCATCCACAGAAATGATAAACAGAAGTATAATCTGCAACTAACCTCAGACAAAATTAGCAGTAAATAGTTATCCAGAATGAAAGAGTAATATAAAAGTCTCAGAAGCTTGGAACCATGGGAAAAGGGTACATGAGTGAATAATAACGGTTTGTCTAGATATAGTTCAATGCCAAAAGAAAGCATTGTATACAGAATGGAATGAAAAGTATATCAGTTAGAAAATGATAGATTAGGTGAGTTATAGTAAAAATTAACCCCCAAATCTCAGTGGTTTTCAACAACTTAATAAAATTTCAATTTTGTCCTCACTAGATATGCACTAAAGCAAATCTCATGGCAGTAATCATTGCCAATCTTATAACAGAGAAAAAAACAAAACAAAACAACAACAAAAAAATGGCCAGATTACTTGCTGGGTCTTGAAAATTCTACTTAGATAATAAATGTATCTTTCATCCATATTTCATTGATTAACATATGCAAAGATAATGCTAATATCTACTGGGAGTGAGAATATAATCTTCCCTCAGAAATGAACAGAAATTGACTTGTAGATAATTGAGATATGTAATATAATATCTATTATTTACAGATAGTCTTTCACTGTTTATTTTGTTTGAAATATACACTCAGTTATGCTCCTTCAATAAGACAAACAAAAACCCTGCCCAATCATGTCATCACACTCAAAGACTTGGAATTAGTGGTTATATCTATAACAGGTAATATGTGTCTTCCCCTGATACAGACATCCATATACTAAGAAGACAACCAGTTCCTAGTTGCCTCACACTCCCTAGAGAGTCCTGCTCTCTCCACTACAGCATAGTATATTGGTGGAACAGGGACAGGGTAATGGCAATAAATACTTCAGCATGAGAAGAGAAAGAATGCGAGTTTCACAGCTAGTACTGGTCTATAAAAATTCTAAAATCTTGTTAGGAAGATAATGAGGAGGTCCCTTACCTTAGAGTGAGGAATTTGCATTGAACGTCTTCCCTGAGACTCATACCCTGAACCATTTTCCTCCCTGTGCTTAGGTGTGTTCTCATGGAGTCTTTCCTTTTCTATTACTTTCTTCAACTCTATGTAAAGATATTTAAAGGAAGTTAAGATAAAGGCTAAAATTGAGACACATAAGACAAGTAGCAGAAATGAACAAAGTTAAAAGAGATTCAATGGTAGTTTGCAAGGTAACTAAAGAAGAATCAACATCTTTATTTTTTGAAATTTTCAATGAAGAAAAGCATATTATTGTATAATTGAATAGAACAAAATTAAGATATTTTTCAAAGACAAGTCCTAAACTAAAAGAAGTTTTGTCTATCCATACTGAAATTGCACACCATGTACTTGGAAAAGTGGAAACAAATGAGCAACACTAAGCCAAGTCTCAGCAAGGTTACTTTATTTCAAGGATACAGATAAAATGTAATGGTCTGATTGGCATAAATATCACATTAGCAAGAAATGTGATAGGTGGACATAAGCTCCTTACTGCTCTTATTATGGCTATATTACCTGAGTTTTCCCTTTCAACTTCAAAATCTGTTGAAACAATCCTCCATAATAAATTATCATCGCTAGCATAAGCAGTGTGATTTCTGTCTTCCTAACTGATACACTAGACCAAATATGATAGTTAAACAGTTTGTTTTTCAGGAAATAATGTTTTCTTCACTGTATATTCATGTTTTATTCACTATATATACTTTTTTAAAATTAGACTCTGGTTCATAGAGACATTTTAGGTTAACATAAAAAATTAAGCAGAAGGAATAGCTTTTCCACATATTCTCTGCCCTGACACATGTATAGTCTCCCCCATTATGAACATAACTGCTTCTCAAGAGTGATACATTGATTGTAATTGATGAATACATTGACACATATTTATCATCTCAAGTCTATAGTTTACATTAGGATACACTCTTGGTTTTATGTAGTCTGTGGGTTTAGACAAATGTATAATGATATGTATCCACCATTACAGTATCATACTGAGTAGTTTCATTGTCTTAAGATTCTCTGTGTGCCATAGTTTTAGCCCCCTTACTCCTTTAACCACTGGCAACCACTATTTTTTTACTGCCTGATGTATACAGTTTATTTATTCATTCACCTGCTGAAGGACAACTTGGCTACTTCCATGCTTTGGCAATTATGACTAAAGCTGCCATTAAAAAAGCTGCCATGTGCAGGTTATTTTGTAGTCATAAATTTTCAACTCCTTTGAGTAAATGCCAAAGAACACAATTGCTTAGTTCTCTTATAAGTGTTTGTTTAGTTTTGTAAGAAGCCACCAAACTGCTTTCCAAAGTGGTAGTATCATTTTGCATTCCAATCAGCAATGAATAAGTTACTGTTGCTCCATATTCTCACCAGCATTTGATGTTGTTAGTTTTGGATTTTGGTCATTCTAATAGGCATGTAGTGCTATTTCATTATTGTTTTAATTATGACATATAATGTAGAGTAACTTTTCATATGCTTGTTTGCCATTTGTATATATTTTTTGGTGAGGTGTCTGATAAGGTTTTTGGCCCATTTTTTAACTGGGTTGTGTTCTTACTGTTTAATTTTAAATGTTCTTCATATAAATTCGATAGCAGCTTTTTATCTGCTATGTCTTTGCAATTATTTTCCCCCAGTCTATAGCTTGTCTTTTTTGTCTCTTGACAGTGTCTTTTGCAGAGCAGAAAATTCTAATTTTAATAAAATTCAACTTACCAATTCTTACATTCAGGAAGAATGACTTTGGTGGCATTTAAAAATTCATCACCAAACGCAAGTTCATCCAGATTTTCTCTTACATTATCTTTCAGGAGTTTTTATAGTTCTGTATTTTGTATTTAGATCTGTTACTTATTTTGAGTTAATTTGTGTGAAGTATATAAGGCTTGTGTCTAGATTCTCTTTTTTTTTTTCCATGTGGATAACAAGTTGTTCTAGCACTATTTCTTAAAAAGACTATCTTTTCTACATTGTATTGTCTTTGTTTCTTTGTTAGAGATCAGTTGACCACATTTATGTGGGTCTATTTCTGAGCTCTCTATTCTGTTTTGTTAGTCTGTCTATTCTTTAACCAATGTCCTTAACCACTGTCTTGATTACTGTTGCTTTATGGCAAGACTTGAATGCTATTCTGTTTTTTTTTTTTTCTTTCTTTCTTTTGCCTCTTCCTATACATTTTAGAAATAGTACATCAATATCCATTAAACAATATGCAAGGATTTTGATTGGAATTACGTTAATCAGTTTGAGAAGAGCTGATATCTTGATAATATTGAGCCTTCCTATCCAGGAACATGAAATCTCTCTCCATTTATATAGGTTTTATTTTGCTTACTTTATCATAGTCTTATTGTTTTCCTGTATAAATATTTTCTTAAATATCTACATAAGGATATTATTTTTGGAGAGAGTAATAATGTAAATGGTATTTTTAAAAATTTTAAATTCCACTTGTAAGTTACTGATATATAGAAGTGCAATTTACATTTTTTGTATTAACTTTTCATCTTGCAAGATTATCTGCTGTAATTGGTTATTATTTCCAGATCTTATTTTGTTGATTCTTTGGGAATTTCTATATAGATGGTCATCTCACTTGTGAAGTGAAAACAATTTTATTTTTTCTTTCCTTATGTATATATATTAATTTCCTTTTCTTATTGCATTAGTGAAGACTTCCAACAGGATGTTGAAAAACAATGGTGAGAAGGAATACACTTGCTTTTTTCCTGATCTTAGTGGGAAAGCTACTGGTTTCCACTAAGTATGATGCTAGCTGTAAGATTTTTGTAGATATCATTTATGAAATTAAGGAAGAGCTCCTCTATTTCTAATTTACTGAGAATTTTTAATTATAAATGGGTATGGCAGTTCACCAAATGCTTTTTCTGTGTCTATTGATATAAGCATAAAATTTTTCTTCTTTAGTTTGTTGATCAATTTTTCTTTTCTTTTCTTTTTTTTTTGAGACCGTCTTGCTTTGTCACCCAGATTGGAGTGCAGTGGTGCAATCTCTGCTTACTGCAACCTCTGCCACCTGGGTTCAAGCGATTCTCCTGCTTCAGCCTCCTGAGTGCCTAGGATCACAGGCACACACCACCATACCTGGATAATTTTTTTTTTTTTTTGTATTTTTAGCAGAGATGGGCTTTCACTCTGTTGGCCATGCTGGTCTTGTACTCCTGACCGCATGTGATCCACCCACCTCAGCCGCCCGAGGTTCTGGGATTGCAGACGTGAGGCACCACGCCCAGCCTTGTTGATAAATTTTTGAATGTCTAACCAGGCTTGAATGCCTGGGATAAATACAATTTGGTAATGGTGTATAATTGTTTTCATATACTATTGGATTCAGTTTGTTAATATTTTGTTGAAGATTTTTGCATCTATGTTTATGAAAGATATTTGTAGTTTTCTTTTCTTGTAATATATTTGCCTGTTTTAGTATTGGGATAATGATGGCCTTATAAAATGAGTTAGGAAGTATTATCTCTGATTCTAAATGTGAAAGAAAATGTAGAGAACTGGCAAAATTTCTTCCTTAAATGTTTGTCAGAATTTACAACTGAACATGTCTGGGTCTGAACCTTTCTATTTTTAGAGGCTATTAATTATTGACTTATTTCTTTAACAAATATAGGTTTATTCAGATTGCCTATTTCTTCTTGTATGAGTTTTGGTAGATTGTGTCTATCGAAGTATTTTTTCATTTTGTCTAAATTATAAAATTTGTAGACATAAAGTTAGTCATAGTTTTCTATTATTATCCTGTCAATGTCCATGTGATCTGTAGTGATGTTCCCTTTTACATTCCTGACTTTTTAAACTTATGTTCTTTCTCTTTTCCTAGTTAGCCTGTTTATAGGTTTTACTAATTTTATTGGTCTTTCCTAAGAACCAATTTCTAATTTGTTGGTTTTCTCCATTGATATCTTATTTTCAATTTCATTAATTTCTCATGACAATTTACTGCCTTATATTCCTATTAAAAATGGGAGAATGGATTTGGTTGAACAAACTAATCTTCACCATAGTGAGAAATTTAGAATTTAGTTTTCCAATGTTCAAATAGAATGGAATGGAATGGATATAAAATTTGAGAGTGCCAAACCCAAGTATTTGATCTGATCACTCTGAAAATACTATACATTGTATAGTTATGAAAATAAATATAGAATTAACATAAATTATTGTGATTGTATATAGAAGCTGAGGGAATTCAGGAAGTAAGACTTAAAGCTGTATGAATTAGCAGGTTAAAATTATGAGGGTCATCCTATAGATGCCAGACTCCTAGTCCATTCATTCTCAAACATTCCAGGTGCAAGATCTTTATATACTCTTAAATATTATTGAGGATCCTCAATAACCTTTGTTTATTGGTTATATCTACTGACACGTACCATATTGTAATGTAAAATTGAAAATTTAAAAATGTATTAATGTATAAGTAGGAATAATAGACTCACTCCTTGTTATCACACTTTCTGGGAACTGTTTTTACCAAAACAAAACTAAGTGAGAAAAGTGTCATTATTTTATTTTATTGCTTATTTATTTTTTGAGACAGAGTCTCACTGTGTCACCCAAGCTAGAGTGCAGTGGCACCATCTGGGCTCACTGCAATCTCTGCCTCCCAGGTTCAAACAATTCTCCTACCTCAGCCTCCCGAGTGGCTGGGATTACAAGGATGTGCCATCACACCGGTTTTTTTTTTTATATATATTTTTAGTAGAGATGGGGTTTCACCACATTGGCCAGGCTGACCTTGAACTCTTGCTCTAAAGTGATCAGCCTGCCTCAGCCTCCCAAAACACTGTGATTACAGGCATGAACCACTGTGCCCGGCTGGCTTTATTGTTCATTTTTACAAATTCCTTTGTTCTGACTTAGAAGATAGTTAGTTGCATTCCCATGGCTTTTGCCTGCATTTCATTCCTTAGAATAGCATATGTTATATTGCCTCTGGCAAACTCCACTGCACACTTGTGAGATATTACAAGTGAAAGGTAAATCCTATATTTATATTACTATGAAAAAAAGTTTGATCTACTGGACTCATTGAAGTGTCTCATCCTCTTCCCCGACAAGTCCCTGGACCACACATTAAGAAACACTGTCCTAGCCCATAGCTACTATTAACTTATGGCTGCATCACTAGGAAAACTAAGTAACTGTGTTTCTTTCTTTTATTCTTATATTTCTATACCCCACTGAATATAGTACATCTTCTCTATCGAAGATCCAGATGAATAATTTTTAAAATATATGAATTCAATAATGTCACTTTTCATTTTCAATCTTTTTGGTGATCTCCCATTTCTCTTATGACACAGACCAAAACAGCTACTTGAATCTGTCTCATAAGCCAGAAACTGCACAATTATTATCTTCCGGATTTATGGCACTGTAATAATTTAAAACATTATGTAATAGCTTTTGATTTGATAGGCCTTTAATAGCTAATTTAAAAGTGTTTACAGATATTCTGTTTATACTTCTCAATTTTAATACTGGTACTTCTCAAATTTACCCCTCTAACACTCAAGGCATGAAAATATCTATTTCTATTTTAATATAAAGTACTTAGTGTTGAATTTTCCAGTAAACTTAACCTGCATAAATAAAAAATAAAACACAATTGTTATTAAAACAATTTCAATACACTCTTGCCATATATTACCAAGTAATTATGAGATACTGTGTTTGACACTGATGCAAGTTACTGGTCACTGTTGCAGACTGAGTACTATTCCTCAGCCACAAAATAAAAACTGATATATGCAAAGTGCTGGTAATATAAAAAGTATTGCTATAAGGAAAAGTGTTGAAAGATTAAATGAAAAAATATACCTCCATAAAAAATGAAAATGATGATCATGGCTGGAAGTCAAGTAATACAATCAAAGATAAATTATTCAAGTCAACAAATTACTATCTATTTAATATTATTGCTAAAAGAGCCATCAACTTCAGCCTAAAAAAGTCAAGTTGGGCAACCCATTAAGCAGAAGTGTCTGATTATGTCCTCAGGATTCTCTTTGGAGAGTATACTAGTGTAGCGTGCATAAAAATATCCAAATTTGAAAGCCATAATGCCACATCAAGAAACGAGGAATAGAAATATTGTTCGTATATTTGGCCATAAAAGTTGCTTGAAAGAAAAAGGAGCATATGTCCTCAGTTATGATTCCATAAAGCTAATTGAACTGGCATTCTTAAAAGAATAATATGACAATGTTTTTATGTAATTTTGTTGAACATATAAATTTTGTTTTATATTTTTAGCTTAAATTGAATATTGTTCTATACAACTTTTAAGTATTATCATGAGAAGGATTTCCCTCTGAACAAGTTAGAAATATTATTTATAAAAATCTACAATATAAACAATATTTAAATCTGCTTACTGGAAATCTTTATGCAACATAAGTTTATTGAACTCATATATATCATGCCAACGATATGATATGCTCTACAGATACCAATCTAAATGTACCAGTTTTTCTTAGACTTATTATGGTCCAATGATATAAGAAATGTACATTTTGTTATTGTTATAATTATTAAAACTAATTAGTTCTATATACTGGAAACGTTCTTACATTTCATTAATTAAATTGAAACACATTTTTTGAATCTTTATAGCATAGATCAATAAAAATAAAATGTTATTACATTGTTTTTTATGTAAAAACTCTTCCTGAGATAATCCAAGTGACATTCCACAAGTATCAGTGTTTCTACAATTGAATGCTGTGCTACTCAGATCTTTGATTTAGATGGGAAATATCTATAAACAGATGTAAAATACTTTATCAAAACTAGTACATTATCCGTTTTGATGTCTGTAGTATCTTTAATGATGTCACCTCTATCATTCCTGATACTGAAAATTTGTGTCTGCTTTTCATGATCAGTCAGGCAAGAGCATTATTAATTTTATTGATATTCTCAAAGTATCAACTTCTGGTTTCATTGATTTGTTTATATTGTTATTTTGTTTTATATTTGATTATTTCTGTTTTTCATTTTTTCCTTTATTTTGCTTGCTTTAGGCTAATTCACTTTTTTTCATTTCTTAAGATAGAATCTTAAATTGTTGAATTTAAAGCCCTTATTTTTTTCTAACATAAAAGTAGAAAGCTATATAGTTTTATTTTAGTGATGGTTTAGTTGCAGCATATATATTTGGATATCTGAGGTTGATTTTTTGTCATTCAGTTTAAAATACACTACTTTCCAGTTTCAAATTTGATGTTTTAAATTTCTTTAACAGACATAGAAAGATGTAGATTATTCCTTGTTGACTGAGCTCTGGTAGTTTGTAACTTTTAAGGAAATTGTCCATTTTATCTATGTTATGAAATCTACTCTCATGTCTTAGTTATTATCACTATAAAGCAAATTGCACTTAAACTTAGCAATTAAAAAACAACAAACATTATCTCATAGAATTTCTGAGGAACGGGAATCCAAGAGCAGCTTAAATGGGTAGTTGTGGCTCAGGGTCTTTCATGAGACTATAATTAAGCTGTCAGATAAAGCTGCGATCATCTCAAAGCTCAAATGGGGCTGAAGAATCTCCTTCCAAACTTGTTCAGAGGATCATTAGCAGACCTCCATTTCTTTTGACTGTTGTTCAAAATCCTCTGAACACTTGGAGACAGGAAGGGGAACATCACACACCGGGGCCTGTTGGGGGGTGGGGGAGAAGGGGGAGGGATAGCATTAGGAGATATACCTAATGTAAATGACGAGTTAATGGGTGCAGCACACCAACATGGCACATATATACATATGTAACAAACCTGCACGTTGTGCGCATGTACCCTAGAACTTAAAGTATAATAAAATATATATATATGTGTATATATATATAGAAAAAATCCTCTGTCTCTCACTTTGTGGGCCTTTCCAAAGGCTGCCTAACTTTCCTCAAGACCTGGTTGTTGGCCTATCCTGAAAGAGAGAGAGCAAGATCTCAAAAGACTCAATCTGCAGTTTTCCATAATCCAATCTCCGATGTGATTTGCCATTGCTTCTGCCTTATGCTATTGGACACCCGGATCAACTGTGGTTTGCAATAGGCGTCTTTAACGTATTATATGCTTAATATCAATATTGTTCCATTTCATGTAAACTGTTAGAACATGATATGTCTTCCTTCAGCCTGAAGATCTCATTTGAACATTTTTCTTTAGCATTCAGATTTATTGGGGATACATTTATCTTTGAATTGTCAGGAAATATGTTTGTTTTACTTTCTCTTTAAAGAATAATCTTGTCAGGCATTGATTTCTAGATTGGCAGTGATTTTATTGTTTTTGCTTGTTAGTTTTTCTTTTAGCACTTTAAAAATCCTATTTATTTGTCATCTGGCCTCCACTGTTTCTGAGGAGTTATCATTTGTATCACTGTTCTCTATGTAATGTGACTTTTTTATTCTGGCAACATTTAAGCTTTTCTCTTTACTCCTGGTTTATAAGGTAAACTATAATATGTGTTTTGTCATTGTTATCCTATTTAGATTTCACTGACTATAAAAATGTATTAATGTTTTCTACCAATATAGGAAATTTTCAGTTATCAGTTTTTTTCAAATGTTAGATTAGGACAACCTTTATTGACCTGTTTTCCTTCAATTTACATTTTGCTATTAAATCTATCCCATAAATACTCATTTCAGATATATACTACTTACTTCTTGAATTTATACTGGTTTCTAATTTATTTATTTATATTTGCTTTATTGTTTTCTGAAATTCCCCATCTGTTCACTCATATTATCTTTCCTTAGGAGTTTTAAACGTGTTTAAAATAGATATTTTAAATTCTTTAACCATTAATTTCAATATTTCAGTTCCCAGAGAGTCTGTATCAATTTAACTAAAAGAATTATTTTTATGTAACATTTTTCTGCTTCTTCACATAACTCATAAATTTTGTTTCATGATGCACATTTTAAAAAATGCTTTATTGAGGTATGATTGACATATGAAAAATTATACCCGTTTAACATTTACAATTTGATGAGCTTGGAGATAAGTATATACCCCTGAAATCTGTAAATTTGCAAGTTACATCGAATAGTTTTATACTCACATTTAATAGTGTTGAATTTTCTTCTCGCAGGCAGCTTAATTAATAGCAGATCTTCTTGATCATTTTAGGTTTAATTTATTATTTGTTACAGCTGATGTATTTTTTATTTTCTCTTGGTCTTAGAGCATATTATTTACTATAGAGTACAGTTCTGACCACTTATTCTTTCTGAAGTCTCAGCTAAGTGACCAAGTTCTTTGGTGAAGTTTGCCTACCATGATTGAGCCAGAATTCCAACATTTTCCTGTTCTGCTCACTGTGTTGTGTCTCTATTCCGCTCTCAGTGCTGTGGCAGCTACTCTGCTATACGTTATGAAAATTCACCTTGCATATGCTGGATCAATCATGGACCAGGGCCGTGCAGACTTTTGAGTCCTCATTTTGCTCGTTTTTTTCTTTTCTGCCTCATCAGTTGAAGCTACGTAAGCAGCACAGAATTCTGATTTCTGCCTTCTCTACTAAGTGAAAGCACTTTGTTTTGCTTGCTCTCCACTTTCCCCTAGAATGTGACTCCAGGCAGAAAGCCAGGGAAAATGTGAGTCTCACGTTACATTTTTCCCTTCTGTCAAGAACAGCAGTCCTTCACTGGCTATTGTTTAATATCTGAAAAGAGTATCTCCTATATATTGTGTATTGTTTTACAATTGTTTAAGGTGAAGGGATAGTCCAGTATAAGTTATTTTACCATGATCTAAATTGTGCTCTATATATTACTTGTTGAAAGAATACATTCATTAAAATTTAGAATGTGTAAATGAATGTAATAAAATTTTCATACATATTGTTGATTGAACATAACATTCATAGCTAGGTATAATCTATTGCTTGAATAGTTGTACAAAGATTCTGAAACCATTGAGCAAGTCGACTTATGGTACATGATTTGGCTACTTTCCCTGTTTTTCCTACAGATTCTTCGTGTCCCAAAATGTTCACATAGTCATAGTTATCAATAAGTTATTGTAATTTGGTAGCTATGTAACAACTTCCAATAAAAAATTATTACCTCCAAACTTGAATTCTGTTTAGAAAATGCACTAAAAGATAGATATTGTTGCTGGCAATGTGGCTCACGTCTGTAATCTCCGCACTTTGGGAGGCCGAGGTGGGTAGATCACGACGTCAGGAGTTTGAGACCAGCCGGGCCAACATGGTGAAACCCTGTCTCTACTAAAAATACAAAAAAATTAGCCTGGCGTTTTGGTGCATGCTACTTGGGTGGCTGAGGCAGGAGAGTCGCTTGAACCTGGGAGGTGGAGGTTGCAGTGAGCCGAGATTGCACCACTGCACTCCAGCCTGGGTGTCAGAGCGAGACTCTGTCTCCAAAAAAAAAAAAAACAGATAAGTGTTGTTTTATAATAAGTATATTGAAAATTAGCGATAACAATTACACATTCCATTCATTTTAACCATTTCAGGATTCTATTATTTAATTAAGGAGTATAAAAATAGTTTAATTTTGCATTCCATTAAAAACTTGTTTACAGTTTAACATAATAATATACAGTAATTGTAGTTCAGCTAATTATATGTGATCTTTTTTGTAAATAAAACATAATTTTATGATTTTATGAGCAATGAATTTAATGATAATATTTGAAATTCATCATTTTTTTTCTATTTCTCCAGTTAATTCTAGTTCGTACAAGTAAACTTTAGGCATGATGATCACTGAGATCTAGAAAAATGTAAAAATGGACATTAAATGTGAGACCTAATCAATAATTAAGCTACACAAAGGGAAACAAGACAATTTATTCTGACAGGCAATATTACCTATCTCCCAGCTCACCTTGTCCTGTCAGAAGAACCTTCATCCCAATGACTTTATTTCAAACGTATTGCTTTTGAAATAACAGCAGGGATTTCTAGGCTCCTCAGTATCTCTTGTTTACCATCTAGTGTCATGCTTAATGATCAACATTAAAGTTATTGCTTCCAAACCACCTTAATTAGGGTTGCAAAGCTTTAAAAAGTTCCTTTCAAAAGCTTAGATCATCAAATTAGATTGCCCTCATATATTCTGATTATATAATGAGGTTCTTGTAGTGAAACATCATAATCAAATTTCTAATCAGACATCCTGCAGTTCCTTTGTAAGGTAAATTTTCCTACCCGCAGTACTTCCTGTGGGTGCATTGAGTCCTTGGCTCTCCAGGTCATACTTGATTGAACCAGACACAAGTAAGTAATGCAGAGCCCATGTGTATGGGATGGCCTACCACATGATGCTGTGCCCAAACCGAGGTAATCTCGTGTAATAAGATTTTCCTTCAACTCTCTTAATTAGGGATTAGAGAGTATTGTTTGGTATAAGTGGTCTTACAGTTTTTTTAAAAAAGTAAATGCCTTATTAAAGTAAAACATACACAAAAATAGCACATGAATTATGTACACAGCTTGATAAAGTTACACAAAGTGAACCGACCATAAGTTTCCTTGTGATATTTCCTGGTCAGTAACAACTCAGCAAGGTAACTATTATACCAACTTCTAAAATTGTAAATTACCAGAAATTATTTTTGTTTCTAAAAGTATTCTTTAAAAATAGAGTTATGTATTACTTATTTGAACCTGACTTCCTTTGCTTAAAATGTTAATATGATGCTTGCTAGATTCATCTAAGTTGTTGACTGTACTAATGGTATAGTTATATTTATTTAATTTCTACCATTTCACTTTATGGGCATTCCAAAATTCATGATTTTTTTGATGAACTTAATATACATTTATAGTTTTGATGCTTACACTGTTCTGCTACAGAAATTCTAATATGTGTCATTTGATATGTAGTCTAATGGACAGAGAAGTTTGATAGAATTTCTACTTAATAGGTTATATATACCTATTCAGCTAGAGTAATTACTGCCTGAATTAGTTTTTTTATTGCTGCTATAATAAATTACCATTAACTAATTAGTTAAAAATAACACATGCTTTTTTTCTCTTAGTGTTTAGGAGGTCAAAGTCTAAAAGCAAGGTGTTGGTAAGGCTGCATTCCTTCTAGAGGTTTCAGGGGAGAATTGTTTCCTTGCCTTTTTCAGCATCTAAAGGATGTCTGCATTCTATGGCTCATGGACTCCTCTTAATATCACTCCAACTTCTTGGTCCCATTATCACATATACTACCATTTCTGATCCCACTACCTTCCTCTTATAAAGACTCTTGTGATTACATTGGGCTCACCCAGATAATCTGAGATAATCTCCCCATCTCAAAGTCGTTAACTTGATCACATTTGCAAAGTCCCATTTGCCATGTAAGATAACATATGAAATGTTCTGAGGATTAAAACACTATTCTGCCAACTACAATGATGAAGGAAATATGAGGAGGAATACTAGATCTTAGGTTGCAATGATTTTGAAGACTTTTTGAATATAGGCACGGGAAGCACTGACCTGCTGTGGCCTGGACTTCCATGGTTCCTTTTTTGAAATACTAGAAGATAAGAATCATTGATAGCCATCTTAGAATCGTTCTGCCACTATGTACATGTGTATGAATGTGTTCTCTTGTGTGTGTGTGTGTGTATGTATGTATGTGTGAGATATGGTTAGTGCAAAAGTTGTTGTGGTCTTTGCCATTAAAAGTAATGCAAAAACTGCAAATACTTTTTCATCAACTTAGTAGTTGTTTTCAGTAGGTCTCATAAATGTCTTAGAATAAATTTCTTACAATGGCTGGGCACGGTGGCTCAAGCCTGTAATCCTAGCACTTTGGGAGGCTGAGGCAGGTGGATCACTCGAGGCCAGGAGTTCGAGACCAGCTTGGCCAACATGGTGAAACCCCATCTCTAACATAAATACAAAAAAAATTAGCCAGGTGTGAGGGCATGTGCCTGTAATCCTAGCTACTCGGGAGGCTGAGGTGGGAGAATCTGTTGAACCCAGAAGGCGGAGGTTGCAGTGAGCCGAGATTGCACCACTATACTCCAGCCCAGTTGACAGAACAAGACTCCATCTGAAAAAAAAAAAAAGAATAAATTTCTTGCAATAACTGAATTTACATCCCATGAACTAAGAGGTATAAACTAAGACCAAATAACATAGATAAAGACTATAAGATTGATTAAGCCATTTTCAGAAATAATGTATTAGTAGATGTAAATCCCCAAAGTGTAAAGATGTCTCTTAATTATTACATTTAGTTCTCAGGTTCATGACTGTTTACTCTAAAATTCCCTTTTGTGAATAGAAAGTTTATCACTATAATAAAATCATACTGCAAAGCAATTAATCAAAATACATAGCCTTGGGAAACTCTGAGGTGTGGGAAATGATTAAAAAGTAACATAAAGTTTACGTTTATTTTTAAAATGCAGATTTAATCTTTGTTAAAGTATTATTTGCCCTATGGATATTTTTAGCATACTCAAAAACCTAACTTAGGTTCATTAATTTTATATTGGTAACATGTCATTGCACTTTGTCTCTCAATTTGATTTGCTTTAGATATTTTTAGTGAATTGAATTCCAGACTAAAGATAGTCAGATATTAGTATATGTAGTCAGCAGGGCAAATGTAGGCCAGGTTGAAGGTATTTGCTATATTAAACCATATACATTTCATTTTTAATAACAAGTTAAATAACCCATTTCACTATCATCCCACAGATGTTACGTCATGGTTGACTTCATTTGCACAAAACTATTTCTTTATATTTTTGGAAACTAAAAGAAAATTGTGGTTATCCCTTTCATCAGTTATATTCAGTGTTTGTATCTGAGAATTATTGTGTCTTAAGGAAGTCATTTGTACTACATCATTCCAAGAAAAAGCCATGCTTCTTCTGAGTTTCTGGCTTACTACCAGAAGGAATTTGTTCTGTTCTAATTCTGTAGTAAAAAATGTTGAAATGAGCTCTCAAGCGGTTATATATTAAAGTTTCTCACATTTTAGTACATTAATTGCCACATTAAAGTGTGGTATTGATCTAACATTTTATATACTGATACTTAATGAATTCAATTATCAACTTTAAGAAATATCTGTGAGTTTTTAAATAAAAGTTATGTTTCATTGTCTTTTTAGAGTATTAATATAACACAGGTCTATTTAAGATCTATTTTAGTGCAGTTCACCAAATGTTAAGTGGAAAAAATACTTCATTTTGCAATTTATTTTAAAAAGAAACTTCTACTCCAGCACTTCTATTAGAGTGGCTTAGGGTAAACTGAACAAAGTTTTGAAAGACAATAACACCATTATTCATCAATTTCCAATTTTTATTCCCTTCTGTAAACATAGAGGTCTACACTGGTTTCTACTTTCAGAATGGCTCAGTAAGTTCTTAGTAGGCCAATACTCTTGTAGATAACTATAGTATAAATGCTAGAAAAATATAACAAACTACCTACAGGCTTTGGAATGTAATCAAAAGGAGACAGATTCTAGAAAAAGGTAGAAACGGGAAGGGATCAGCATGTGGTATAATCTCCCCACTTTCTTTCTATGTTTCGTTTTCTTTTGCTATGCCTGTGGACATGCTGCAGTTATCCTTTGTTTTGTGGCCACAACTTTGCTGACTCACAGTCTTTTTGAACTGAAGAGGAATAGAACAGAAATTAGGGCAACCACTTCCATCAGAATGTATGGTGAGAACCCTAGAAAACAGAGAGGAGAGGAAGAAAAACCTCTGTGTAGAAACGTTATACAAATATCTGACTGACCCTAGTGCCATCTTTGCAGACTGAAAACAACCCATCTAAAATAAATAAATGACTGAACAAATATACGAGTTTCTGTAGAAAACATAAATTTTTCAGTTTATGTACAACCAAGTTAATTGCCTGTTAAAACAAAAATGTCAATGCTCCAGGGAGAGAAATGGAGTATAATCTAAAGTTTCCACAACGTAACATTCAGGATACAAGCAAATTATTACTTAACATGTGAAGAGCCAGGCAAATGTAACTCATTTTCAAGAGAAAATAGAATAATGGAAATCAATCTTTACATTTTCGAATTATCACAAAATGGAATTCAAAACAGCTGTATAATTATTCTCAATGAGATAAAGAAAAATGCTCTTGTAATCAGTGAGAAGATGGGAAACATGGACAAAAGAACTTGAAAACATAAAAGTATATGAAAATTCTAAAACTGAAAGTTATAATATAGCTTAACTATAAACAATACTGCATAGGCTTAATAGCAGAATGGAAATGTCAGAAGAAATAATCAGCAAACTTGATGATAGTTCAATAAAAACAAAGGATAAAAGATTGAAAACAAATGGAGCAGCAGCAAGCTATAGAACAATATCAAAAATTCCAATATGTGTGTAATTTGAGTTCCGTAGAAAGAGAGAAAGAGAATGGGTCAGAAAAGAAATGTTGACCCCAAATTTTCAAAATTTTATAAAAACATAAGTCTATATATTCCAGAATGTTAGAAAACATCAAGAAGTATAAATGTGAAGGAAACCATGCGCAGGTCCATTATACTAAAATACTGGAAAGCGAAGACTAATTAAAAGTCTTGAACTTATCCGAAGAAAGATTACATTATATACTGGAGAAGCACTATTCTAACGAGAACCGATTTCTCATCATTAACAATAGAGGCCAGAAAATGGTGAGGAAACATCTTTAAAGTATTGAAAGAAATAAATTCTAATCTCACGATTTAATGTCTGGCAGAAAAAATATCCTTTAAAAATGGAAATAAATAAAAGCATTTTCAGGTAAACGAAAATAAGGATTTGTGGCCAGGAGATCTGCAATATAAAAAATACTGAAAACTGTTTTTCATGTTGAAGGAAAATGATGATGGTGCGAAACTTTGATATTTATGAAGGAATAAGTAGTATCAGCTCTGGGAAAGAGCTGGTAAATTAAAAATATATTTTCCTCTGGATTTCATTATAATATCTATGTTGACATAGAACAATGAATATAATATTTTCAGTGATATTTTACATCATATCCTAACCATAAAGAAGAATTTGGATTGGGGCAGGGATGGTAAATGTACCTTTATAGTTTCAAGTTCACTTATATTCCAAGAAAACTGAGAAAAGTTAAAAATATGTATAGTAATCTCTGGATTAAAACTAATGTAAATAGGTACAGTTAAAAGGCCAATCAATAAAGTTTACTTTAAAAGATATTCAAATAATTTGAAAAATGAAATAAGAAACTAATTTCTTAAAAAAAGACAGAACACAAACTGAAAGGTCTAAATCCAAAAATTTCTTCAATTTTATTAGTGTTATTAAACTCAGTATTCAAATTAGAAGACAGAGTTTTTCAAAATAGGTAAAAGAACAAAAAAATCTGTATTTCAGCCTTGCTTGAAATTGCATAAAATTTTGGCAAATTCTGTACCAAAAAAATGTTAGCAGATGTAATGTAGATAACTCTGAACTGAGGCAGTAAGATCAGTTATCCAGGTTTTTGCCTCTCTTGCCAAGGAGATAGTGGAGAATGCCCAAGAAGGAAACACTGAAGTTACTCAGCTTGGATTGTTAAGTCTCTGCATGGAAGAATTGCTCTCAAGAATTGCACAGATCCAGAGCAGAATTTACAAGAGCAATAGATAACCATTTGCTTTGCTTGATATTGTTCATTAGCATAGAGTAGCATAGTCTAGATTATTCTAATCAAGAGAAAACCAAGTCCCTGCTACTTAGAAATTAGCAACATTGTTTATGTAATATATGAGTATTTATTATGAGTTTGTCGATTAAGATAATTTGCATTATGGGACTACTAGTACTGGCTACATGTATAACTTGGATAAGAGTAAGATCTCAGGAACATATGACATCTAATTAATATTAAAATATACTTATTACAAAGTATTTAAAGGTTTGCCATGTTACAAAAGAAAAGAGACAACAATAACATAAAAATTAGTAAGTTAAGAGCCATATATACATATATGTGATTTTTAAATGTACGCTACTGGATTAAATCCATGTATCTACAAATATTTGGGATCTTAATTTTTACAGTTTTAAACTGGATGTATCTTCTTGAAAGACCACTTTTTTTCCAGAATCATGAATTCTTAAAGTGATGATTATCCATTGAACGGAAAGAAGATTGTTGGTAAAGTATGAAGTATGAGCATGCTTGACCTATGAGCATTTATGCTATCAGGATGAAAGCAACATTAAAATGGATTACATATAACAGAAATGAAGATAGATATGGGCTAAATGGTATATTATAGTTCAAAACAGTACACACTACATAGTAATAGTATTAAAATTGCTTTTCAGGGAATAATGAAAAAAGTGAAAAGAAAGAAGACATAATATAGTATTTTTTTATAATAAAGTTACAAAGATGTGTTATAGTAAAATTAAAGAAATGGAAACCCTAAAGTTATAGTAATTTATCTACACTACAAATTCAAATAATATATGTGAACAAAATGAATACAAAGCAACTGAGATGAAAATGTTTAAATTGCTAATATAGAAATAGAAGAAAAAATTCAATATAATTTTTTTCTTTAATATTTATCGATTTCTTCATTTCTTGAACAAAATAGTTTAAACAGAATGTATGTAAAATAGCTGCTTAAAATTAATTAATGCATTCTATAATAAATTCTTTAAAATTGTTAATTCCTAAAGCAGTTAAGACTGTTTATAAATATAGTTCTAAACGTGCAATAATAAGGTATATTTCGTTTATGCAAAAATTACCTATACCTTAAAAGAAATAATACAACAGGAGGCCGGGCGCGGAGGCTCATTCCTGTAATCCCAGCACTTTGGGAGGTCGAGGCCAGAGGATCACGAGGTCAGGAGATCGAGACCATCCTGGCTAAGACAGTGAAACGCCGTCTCTACTAAAAATACAAAAAATTAGCCGGGCGTGATGACGGGCACCTGTAGTCCCATCTACGCGGGAGACTGAGGCAGGAGAATGGCATGAACCCAGGAGGCGGAGCTTGCAGTGAGCCGAGATCGTGCCACTGCCCTCCAGCCTAGGCAACAGAGCGAGACTCCATGCCAAAAATAAAAAAGAAATAATACAACAGGAGATGATACTCTCCTTTGTCCTATTCATCAGCCCTTGTCAAAGATTCTCTTCTTCTACCATATCTGATTGTTATGCTGGTTAATATATTTTTTTTGTTTCTTCCCTCAAATTTTTATTGTATGTCCCCTCTTCAGTGTATTAGATCATTACCCCCAACAGTCTTGTGGCTCCACTATCCAATTAAAAATTGTAGACAGAAGGAAACTTGTAGGATTGTGCATATTTAAGGAGTCTAACCAGTTAGAAATGTTACGTAGCAGAATCAAACACTAACCAGTTTTAAAAGAAACTAATGCACAGTGTGTTTGTGATGAATTCACCATTCCCATATGTCTGGGTAAAAAGGTGAAGGATTTGATGTTCAAAATGTGCTAGTCTAGCATTTTAAAATTATTCCTCTTGGTTTTTGATGCTTCACGGTATTCTTGTTCTCACTAATTCAATTTTTCCTGCTTGATAAAATGTTTGAAGCTGCCAATCGTCCATGTCATTACGCTGTTTGGTATGCACAGTGAATGGTGACCTTAACTATTGCCTTTCTTTGTGTATTTTCAGTAAAAGGGCTCATGAGCCTCTAGATGCTTTAACAACATTGATATCTCCTTCTAAAATATATCTGATATTATCATTAGTCATTTGGAGAAGCCTGAGCTGCTAACCTACTTTGTCTTTTCACTGGTCCTCAAATGCTGAAGCTTACAAGGCAAAATTTTTTTTCCTTTCCATCAGATGCCTGGCTACTATGTTAAAGAACATTGAATTTTGCACTGCAAATGTAATTTTGGAATAATTAGCCACAGGCTTTCTTTTTTCTTCATTGCTCTGCCCTATTGAGTCTCTACAATTTGAAAAAAAAAATTAAAATTTTCTTACAATTTTTATTACTTGTCCTTCAGAAGAATATGTAGCATTCAAAATGCTCAGAGATAAAGGGAACTGAAAAATGTTAAGTGTAACCAGAATGTCTTCACTGAGTGTTGTTTCTGTCCAACACCAAAATATGATTTGTTTCCTGTGCTGTCAGCTCATCACATTTCAGTGTCAGAAAGACTGCTAAATGAGGTCAGACATGCTTCCTGTTTCTGAACTCAGTTTTGAGGAAGCTGCTGAATATGTGATAATGTAACACACAGACTTCAAAACTTAGATCCATAAATCTTAGCAGTTTGGTAAAGAATATTTGGTCAGTGGGCTTGCAGCATCTGACAGCTAAGGATTGCTCTATTGGTCCCAGTGGCAACTCTCTCTGATATGTTGTGGTTTGCTAACATGGAAATATAGGGTCAAAATCCTTAAACACAGAAGGAGTATATTTAAAGCCCATTTTGTACCATCATATAGTTTGGAATATTCTATGTACTATACTACATAATTGACCCGCTGTATATGTGTTCTGCTGTATATGTATATGTATATGTATATGTATATGTATATGTACTGTTGTATATGTTCTGCTGAAGCAAATAGAGCAATGCAAATGGAATAGAAGTACACCAATTTCAGAGGTGAGATACAAATCTAAACATATTGCTCTTTCTTTCATACATACAAAGGAAATCATTTCTGCTTAATTTTCATAATGACCGTAGTCTGTGTTTGATCTAATTAAATACTTATGATATGATTACAGCACTTCAACAGCCTAATTCAGTGAAATAAGTTGACATCAGTTATTTGCTATCATGTAAATTTATATAAATGTAATAGTTGACTACTTTAACTGTTAAATTATTTGTAATGATATTATGTAAATATAGCCTTATAAGAATGCATCAGATGGTTGAAGAAAGTTTAAAGAGAACATACAAATTAAAGTTACAGTCATTAACATTTTATAAATTATATATATTTTATATTTCAGTACATTACATATGTATGTGTGTGTATATGTATATATATCAAGTCATCATGTTTTCTTATATTCAATATTAAGCACTGTTCTGATAGCAAAAACCATTTTTAGTACAGTTTAATGTTCTTACATTCTAAATAATGAATTAGATATAGGTATTTTATATTATTTTACTCTTCCATCTATACATTTCAGTTAGAATAATCATTAAGCACTAGCACATAGAAAGAACAGTGTTAATGCATATATTGGAATATTAATTGGGGATCACATATTTTGGGTTATTTTTTGAAATGCCAGTTAGAAATATTTTTCCCATTAGTACCATAAAACTTTCTCAAAAATTACAAACATTGATTTCTTACAAGTTATTGCTGGAAGATCTCTTCCGTTAGAACATCACCCAAAATATGTAGGTACTTAATATGTTCGAATTTCACTTAATAGATGTCGTTATTAAAGGCAAATCTAAACATTTAATTACATTATACTTCCTTAGTATATGCAAATATTTATATGTCCTTTCTTAGAATTTCTATAATTCTATGCATAGAATGCATTTATTTTGTGTTAAAGCTGATGTCAATTAGCCTATGAGTATGTTAGTTACTGACTTTATTAAGACAAGGAGTGGAAACAGGCGAAGAGAGTATAAATAGAAGGTCCTTTAACCTACATAAAATTACACGTCATTGGGAAGGGTACACATCTCCCAGAAAATTAGAAATAATTAGCATCTCTTGGTTGAGTTGTATAATAGCAATAAATGCAATCATTCACTTTACTGAAAATACTTGTATGAAACAAATATTCATCATGTATGTATATTTTAGATCAGAATGATCTAACCAATGAAACTAATTTATTTTGTTAAAAGCCTCTTTGGTTTACTCTGTGGTTGTGGAAGGATGGAAGCCATTCAAATGGAAATGTTCAAAGGGTGAAGAAGTCTAATAATGTATCATAAATATAATAAAAAAGGAAAATTTAATTAGGCCAGGTGCAGTGGCTCACACCTGTGATCTCAGCACTTTGGGAGGCAGAGACAGAAGGACTACTTGAGGCCAGGAGCTTGAGACCAGCCTGGGCAACAGAGCAAGACAACACCTCTACAAAAAATTTAAAAATTAGCTGGGAGTGTTGGCACATGTCTGTAGTCCAAGCTACTTGGGAGATCAAGGTGACAGGATCATTTGAGTCCAGGAATTTGAGACTGCAGTGAGCTATGATTGTGCCACTGCACTCCAGCCTGGGTGACAGTGTGAGACTTTATCTCTAAAAATTAAACAAAAGAAAGAAAGAGAAAGAAGGTCGGCGGAAGGAAGGAAGGCTATTAAGACTAGCCTGTTGTTGCCTGAATTATTGATAATCTGATGATATCACATTAAGCTTTTCAAAAATTCCCATATTTGTAGACATTGGTCATACATTGTTCATACTTCCAAATTTAACATTTGAAATTAATTTTAAAAGTAACTGAAATCACATTTTACACCTATGAGACTGAAAAATCTGATTGAAAGTAAAGCTTTAATTAAAAAATTTCAAGCAGCTTTTATTTCCTTCTAGCACTGAATAGTTTGTTACTCTGAAATTCTTGTTTGTTTGCTTCTTGTTTTTTGGATTTATCAGCAGAAACCAAGGTTGAATTGCTTAAGGAAAAAAAAATGAGTGTAATAGAAAAATATTTTTTATGTCATTGAGAGTTAAAGAAATAGTGGAATAACCAAGGTTTCTGAAAAAAGGAACTAGAGTTTATTCAAAGATTTTAGCATCAAGAAAACATTTAGTAACAGAATGAAAAATTGACAATTTGTCTGTTTCTCTGCCTCCATATTTTAGAATTGTTGGGAGAGAGAACTTTGTCCATTTCAGATCAGTTGTCTGTGTCAGGATCATTATCTATCATCAGATGAGTAGGCACATACTATGTAGAAATGGCCCAGTAAAGATTTTCTACTTCATTTTAGGGCTTTTTCCAGAGAAAGGGCCATCATTGTGAAGCAAGTATCTACCCCAAGGCACATTTAGTAAAGATAATGGTTCCTGCCTAATTTATTTTTCTAGGTCACTGTGCTCCCTCTCTGAATTGCATCCTGAGCCTTTGTTCTGTCTTCAACTTCTTGATTCTTCCACTTTCCACATCTGGTATCTAACA
Organism: Homo sapiens; assembly: GCF_000001405.40. Lineage (NCBI taxonomy): Eukaryota > Metazoa > Chordata > Mammalia > Primates > Hominidae > Homo > Homo sapiens. The sequence goes on from NC_000004.12 coordinate 32,573,033, forward strand.
AAAACCTGTCTTCCTTCTTCAGAGCTTCTGCAGAGCGCCACTTGATTCATTGGGGGTGGGAAGCTTGGAGATGGGAATTAGTGTTGCTCTGAGCTCATCTCTCCATACCCTTTCTCATATGAATAGAGCATTTACATTTTAAGCAAATCCCTTTCCTATATTTTATTTGTCATAGTAAAATTTAACCTGTAATATAAATATAGCAATGATTATATTTCACTTTCAGTAATTGGCTGTAGAAATCACACACTATTATTCTTAGCAGTTTACCCTGCATTATAACTTTAGCTTATCACAGTGCTTACCTGCAATAATATCCCCTTCTATGAAAAAAAAATTCTCTTGTGCTCACTTTTCTCTTTTCTGTGCAAACTCCCTTTTATGTTCTTTGACAATTTTTTTATCATTTTGCTACCCTCTCTCCTTTCCTGACCAGCTTCAGATGCTTGAAAATGAGGTGAGTTCTCTCCCTTCCTAGTTGACTCCTGGCTCCTTTTCTCTTTTTTCTATATATGTTATTTTATTTTATCTTATTTTTATTCTTTATTTTGGCTTTGATTGGCACATAATAATTGTACATATTTATGGGGTATATTGTGGTGTTTCCATACATATAATGATATATAGTGATCAATCATGGTAATTAGCACATCCATCAGCTTATTCATATATCATTTTCTGTGTTAGGAACATTCAGTATCCTCCTTCTAGCTGTTTGAAACCATATAATGTAAGAGAGCTAACTATAATCATTCTACGGTGATGTAGAACACTAGAACTTATTCCTCCTGTCCAACTGTGACTTGTATACTTTAACAAATCTCTCTCTATTCTTCCCCTTTCCCATCCTTCTCAGCCTCTAGTATCCTCTACTCTATGTTTTACTTCTATGAGATCAAACTTTTTTTAAGCTTCCAAATATGGGCGAGAACATCTGGTGTTTAACTTTCCATTCCTCGTTTATTTCACTTAACATAATGTCCTCCAGTCTATCCACCCTACCAGGAATGACAAGATCTTATTATTTTATATGGCCAAATAGTATTCAACTGTATATGTGTATATATATATGTTTTATTTATATATATACATATATATGTTTAAATTATATATATAATTTATATATAAATATACACATATACATATGACATTTTAAAATTCATTCATCTGTTGTTGGACCTGTGGGTTGATTCTATATCTTGGCTACTATGAATAGTGCTGCAATAAATATTGCCATGCAGATGTCTCTTTGAAATACTGAAGACCTGAGCAGGCCAATAACAAGTAATGAGATTAAAAAGTAAGACAAAGCTTTCCAACAAAGAAAAGTCAAGGACTAGATGGCTTCACCACTGAGCTTCACTGAATCTTTAAAGGGCAACTAATACTGATTTTTCTCAAACTATTCTAAAAACCTGAAGCAGAGGATGTTATTTCTAACTCATTCTACAAAGCCAGCATACTACTGGTACCAAAACCAAACAAGGACACAGTGAAAAAAGAAAACTACAGGCCAATATCCCTGACGGACATAGACACAAAAATCCTCAACAAATACTAGAAAACTGAATCCGACAACACATCACAAAGATAATATAGTGTGACCAAGTGGGATTTATCCCAGAAATACAAGTATGGTTCAGCATATGCAAATCAATAAATATCACACATCACATCAACAGAATGAGGAATAAAAACCATATGATCATTTCAATAGATGCAGAAAAAGCATTTGAGAAAATTCAACATGTTTTCATGATAAAAAACCCTTAATAAATAAAGTATAGAAGGAAAGTACCTTAACATAACAAAGGCCATATATTATTGTTGGCCCATATTATCGTGGACCCAAACCCATAGCTAACATCATACTGAGTTGGGAAAATCTAAAAGCTTTTCCTTTAAGAACTGAGAAAAAAAAATGAATGCCCACTTTCACCACCCTTATTTAGCATAGTACTGTAAGTTATAGAAAGAACAATTAGGCAAGAGAAAGAAATAGCAAATCCAAAGAGGAAAAGAGGAAGTGAAATTTTCTCTGTTTGCAAATGACATGATTTTATATATAGAAAAAAACTAAAGACTCTACCAAAAAACTTCTAGAACCAATAAGTGAATTCAGTGTAGTTGCAGGACACAAAATTAATATACAAAAATCAGTAATGTTTCTATACATGTATAAGAAACTAGTGGAAATCAAAATGGCAATCCCTTTTACAATATATATTTAAAAAGTAAAGGCCAAGTACCATGGCTCCTTACTGTAATCCAAGCACTTTAAGAGACCCAAGAGTTTGAGACCAGCCTGGGCAATGAGATTAAATTCCATCTCTACAAAAAATAAACACACACACACACACACACACACACAAATTAGCTGTGTGTGGTGGCATGAGCCTATGGTGGCATGAGCCTATGGTGGCAGCTACTTGAGAGGCTGAGATGGAAGGACTACTTGAGCCTGGGAGGTAGAGCTTGCAGTGAGTTGAAATCTCATCATTGCACTCCAGCCTGGGAGCAAAGCCCTGTATCAGAAAAATAGAGGAGATGAAAGACCTCTACAAGAAAAACTATAAAGCACTGATGAAAGAAATTGAAGAGGATGCAAACAAATAGAATGGCACCCCATGCTCATAGATCAGAAGCCTTAATAAATATTGATAAAGTAAGCGTACTTCCCAAAATAATCTACAAATTCAACATAATCCTGGTAAAAATACCAATGGCATTCCTCACAGAAATAGAATTAATCCTAAAATTTGTATTGCACTACAAAGAATCCCCAATCACCAAAGCAATTCTGAGCAAAAAAGAGCAAAGCTTAAGGCATCACACTACCAGACTTCAACATATATCAATCACAAAGCTGTAGTAACCAAAACAGTATAGTGCTGGTATAAAAACAGACACATAGTCCAATGGAACAGAGTAGAGAACCAGAGATTAATCTACATATCTACAGCCAATTGATTTTTATAAAGGGTAGCAAGAACACTTTTTAGGGAACCTGTAGTCTTTTAAATAAGTGATGCTGGGAAAACTGGAAATTCATATTCAGAAACATGAAACTAGACCTCCACTTCTCACCCTCTACAAAGTCAACCCAAAATGGATGAAAGATCTAATTTTAAAATCTGAAATGATAAAGCTACTAGAAAAAAATGGGGAAATGCTTCAGGACATTCTTCTAAGAGAATATTTTCTTTGAATAAGGAATCAAAAGCAAAAATATACAAATAAGATTATATTAAACTACAGGTCTTCTGCAAAGCCAAGGAAACAACATTGTGAAAAGACACCCTATAATTGGAAAATATGTTTGCAAAGTACTCATCCAACAGTTCATTTATATGACAAGGAACTCAAATATTTCAACAGCAAAATATTACCAAACAATGTGATTTAAAAAATGGGCAAATATCTAATCAGATATTTCTCAAAAGAACACGTACAAATGTCCAATAAATATATTTTAAAAAGTTCAACATCCCTAATCATCAGGGAAATGCAAATCAAAACCATAATGAGGTATCATCTTATTCCAATTAGAATGACTATCATCAAAAGGAAAAAAAAAACCAGCAAATGTTGGACAGAATACAGATATAAGACAACTCATACACTGTTAGTGAGAATGTAAACTAGTAGAACTACTCTGAGGAACAGTACAGAGATTCCTCAAAAAACTACAAATAGAACTACCGTATAGTCCAGCAATTCCACCACTGGGCATTTATCCAAAGGAAAGTAGTTTTTTTTTTTTGTTTGCTCTTTTTTTAACACCCCCACATTTTCTGGAGTTTTTAAGGGGGAGGACTATGGCAAACAATAATATCTAAGATCATTTTTATTAATGCTCAATAGGTTAAAAAAATGCTCAGGCTTCATGTAATCGCTGTATTCTGAACATTAAAATTATGTCATACACTTCAAATAAAACTGGGTTATCAGACAAGATTTAATCATTTTACCATGAAAATCAGAGTTTATTAAGTAGTAACAAATGTTACATTTATTTATTTTGAAATGAATGCTGAAAATACAAACCTGTCACATAAATTGCATTAATTTACAACTATTAAATTTAATTTTTTTTGTTTTGGTGAGAATAACCATGTCCAAATTGCATTAGTAATTAGAAATATACTCCATTAAAATGTAGTTCAACTGACTGAAAAAATACATAAGTGTTTTTCTAATTAATCTTTGTATATCATAATTTGGTAAAATACATCCCTTTTAATATCCTAAATAGGACACTATTTAGGTAATAAAATAAATTAAAAAATTGGATTTGTCCTTCATTGATGTTAAATTATTTTTATATCAATATAGAAACAGAAATCTAAGATGCGTTTGTGTGTGTGTGTGTGTGTGTGTGTGTGCATCACATGTTAATGTACTATTTACAGTTGTCTAATGTGGTGCACTGGGGTCTTCAGGTTCTGATCTGCCACCTCAATTTCCACAGAGATTGATTTTCTTAAGCATTGGACTTATTTCCCAGTTTCCAGGAAGGGAATTTTCTTTCCAAACATTCCTGTTCTGTAGAAAACCAACCTTCTCCTGAAAAAAATTATCTTTCTCACTTTTTATTCAGTCATTAAAATGGTACATAGCTTATTACCTCACTACCTTAAATCATGGAATTATTTCATGAACTCTCAGAATCTGCTTCATGTTGTCCAACAGACATTCTGTGATGATAAAAATGTCACATATCTGCAATTTCCAATACAGTAGCTAGGAGCCGGATGTGACCATTTTTAAGGTGGCTAGTGTGACTGGAGAAACTGAAATTTTAAATTTAATTAATTATTTTCTATATTAAATTAAATAGCTATATGTGACTAATGGTTACATTATTGGATAATGAAGGTCTATATTCACTCTTTCAAAATTATTTGACCTCCCTTATTCAATTTTTCACTTCTATTTTGTATCAGCTACTGATTCAAAGACTTATGTCCTGCACTTAGAGTCAGAGTTAATAGCACCTCAGAAATCTTAAAGGAGTGTGATGTGGTTTTCTTATCTCTCTGTCATCCATTATTTAACATTGGCATGCAAACAAAATGTATTCAAAACTACAGGTATTTATCTTTTCCCCAAATTAAAGCTATTAGAAAATAAAATTATAATAATAACTTTAAAGTATAAATGCAGAAGTTCCTTTTAGCATATGAAGTGGACTAAAAATATTGAGTTAGGCTTTGTGAGGTTTATAGAAGAAAGATTTATACTTGCTGACCAAAATGTGTGATGGTGGAAGAGAGGGTCCCTATTTCAAAACCAAGGTATTCCCATCCTCATTTCAGTTCCAGAGACCTAGAAGATTAACCCTGCCAATGATTTTTCAATGCCCAGAATTGTAAAAGGCTGAAGAAATTTGGGTATTCAAGCTTGATGGTGACACGTGTATCAAAGGAATGAGGTTTAAACTATGTCTTCAAATGAAATTCAGACCAAAAGTAGGTTCAAATCTCCCAAAGAATCAACTGGCCTATGTGTGCCTCTGCATATGGAGTCCAACAGCAGCAGCATTTTGGAGAAAACTCCAACTGCTGATGTCAATTTTATTGACTGCAGCTAGATTAGCAATACCAGGTCTAAAGGGTAAAGTTTTTAATCACCTCCAACCCCCAGCACCAGTACAGAGCAGGTAATGTACTTATTCCCCCGCATTTTTTGGGTCTGCAGTAATATGATCAGATCACTGCTTCTTATATTGTACTTTCCCACTCTTTGTTGATTATATCTTTGCTTGTCTAGCTTCCCCACCAAATGTTGTCAGGGGTTCTTAGTAACAGGAGTTCTACGTCAGATTCCCCATGAAATAGACTCAGAGACTGACATTTGCAAGCAGGAGTTTTACTGAAGAGTGCTTTTTGGGAAAAAAAAAATACCTAAAGAAATCATGCAAATCAAAACACCTGAGAGTAATGGAAGTAGAGTTGGACAGAAGAAAAAGTTAAAATGCAATAGCAGTTGCAACCAATACTTAAGCTCATCCCAAGGAGAACCTCTGAAGCTGGGATGTCCTTTCTAAGAAATTCCAGATTGAGGCAAGAGGTTGGGATTTTGTAGTTTGTAAAGAACAAGTCACTGGATGCAGGCTGTCTTTGAGGAGAAAATTATTTTGGGCAAGAAATCTATCTTCCACTGAAGAACATGTCTGGGAATAAATTCATTGAGCATTCAGCAGGCAATGTGCCCAATAGGTAGGGGAATGTGTGTCCTTTCCTGAAGGGGGATTTGGGCAGTACACTGCAGCTTGTCCAGAGTGTGTCCCCCTAGAATCCACCATATGGATCAACTTCTTTTCTATAATGTTTATTCCATCTCGGACTAACTCCATTCAGTTTTTTGTGTCTTTTTCTGAGAAAACGTATTTGTCTATTGATGAGTAGACCTAACTACTACCCCTGCCTTTGCAGCTGGTCTCTGGGTCACAAGTGAAACTAATCCTCTTCCTTCTTTGCTAACCATTTTAACTTCTCCTCACACTCAACAAGGACCTCAGCTGGACTGAGTGGCTTATCAGATATGATGACCCAGACCCTCATCCCTGAGTGGTTTGAACCATAGCTCATCAGAACCTTCTCAGACTATAGCGAATACGTTTGTAAATTCACCATCAAAATTAATCAAGCGGGGACAAAGAGATCCCTTAGTAACCACCTTGGTACCAAAGGTTGTATTTCCTACACCACTGTACGACAGCAGCTCTACCTCATCATGATGATCAGGATCAATTACCCCTCCCATATTGGTCTTGGCAATAATAAGCACAAAATATCAAAGTGGTAGCTGGTGTCCTTTGATGAAAGCTTACCTTCTCTGGGAACCTGAATCTCTAGATCTACAGAATGGAGAGTCGTGGAGACAGGAGGCACAGCTTGCCCAAGTGTGTCCTAGGGGTAATGGTAAGCAGGGCCATTCCAACTCCTACTGCCAGGACCCATGTAATCTACCTTTTTGGGACACATCACTATATAATGGTTATTGTTTTAGTTTATACAGAAGTATGACACTCTATATTCACACAAAATCATCTCCAAATTAGTGTCTCAGTTGTTCCTTTAAATGTCATTCTATCATCCTCTGAGGATGAGGGTTTTTGGGTAGAGCAGTAAATAATATGATCAGTGATTCACAGGTGTCTTCTGCTGTACCTCCTTCACTGTAAATGCATTATTTGGTCAAATGCAATAGTATATTGGTTCCTGTGTCAGTCATTCAAACCCTATATAAGTTCTCAGATAATGGTGCTGGCTGAGGGCTGCAGACAGAAGAAAATCTGTAACTGGACTTTGTATGGAGTCCCATCCAGGCTGCTGCCTCTTCGAGGACGTGTGGGGTCAGTGTATAGTAAACATGTAGCCAAATAGCTAGCTGGTTTCCAACAGAGATTGTACTTTATTAGGATTCAATGTAAGTCTGTTCTGCTGACAGTTTATACATTGGGCTGGGGCAGTGCCTAAATCAGCCTATGCTGATACATATGCTGTTAGGTACATGAATACCTCCATCCCTGACACCCTGGCTACCCTCTTCACACAAACCTTGTGCTAGCATTAAGTGGCCAATGACACAATCTAGTAGATGTCAACTTGCTATGTTATTAAATGTTCTCCATTATTTAGTGGCCCCATAGTTTATGTTAATAGATAAGATAATCATTTCCACACCTTGTGCCCTTTTCTATAGGTATTTCACATGACTCTTCCCTGCAATCCTTTTCTACTGACCTTCCAGCCTTTCTCTTTCTAGACCCTGACCAGCCAATGCCTATTAACCATTTATAGTCAATGATTAAATCTTGCCTATAAATCTGTATACAGTCTTACCTCAGGCTACTTCTCTTTCCAGTGAAAAGATAACTGGCTGTATGACTTGATAGTCTGTCTTTGATTGGATATATATTTACCACTATTTTTCAGGGCCACCCCTGAGTATTGTTTTAGTGCACCTAGAGTCCATTTTTTTGCTCTCCTAAATTACCAGATTGACCCATATATGGACAAAGATTAACCTTTTTCTTTTTCTCTCAACAGCTTGTAAAGGACTCTATGCAACCATGCATTTGAGCTGAGGTGCAACAGTGATGATGACTTTGGGGTCTAGGATATTTTATCATACAGCTCGCTTGTGCCCTTTGGGCTATTCATGCCTAAGCCTACATGTACAACTTCCATCTTTTTATAAATTACTGTTGGTCGCTTAGTTGTGGACATGTGGTCATTTATCACAAGGACAAGTGCCCCAGTGTGAGGCCAGAAATATATATATATATATTTTAATTTTCTATAACCCTCTGGTATGTACAAAAAACAGAATAGTATTAAGCCTAACATGGGAATTAAATTTTGACACTTGTTACAACATAGATGAACCTTGAAGATATTATGCTAAAATAAGCCAGAGACAAAAAGACAAAGAGTGTATGATTTCATTTTTATGATTGCACCCGTAGTAGTCAAAAATCTTAGAGACAGAAAGTAAGATAGTGGTAACTAGGAGATTGGAGGAGGGACAAATTGGGAATTATCGTTTAATGGTTACATAATTTTAACTTGAGAAGATGAAATAGTACTGGGTATGGATAGTAATAATGATTCCACAAAAATATAAATGTACTTATTATATTTATTATTATTATTTATTATATATATTATTATTTATTATAGTGAACTATACACATAGAATATTGAAAATGGTTTTATGTTATATTTACCTCATTAAAAATATATTTTAAGTACAAAAAAGACAAAATATTCCTGTTTTCATATCATTTGGTTACTCAATTAAATAGCTGTATGACACCAGAGGGGAGGTCTGGGCAAATCATTTCCATTACAGGCTTCCTGTGACATTGCTGGGTCATTCTCGCTGGTGACCAGGATTTACTTACAGTCCATTGATTTTGAAGATATGGGCTTTATTTATTTTATTATATACATAGAGTTATACCATTCTTACTTAGGCTTAAGGATGCCATTTTTATTTAAGCATCTCCAAGCATCTCTCTGGTCAACTTTCTTAGCTGCCACTCCCACCTATTCACTCACTATGATAATTGGAGACACTGTCTTCTGGTGGTCAAGAACTGCCACCTGATCACGAATATTTTAAGATTCCATTATTTTCATTGTTATTAGAGAGCCCTCTATTCTAAGTTATTTACATAGTTTGGTCATGTAATCCTTGCAACACATCAATGAGGTAAGAACTGGTCTCGCCATTTTATGGTTGAGGACACTGAGTCACAGAGAGTTTATACAGCATTTGTAAAATACAGTAAGATATTATTAGTTAAGAGTACATCCTTGACAAATGCCCTGATAAATACTCATCAGGATCATTATGAACAAAAATAAAGAAATGTAAAATGCATGATATCTCAAATGGAAGCTTCATTCCCCTTTAAAAAAAAATGTAATCCATTTTGATCTGTTTGCATCATTCCTGATACGTGATATTCAGGATATAATTTTAAGATAAATGCTAAGGCTTATTTCTGTGAAACAAAGAAGGTCAGAAGATATTCAGCTAGGTTTATTTTTTTCTTTAAAAAGCTTTGTTTTACCAAGTAAACATTTTACTTTCAAGTGACAACAGAGCTTTAAAATGCTTTAAAGTGGTTATGAAGAGCAAGAAAGCAACTTCTCCAATTGACTCGTAAGACCTTACCCACGTATATAATGTTATTTGTGGTTCACCTCACTGCTTGTTGTTTTGCTTTTATAGTCTAAAATCCCATAAAACAGAACCTCAGAAAACAAATGACAGATTTACTTAAATATAAATGAGTGAGTAGTTATGATATCAACCAAATATGCTTAACGATATGTCTGGAGAGTCAGGTATCAAACAGGTCAAAGGGACTGTTCTTTCTATATAACAGATACATTTTATATCTATCTAATATAGATAGATATATAATATATAACAATATATGTAAATATACCTTTACCCTTTGAAAGAAAACCTCAATAATTATTTTTACACACACACACACACACACCCCTCAGTGTATGACAGTTTGTTTCTATATTATAGAAACATTATAAATAAGAAAGTGAAGACATCTGTGTATGTGTGAATAATATGGTCAAAGGACAATTAAGATCATACAATTTTATTTTAGGGAGATTATAAGGAAAATTTATTTGAAATGTATTCCAATCTATTTACCTAAATTCAGTCAAATTTTGATTATTTTCAGCTCTCTTAAAATGTATTTTGTATCTTGTTCATTGAATAGTAGTCTTGTTAAAAAGTTGTTAAATATAACAGTGTCCCATATTTAAATACAAATGAATTGTTTAATTCAAATTTTTATATTGTGCATATTTAAAAAAATCTATTTCTAACAAATGCCTACTGAAAGTTACTGAATTGATTTAGAATTTTAAAAATTTAATTTATTAGTATGATGTATGTACAAAATAAAAATTCCTTTTACGGTTACAAAATTCAGCTTGTAGGTATAGATTTTTTATAAACCACCTTTCATTGTATACAGAAAAATATGTAATTGGAGGATCATTTATCTTGAGACTTCTAGGTATGTCCTAGACTGATACAAACATAGAAACAATACATATGAATTATGTTTATTTGACAAATGAAGATTCAGAAGAAAATGTAGGATGTTATAATGTAGACAGTAAATGGCAATTTTATTAACTCCTCAGAAATGCACGTTCTCTTGTAATATTTTTTATGATTTACAGGGTAACAGTAATTGAATGATAAAAATCAGTGATTCATAAACCCTAAGAGCTACACAAACAATGTGATATCCTTCATTTATCCTTGTCCTTCAGCAGATAAGGAAACTAGGACCAAGAGAGTCCAATGAATTTCCTACAATTACAAAGTTTCTTAGTGGCAAATTAAAGAAATGAGTGAAGTTCTGACTCAGAAAAACATTTATTGTACTAAATTTTCTTATTATTTAGAAAAAAACTCACACACATTTAAAATATATATTTACCTTATTTCTACTATATACAAGATAAATACTCTCATTCTCCTTGAAAAAATATGCAAAAAGCAATAGTCAAAATCAACAAACTTTAGTGATTTGAAGGAAATAATATTTGAATTGGGATTAAACAAGAATATGACACATATTTAGTAAAAGAGCTGTTTTCTTGAGACAAAGATAATAGTAGAACAAGCAACAAAACAAAGCAAAACAAAAATACCTCTAGAAGCCCGGTATTTGAAAGCGTGAACCAGCCTAGTGCTCTACAATAGCTTTGTCAGCTTTAATTTTCTCATTTGTAAAATAAAGATAACAAATTATTTCATGGGATTGCTGTAAGCATCAATTATGTATGAAAATATGGAGAGTCTCTGGCATCTAAAGTATGCTCAATATTTAACATTCTGGTACACAAAAGGATGAAAAAATGTGGGTTGATATGACAGACCATGTCATAATTGCATAACTGTACCACTCCTTTTTCACATTAAAATTGGAAAATGTAAAAGACGTTTTAAAATTTTGTGAAACTTGACTTTTTCATAGTCGTATGCCAATTTTTTTTTATTATTATACTTTAAGTTCTGGGATACAAGTGCAGAACGTGTAGGTTTGTTACATAGGTATACATGTGCCATGGTGGTTTGCTGCACCCATCGACCCGTTATCTACATTAAGTATTTCTCCTAATGCTATCCCTCTCCTAGCCCCACATCCCCTGAAAGGTCCCAGTGTGTGATGTTCCCCTCCCTGTGTCCATGTGTTCTCATTGTTCAACTCCTACTTATGAGTGAGAACATGCAGTGTTTGGTTTTCTGTTCCTGTGTTAGCTTGCTGCAAATGATGGTTTCCAGCTTCATCCATGTCCCTGCAAAGGACATAAACTCATCCTTTTTTGTGGCTGCATAGTATTCCATGGTGTATATATGTGACATTTTCTTTATCCAGTCTATCGTTAGTATTTTTTATTCCATATTATCTGGGTCTCAGAGCACAGTATCTCATTCTCTGTTTTAGTACCAAATATATATTGAGGATCTATAAAGAACAGACAAATGACAAGGACAATACAGTATTATATTTTAAGAATTGTATCAGAAGCATAACCAAATGATGCTATGAAAGTCCAAGGAACACAAATTTATGCCAAAAGAGCAAAAAAGGAGTTAGAAGGCTCCTTGAGAAGGTGATATACTGGCGGAGTCTTGGAAGGGAAATTATGTTCTGGCAGCTGAGAGATCTCTTCCTAAGGAGAGTGCAGCATTGTCCTGGAAATAAAGGAAAAATGAAATACATTGGGGTCAGTGGACAGCAGCTAGCTTGCTATAATGAAATTGAAAGATACATGTTGTAAGAAGTAGGATATGAATCTGAAGAGATGTCCACAAGCTAGATCATTAAGGGCCTGATAAACCAAAAGAACAGATTTTTATATTTCCTGGTCAATTAGGTTTCCCTAGATAATTTTAAACTGGAATGCAATGTCCACTCTGCCTTTTTAAATGATTACTTTTGTATTAGTATGAAGAAAAGTCTGGAGGGATGAAACCAAGGCTGGACTTAGTAAAATGATAATTAAAAAGATGATTAAATGATGTTGATGATGATGATGATAATGATGGTAGGAAAAATAGTAAATATTTGCATGATCTTTATAATAACCCTAGGACGGCTGAACCATAATTAGTATAAGCATTTTTAATCCTCAAGACTAATTGGTGATAGATTTTCTGATATTTTTCTCATCATTCCCGCTTATAGATGATGAAATGTACAACGGAGCAAGTCTTTGAAGTCAGCAGTTCAGATACAGAGTGCAAATTTAACCAATTATAATAGCCTGCAGAATCTGAGAAACCCAGGATACAAGAAATTCAGGCAAAAAGTAATTAATGTGATAGTTAATCAACAAAATTATCCATTTTTATTAACTTACCATAACCATTCTGCATTTTACAGAATCCTGTAGCATAGTGCATGTGCTTTACTTGTTTGCTCTTATTTTCTTTGTGGCCCCATTTCCTGGATCCTCAGTTGCTTGTTCTACTGCAACAGCTGCTGTTGCCTGGCTAATGTCTTGGCTAACTTCTGCTTCTGGGGGCTGACTGTTGCCTGTCCTAGAGGAAAATGTCTCCTATTTGTCAGTCATAATATAGTTCAATCATCACCATGACTTGAGTTTCTGGCTCCTCCTGTCATGTGTGGACTTTAGTCTCTCACCGATTCATTTCTACAAATACATGAATAGGGACATGTGGTCAGCTTCATCAAAAAAGGAGAGAGAAATACTATTATTCTGTGGAAGAGTTTGTAACAAAGCCGGGATACAGCATGCTTGTAATTATATACTGGTGTCTCCTATACATCCTCCCTGCCAGCCACACAGGTTATTAGATGGTACAGATTCATCACTGCCATTAAACATTCTTTGTCTTACCATCCCCCTAAAAAAAAAACAAAAATAAAGATAAAGAAAGAGGAAACACTAGTGGTAGAGCTGCTCTTACTCCAAAGAAAAGATTCTCTTTGCTGTTTTGGGGAATCTCATTGCCATGTGCTCCTTCTAGAAAGATCTGAGATTACACAATATGAGAGGACAGAGGAAAATGCAATAAGGAAATCTTTCCTTGATATATAGTGTTTGGAGGCTTCCTAAGCATTCCCTTAGAACACTGCTTATGACTATGGTCAGTTTGTTCATCTGCCCTGCCCTGGTATATTCTTGGAGCCTTCTGATACTGTATCATATAATATCCTTTTTCTTCTGCCTGATGTCTTCTTCTGTGCTTTAGTTTCAGAGACAATATAAGCACAGCCAATGCTGGCGTATCAATTATGTGCCTTAGTTATTGGAATGACACCCTCACCCTCTTTCCTCTATCCCAAGTTACCTAAGCACTATCTAATTCAATACCTAGGGAAGTGTTATTTCATTCTTACATTGAGGGTGCTCAAAAGAAATATAATCTGAACCACAAATATAAGCTTTATTTTAAATTATATTTAAAATATAATTTTAAATTTTGTAGTATTTACATTAAAAATGGAAACAGGTGAAGATCTTACTAATTCATTTTAACATAATATTTCTAAAATATTATTTTAACACATAATCACTATAAAAGTATTTACAATTTTTTTACATTATTTTGTTGAATTTTCAAACCCAGTGGGTATCGTCCACTTACTACACACCTTAATTCAGACTAGCCAAATTTCAAGTGCTCAATAGACACATGTGGCTAGTGGCTATCAGAGGGGACAGCACACGTTTATCCCTGTCAGTTCCCAGCTCTAGGAACGTGGAAATGGGACTCCAAACTGTGCCAGATAGTAGTGGGTTCAGGGTTGTATCTCCCACTCACCCTATCTCAACTTAATGTGGAAATTTAAATAAATCTCATGCAAAAATCCTCCAGGCAAAAGTTGTCTTAAATACTCAGCTTTCATCTATGAGTTATTACATTCACTTGGGTTTATTTTTTAATTTTTATTTTAGTTTATAACATTTCTGTGAAGAATAACATGCATACAGAAAGGAGAGAAAATGCTAAATACATAGCTCAAAGAATTGTTACAAAACGAAAAAACATATACCAGTATATCCAATACCTGCGTCAAGAAATAAATCAATATTGGCATAAGCAGAACTTGCTCTATGTCACTTCCCAGACCACAGCATTCCTCAAAAATAATGACTATCCTAGTTCTTAATACCACGTGTTTGATTTGTCTGCTTATCCGCTTTATGTACGTGGAGTCAATAGTTAATACTCATTTGTTTCTGCTTTTGTCATTCACCATCATGTTGGTCTTACTTATTTTTGACTTCTATGAATAGGTTTGTAAATTGCCAGGACATGGATGCAGTTTGAAAAAGAGAAAAGCAGTGTCTGACAGTCCGAGTATTGGCATAGTTCTGTCAGTTCGGTGTTGCTAAGAGCTGGCTACTCACTCACAGCTGGGCTAGAGCATTGTTTTGTTGAACATAAAGAGTTTCACAAAATACTATCAGACAAAGTCTCTCTATGATCATAATAAATCAAGATGAAACCATGTCCATTCATTAATAATTTCTGAACTTAGAAAGCAAAACAAATGAACGCTGACTACATCACAAAGATGACCATACATCCTTCTGCTCTTCTGGCTAACATGAGTGACTGCTGCTCATCAAGTACAGCTTTAGACTTTATTCCTCTCACCTTTTACATAAAGTCTTTAAGATGCTCAGTCGTAGAATTATCTTCATATTCTGACAGCACACAATGTAGAGCAAAGCTCTGCTTCCTTGAACGTTCCCCCAATCACTTACAAAGGCCAAATCCTATCAATCCTTTCCATCACCCTAGTATTGAGATACCTCAGTATTCAATGATGTGTTCACTTCTTTGTTGCAATGAGTAAAAACAAAATAAAAAACTACAACTTTAACTACAGATCAAAGGAGGACACTGACAATTTTAAAATGATTTTACAATACCTAATGTATATACAGACATTATAAAGTTTTGGTCACTGTTTTTATTTCACTATATTGCAATAAGTGAATAAGTTTACCACGCTTTGGATGTGGTAAACTTCTACTTTATTATAAAGCTGTTTATGTGTATATTATGAATATATCTCATTCTTTCTAATAAAATTTAAGCCTCCAGAAGATTTAAAAAATGTGTCATTTTATACCATTTATACACTTGACTTTTTCCATTCATTCGTCAAATACTGATTAAATGCATTTATGCTTAGGTTTTCATCAGATCAGTATTTGAGAAATAAGCAAAAGAAATCATGAGAAAATGAATGCTTAAATTATTAGCGAGAGACTGAGCTCCACCATTTGTCTGCTTTTGCTTAGTTCTTCCAGATACCCAGGAATGGTGACCAGGAATGATTATGTTTTTTGTGTGTGCAAAAATCCTAAGTGTCATATTCAAACTCTTAAATTTTGACATAATTAAAATATTTTTCTAACCAATTTTTCCAAAGGGAACTTGTTTGGATGGTCTATTTCAAAGAATATTTCACCAATTTATTTACTTTTAAGAAGCCATGGACCCTAAATTCCTCTCCCTCTTGAACAGCAAGATGTGCCAGGTGACTGTCATCTACTATACAATTACAGCTCCTGTATGATTTGCTAGTCAGTAGTGCGAGGAGATCTGTACCTAAACTTGGCACAAATGGATTGTATGATGGGAGTCCTGGGGAACATTTATGATGCTTGTGCTATTGCAACTACTGTTCTGGGTTTTCTTTTTCCTGTTTCAAACACTGGCCGTGACAGTGCCAGAGACAGCCCATGATTTAAGAGTGAAGAATAGTGCTGCTGTTATAGCTGTGGTGTCTGTGATGAATGGAGGCAAAGCAAGCAAGAAGGAAGGAAGATGTGAATTAGGAGGGGAAGGATAGAAAGTGACAGATTTAAAGCTATCCCCCCAAAAAACATCAGCCACTTTACCCTGTACACAATTTTAATTTTGAGAGGTTTTATGAAATGTCAGGCTAAATTTTGTTTGAATTACGGTTTAAGTATAAATCACTCTCTACTTAACAATTACACTAGCCTGGGAAGAAATTATTTTCATACTCTTTTCTTGCACTTCTTAAAATGTTGATTTTTGGTAAAAAAGCATGCAATGTATTATTTTTAAGAAAATATGACGTGAAATATAAAACAACATTGTAAATTTTTTGACTTAGTTAAATAGTAATTTGATACCATATTTTGCTATCATTTAGAAAAACTTTACAAAATGTTGATAAGCCAACTATGAAATGGCTTGTGGTATGTAAACAATTAAGCATTTACATGGCATTTTCTGTGTCATCTCCATAGTGGTGGCTGCTATAAGAAACAAACAAAAAGAACATGATATACATTTACCCCATTAGAACTTTAAAATATTGTCTCTGATCTAAAATCTGGATACACAAAACAGTTGGTAAAGAAAGGAAAGTCAGCATATAATATAAACCAATAGGGAACATCTTTATGGCGGTTAGGTACGACCAGAAAGGGGAAGTGCAATGTTAAGCAGCTTCATCATGAATGTTTTAATAACAAGTATGGCTCATCCCATAGTCCAAGAGGTTAATTATAAGGATTGCATTTTTTTCTCAAAGCTGTTTTTACCTAGAATTCAGTCATCTCAGGCCATGTATGCAGGATTGATGGAATAAATCTCTGAGGATGTAATTTGCATGAGATATGAGAAATTCCCTAGCAAGGAGCTCTCCAGAAAAAAAGAAGATTAGAAGAAAGCTATGCCTGCCTTAAAAACAATACCTCAGGCAGGATGAGGGAGGAAAGATAATTTTAAATAAGGCTGACCTCTAGCCTAGACATCATGGATTTGTACTTCTTCATAGGGGGATGTGTCTGCAAAAAGTAAATTCTGACATTACAAAAATCTCTGTGATACATGGGAAGTGCAAAACAGCGCTGTCTAGCATCAGGTATAACAAACAGGGTGAATCACCCCAGAGAGTACAGGTGGCTCCCTGTTGCTTCATTAGAGAACATAGAAAGTGTCTTAACTAAATCCACACCAGGGTAACATCTGCAATGTTGACAATTCAGAAGAAGCAGCTTCGCACAGTGGGACATCATTAGCATCAGTGGGAGATGGTACCAAAGCTGCAGCTGTGAGTTTATCACTATAGCCCCTGTGGGAGTGGCAGCAAACAGCAGCATTGAGGTGGTGGACCTGCACAATACTTTTACACAATACCTGCACGATACTTGCAGACATTGGACGACAGCAGTAGATAACAAAGCAAGAGATCAGAGCTTAAGTAGTTAATGAATGAAAAGGTGAATTTTGCAGTTGAAAATACTTTTTAAATAAATATCCTCTGTGTGTGTGTGTGTGTGTGTGTGTGTGTGTGTGTGTGTGTAAAGTTTTCAGAAATAATTAGGGGGAATGTTGGAAGATAAGGGCATGGGTGTATCACATTGGCAGAAGATGCCAAATCAAGAAAAGTACTGTTTTCATAGACATAAAGATCCCTTCTTCACCCTCCCAGAATCAAGACCTGGGGATCAACTACACAGAAAGACTACGTACAGGCAGAAGAGAGAGCCTTTCCGTGTATGGGCCAGGAGATCTTTGTGCTTTCTGCTTTGAGGAAGAGGATGAGCTAAACAGGAAAATCCTTTGGGCCACACGTGCACCGTGTGGTTTATGGATTCTAATCAGAATGCCTTTTTAGAACCGTCCATTTAATTAAATTTTGTGAGAAAAGACTAGCCTGGGGTTTATAGGTTCCTGGTTCAAGGTGTAACATGTCCAATACGATACCACATGACAAAATTCTAAAAATTTTCTTTAGTTAAACTGTTTCCCACACCCTGTTTTGTGAACCAGACAGTAAGTTTGGTGATAACAGGTTTGTATTTGCAGTAAAAGAGTGTTTAGTGCTTAAGAATAAACTTTAGAACTAAGTCTTAGCTTTCGAGCTTATAAACTATCTTTAGGCAAAGCAGCTCACCTATAAGGACCTCGGTTTCCACATTATAAAAATATGTTGTATAACAATAATCGTAACAATAATACCATATGCTTCATGTTGTTGCTGGGGATTTAAATATGTAATATTTGTAAAGCTCATGAAAGAATATTTCACATATATTATCTCTTTGCTATTAATAAATATGAACTCCATTTAAGTGCACTTGGAGCTATTTGATACATATTTCCTGCTTATTTAATTTAATGATGAAGAAATTTTTAATGTGGCTTTATAACTTAATATCATATATGATTAAATTTACCCACAAGCTATATTTATATTTTAGTATACTTAAGGAAAATATCTTTAAAACACATTGGCTTAAAAACTAAAATATTTATCCGTAACCATTAAGTTAAATACTAATGATTATTCTCTACTCCAAAATAATAAAATCTCAAAAATTTATATATTATTTAATATACCAACATAAAATATATCAGAAATAAAAAATTATTAAGCCTCTATATGTTTTAAAATTGAAAGCTACATGGTTTTAAAAATAAGATCTCCACTATTCCAGGATTTCAGTCTTAAAAAGCATCTTGTTGACTACAGTGCTCTACAAAAGATTACTCAGATATTCATTCAGGATCTGCCTGAAAGCTAAGACAATAAATTCAGATTTGATCATTTTTCCTGCACGTGCATATATATTAAAGGGATTCACAACAATTGGAAATGACTGTAGTAAGGCAAAGTTCTCTTTTAAGATACTTGAGTAAAATAACGGCTCTACAAAATTAATGTTGTCAATGTAGACAGCCAGGTAAGATGATTTCTTATTTAATTCCTGATATATAAGCATTATTTCAATCAATAATTACTTATTATAACTACTGTGGGAAAACCACTTTGGAAGGTGAAGCAAGAACACATAAAGATGATTTAAAAGTTTTAAAATCTACAATAGCCAAAATAAAGTTTTGGGTTACAATGTGCCCACACATGCCCTTAGAATTCATATGTTGAAGCCCTGAACCACAGTCCTTCAGAATGCAACAGTGTTTGGAGATAGAGCCATTAAAGAGCTGTTAAGTTAAAATGAGGTTCATAGGACTGGTGTCCTTATAAGAGGAAGGAATGTGCACACACAGACTCCAAAGACATACTGCACATAGGAAAGACTATGTGCATACTCACTAAGAAGGTGGCCATCTGAAAGGCTAAGAAGACTCACAGAGAAAAACAAACCCAATGGTACCTTGATCTTGGACTTCGAGCCTCCAGAATGGTGAGAAATTAAATGGCTATTATTTAAGCCAACTAGTCTTAAGCCAATGTGGTATCTTGTTTAGCAGCCCTAACAAACTAATGCAAAATTACACTATTTTCTAAAATTATTTGGGACTCAGAATCAATAAACTTTCTTACCTCTGATTTCTCATCAGAAACTATGGTTTATTTGTAGAACATCTCACAATATGTTGCATTTTTCAAAGTTATAATTGTTTAACCTATCTATTTTTTTTTTTTTCAGACAGAGTCTTGCTCTGTCGCCCAAGCTGGAGTGCAGTGATGTGATCTCGGCTCACTGTAAACTTCACCTACTGGGTTCAAGCAATTCTCCTGCCTCAGCCTCCCAAGTAGCTGGGATTACAGGCACCTGCCACAACGCCTAGCTAATTTTTGTATTTTTAGTAGATATGGGGTTTCATGATATTGGCCAAGCTGCTCTTGAACTCCTGATCTCAAGTGATCTGCCTGCCTCAGCCTCCCAAAGTGCTGGGATTACAGACATGAGCCACTGCACCCTACCTAACCCATCTATTTTTAAAGCTGATTATGGACAACTCAAGAACAAAATTTCTTATATTAATGTTTGTCCTCTCCAAATCTCATGTTGAAATTCGATCCCGAATGTTGGAGATGGGCCTAATGGAAGATGTTGGGATCATGCGGGTGACCCTTCATGAATGGCTTCATGCCTTTCTCATGGTAATGAGTGAATTCTCACCCTTAGTTCCTGTAAGGACTGATTGTTAAAAACAACCTGGCACCTCTTCCTCTTTCTCTCATTTCCTTTCTCTCACCATATGATGATGGCTCCCCTTTCCCTTCTGCTATGATTTGGAAGCTCCCTGAAGCCCTTACCAGAAACAAATGCTGGCATCATGCCTCTTATACAGCCTGCAGAACCAGGAGCCTAATAAACCTCTTTTTAAATAAATTACCCAGCCCCAGGTATTCCTTTGTAGCCATCCAAAACAGACTAATACAATTACACATTTATGTACTTATATGTAGCTTCATTTTATGTCTTACAGTAGGAGATACATAACTGCCTCTTCAATGAATGTTTTATTTGCTTACTAGAGAGGAAACTGTGAAAGAGGAATTACATTATGGCCTCTTAATAGATTCATCTGTCCATTATCAATAAGATAATAATTTTTAAAAGGAAGACACTGAAGGAAGACTGAGTCTGGGTAAATGTATTGAGTCAAGTTTGAATTTGTGGTATAGTGAGTATGAGTTCTTGGTATGCATGCCTGTAAAAAATTACTTAATCCAAGAAGTGTGAGATGAAAAGCCAAAAGAATAGAAAAACATGTAAAAATAGGGGTCACCAATGTATACATGAACAGTAAAAACATGTAAGTAAACGGCATTGCATAGGAAAAAAGAGGCATAAGAACAGGACCTTAAGAATCATGCATATTAAAATATTGAATACAAGAAAAAGTATGAGTGAAGAAGTTGAAAAGGAGCATAGAGAAAAGAGCTGGCCAGAAAAATGGAAGTGTGCAGAGGAAAAAAACACTTAATAAAAAGATAATTAAATATGTCAAATACTGAAGAGCTAGTAAAGGAAATGAGGACCGAATAATAATTATGAAGTAAAATAATAATCAGAAACTTAATAGTAAGGCAGATATGAAAGCCTACAAACAAAATAAGAAAGAGCATATGTGTTAGATGCTACCAGTGCTCTCTGATATACAGTTCTTTTCTTCCAGGCACATAAATGTCTACCCTCCCCAGCCCCTTACAGATTGGTGAGATCAGGTGACTTAATTTAACTAATGAAATGTAAAGAAAATAAAATGCTACACTTTGACTAAAACATTTAATTACCACTGAAAGCCACTCTGTGTCTTCTCCTACTGATATCCCAGGGTGAGCTACATAATCCAAAGATGAACTATGAAGAAATTGAAACAGCTAACCTAGTCTGATCTTTCTGGTATTTCCAACGTATGAATAGTAAAATGTAAGATAGGAGTTTGAGAAGTAAGTAAAATTAAGGCAATAAGGGAAAAGGATAAGTGAGTATGTGTTTGAAAAGAGAAAGAGAGAGAATGAATGAAAGAAAAAATATCCAGTTAAAATTGGATAAATTCGCAGCTCCTTGGGAAATTGTATAGGTAAATCTCATCACTGAATTTACTAAAGGCTTGTGGTTATAGGGAAAGTGACAAAGGTTAGTCAAGAGGTGAAACCACTCAGAGCA
Source organism: Homo sapiens (assembly GCF_000001405.40). Taxonomy (NCBI): domain Eukaryota; kingdom Metazoa; phylum Chordata; class Mammalia; order Primates; family Hominidae; genus Homo; species Homo sapiens. The sequence goes on from NC_000004.12 coordinate 32,594,998, forward strand.
TGAATGAGGGCAACATTAGAATTTTATCTACTGTATTCAGGATCGGTAACAAGATGAATTAACGCTGACATGGATGATAGAGGGGCAATTACTGAAGTGTTGAGGATCTCTAAACATATTTAGTAATTCTTGCTTTTAAGCCTGAACAAAGTTTAAGAGTAACCCAGGAGGAGGACTGGTTAATTTCATCTGAAGAATACCAGGAAAGGATGAAGACAGGAGACAACATCCTTGTAAGTGTTTTAGGTGATAAACAGGAGTTTAACTGGGAGATCAATTAAGTGAGGGCATTTCAAAAAGAGGACACTAATTTGAATGTGATACATCAGCCAGCGTTTCAGAAATATAAGCAATATAGAATGATAACACAATAAAACTATCAAAAATTAGGGAGGTTACAAACCCCTGCTCTTTATATTCCTTGCTTAGTGCTTGGAATTCATGCTAGAGGAAAAAAAATTCTAAGTCCATTAAAGAGTATAGGTGCATAATACTTACTCTATTTTAGGAAGATTATATCACCAAATGAATAATAAAATTTAAATTCCAGTAAAAGTGCCAAAGTCTGCATATGTTACAGAATTCTATATGATTCATTTTGTTTATTTTTTCTGTGGAGTTGTAAGAATAATTTATGAAGCGCTGTTTTATCCTCAAAAGATGTGTGCTAACATCACTGCTTTAAAACTACCAACTGTTTTTCCGAACCTGCCAGGGGCTTATTTAACTTTATCTTAGGAGCTCTTTGGTCCATTTTTCAAAGTAGATATGAGAAGAACAATTGTTCTCAAATTCTTGTATGAAGGAAAACAGGGATGTCAACAATTTTTAAAGGAAGATATTATTTAATTAAGCTATCAGACAAAAGGAGTCAAATACTGTGAAAAGCAATGCATAGAATAACCATTTCAATATGTATCAAGCTTTAAGGTGCTTTGATGTTTTCTACTAATTAAAGGGACTTAGTCCAGCTACATATTCAAAAATATTTCAATATGGCCATACTTAACCTTCTGATGCTTTGTCTTAGTGCTTATCTTTAAATTTGTAATGCTTATGATCCTTCTTTGTAACTGCTCCAAATGTACCATACCAATTTATTTTGTATGCCTCAACTTTGGCATGGACACAATATCCCAAACAGTTCTGAGGGGTGATTAATGTAATCACTTCTAATAATCCATCAAGTGAAAACATACTGCCATTTTCTTAAGAAGATATCCAAAATAAGCTTCATTGCCATGATAAAAGAAATTTTCTGTTTAGTCAACTCTGATTATAGTTGCTTCTTTATTTTTTAAATTTCACACTATCTTGGCGTTAACTTAATCATCAATCATCTCCCACCTTTATTCCTATTGTGTTTTCTCTATCGTTTCATTATGTCAATTGCCTCACTGTTGTGGTTATTCCATCTCCTCCAAGAAGATCCTCAAGGAGAAGAATTAGTTTTTAATCTCAGTAACTATATTTAATATGATTGCAATATATTTTATTTGACAAAATTTTCAAGAAGGACGATAAAAGACAAATTAATTTTCTAAGGTGCTAGGCTGCCTAAATTGAAATAATAGTTAACAAAAACTCATCGCCATCAACTATATCTGCAAATATTACTTGAAAAAGTCATAAAATTTTCTTTTTCAGAATGGCGTATGATTTTCAGGAATGATCTTGGATCATAGGGTGTATTAAATAAATATTAGATAGTATTAGATAAAAGATATAACTTCTAAAACAATGCATACATAGCAAGGTTTTTAAACACTATATGGTTTTACACACATTTGATTTGTTAGTAGATAGGACTAACATTAGTCTCACCATGTTTCAAAGGAAGAATTATAATACTAAAATCTTAAGTTATTTGTCGTAAGGATACTTGACTACTAAATGGCAGGGCAGTATTAACCCAGGTTTCATAGCTCCAGATTTACATTGTTTCTTCTAAATCATTACATACATTCAGGAGGCAAAGAGACATACAATTTAAAATATCTGAATTAAAGCAGTGAAAGAGAATAAATGTAGAATTGATTTATTAGGACTATTGACAAAAATCACAGAATTAAATTCTCTAAGGAGAATATAATCACAGAACTACACTCTCTAAGGAGAATTTAAATAAGAGTGAGATGTTAAATTTACCAATAAACAAACAAGGTTGTAATACAGAATAAAATTCTGCATATAGTACTATGAAGAACTGAGGAAATTTAAGTAATTACTACCAACTAAATTTATGCAAACCACAAGAAATAATAACTGGCTTACTGTGTACTCATAAAAGAATATAATTCGTTGACTTGAAATCATGGTTTAGGGAGAAATAGGAAACACAAGCATAGTTTGCTGTTATCAAATACACACCTAACCCTTTTCAAGGTCTGAGTTTTCTTTATAATAAAATACAATACAGAGGTTGAGCCAGAAGGGTCAGAAATAACAGTAAAGATAAACACCATTTATTTTCCTGTGAAGAAAATTTGTAGCTAGACTAGTGATGCAGTACTCACATTATGCTGACATACAGGCTCTTGAGACTTATGTTGAAAGCTAGGTACAGGAAAACGATAATGTGCAATTGTGCATAGTTTTGAAGGATGGTGGTAGCATCAGTGTTACATTGTCCTTGCTAACTAAATCAGTCTTGTTTATTGGAATCTACTTTAGGGACAAATTTTTTGCAGAACACTGAAGTTGAATCTAATGGATGAAGATTGCATGTTGCCTTTGGGAGGCTATTCTACAGAGGCATCATTTGAGGTCCCACATTTGTATCAAATTAGTGTCAAGCTTATTTCTAAAAGTTTGTGCTGTTCTGAAAAAAAAATTGTGTTAACGAAAGCCAGAGAGTTTCTTCACAATTCAGCTCTATTTTTTTCAGTTTTTATTATAAGGTGACAAAATAAAATAGAAGCCTAAAATAAAACAAAATAAAATAAAATAAAATAGAACTTTGAGCATAATAACTGAGAACTGAGATTCAGAAGACTGGATTTAAATCTAAATTCTGCCAATTACTACTTAAATGCCAATATGCAAGTTACTTATGCTACTTCAGTTTTTTAAAAGAATAAAATATATAAAATAAACACCTCTTATTTTGGCTGATCATTAAGTAATAGTTAACCAACACCACAAAGTCATGCCTTTAAATTATTGATGCTGATTAAACATTTGTGGAAAATTCTGCTATTTGTTCCTCCAAAAATTATACTTCTCTTCTTCATTATGATCAGAACCCTTGATGCAGCATAAGATAGAATGGACCCAATGATCAGCTTCATAGTTTCCCTTTTCAACCATGGATAATCCCTTCAATACATTATAAGCAGAAGTTAAGTTTCATTCTCCTCATTATAGGTCATATTGTTTTTCTATGCTATGTCATTTCATTCAGGCTAGAAAATAGATTTGGTGAATGATGATAGAGTAGCCATCTTAAGACCATAAGGATAGAATTTATTTTTAAGATGTTACAAATGTCCAAGTGAAAATTCAAAAGAGCTTGGTTCCTTCATATCTTCATATTTCTGTCCCACCAGTACTAAAATGCTTATTTCCAAACATCTATTACAGAACATGAGAAAAATAAACAACTATTTGGTAAGGCACTCCATCAAGTATTCTATAAAATGTGTATAAACATAATCCTTACCCATGTTAGGTTTGACAGATTTATTAATGCATTTTCTTAGCATCATTTCTGCTATGTAAGATCTCATTATATATAATGTCATAACTATCATAATCTAATTGGATGAATATGGTTCATGTATACATATATTGAGAAAACACACTGTACACCTTAAATATGTATCATTCTTATGTGTTAAGTTAAAACAATGAAAAAATCTTGAAATAATTTATATATCAACATTATCAGAAACAATAATAGCTAACTGGTACAGAAAATAGATACTATTATATATATTGAGTTTGTCCTAATTCCAACGCACCATGCTTAAAATGAATGACCACACAATTTTCATTGCCCAAGAATTCCAATTCTAGTCAAAAAGACAGGGAATACAGATATGAAAAGTTAGTGCTATAACTTTCTCTGTTCCATCTTTGCCAAGTTCTCACTCATTCAATGAAAAAAAAAAACTTGAGTTTTTACATTTTTCAACTATATTCCTATCAAAATATGACCCTAGAATAAAACAAATACTGATGAAGAAAATAGAATAGGCCTGTATTAGTGTTTTGAGCAGAAAGAAGCAACTATTGGACGGCTTTAAGATGAAGGAGAGATTTGCATCAGATGCAGAGACAGTCTGGAAATAAGCTAGTACTCTTCTGAACCTTCTGGTTATGATTAAAACAGGAAAAAGTATATTTTACGACATTTTACAAATGTAAAGTCAGAACCTGTAAGTGCATAATAAAATATTTATTATCCCAAAACTGTGAATTATATTTTGTTTTTTCTTTAGAACTATTTTGAATTTTTATGCACAGTCAGTCGTGGTGAAAAAGTGTTGTACAACTTTGTGTGTTTTAAATTAATTTGGTAAGAGTTGATTTCTAATAATTTTGAGTTTTCTAATTCATAAATATGGCATATTTCTCTATTTATTTGTGTTATCATTGAATTTTTTTTCCAGTACGGTAATTTTTAGCTACCAATATTTTACAAATATTAGATTTATTTCAAACATTTCATTTTTTATTGATGCTATAAGAAAAACTGTCATTTTATTGCTGTGTATTGATAGAATAAAAATCAAATTGATTTTTGTCATTTTAATCCTGAATCTCAAGACCTGGATGAACTGAGTTACTAGTTTTGAAACTTTACACATAATTAGAAAGAAATGTAATGTAGATAGTTGTCACCCATAAAAAGTTTTTTTTTTTCCTTTCCACTCTGTATATTTCTTTCTTACTTTCTCTTGCCTCATTGCACTAAATAGGACGTCCAGTAATATAATGAATACAGGTGATGAAAGTATACATTCTTTGTTATTGATTTTAGGAGGAAATATTCAGTTTCATCATTAAAATTATGTTAGATGTAGGATTTTGTAGATATACTTTATCAGGTAATAAATGTTCCCTCAACTAATTTTCCTTATGAATAGATGTTGAATTTTGTCAAATGCTTTTCTGCATCTATTTAAATATCTCATGTTTTTTTTTCTTGACCACTCAATAGGATTAGTTACACTAATTGATCTTCAATAATGAAACATCCTTGAATTATCAGGATAAAAATCAATTGGTTGTGATATATTTTTTCTCTGATCTATTGTTAAATTTGATTTGCTAGTATTTTGTGGAGAACTTTTGTAGCTATGTTCTTGATAAAAATTGTTCTGATTTTTTTTTGTTTTTGTAACATTTTTGTCCATATTTAGCCTCACAATAATGCTGACCTTCTTAGTTTGTTAAACAGTGTCCCTATTCTATGTTCGGAAAGACATTCTGAAGAAGTGGTTTCATTTCTTCTTTAAATCTTTGGGAAAATTCACCAGTTGAATCCACGGATTCTGGAAATCCCCTTGTTGGATATTTTAAGAATGATTTCAACATTTGTAATAAGTACATTACTATTTGGTTTATCTAATTGTACTGAAATTGGTTTTACAACCCTGTGTTTCTCAAGGAATTTATCCGTTGTACCTAATTTGTCAAATTAATGGATACTGAATTTCTCATACTTCTCCCTTTTTATCCTCTTGAATACTATAGATTTGATTGTGATAAAAATTTTAATTAAAAATAAAAATAATTTCAAGTGACCCAGAGTAGGTTTATTAATGAAATAGAGGAGCTGGGAAAATATAAAACACTCAGATTTGTAATAACAGCCATTGGAGATATATAGCAGAACTACAATGAGTTTGGAGCCTAGATACAAAAATATGTAAACTATTGTAATTCCTCCTTAGAGGCAGCAATTCAATGGGAGATCTAGAAAAACACTGATTGCCATTTGCTAGTTGCTATAAACAGCCTTTTTTAGTTAGGCTGAAACCATCTCCCCTGCTAGACAATTTGCCAGGTTCAATTTGTTTTCTGTGTATCCAAGAAAGACCTTGCAATGCACCATCAATATGCTCATACTAGCCACCTTCTGGGTTCTCTTCTGAATCTGAGATAATGCCCAGGATAATTAAGAAATACTAGGATTTTTTATGAACAGTATTTTCCTCTGGATCTTGTCAAATGAAAGGGCTAGATATATACTTTACTTCATTTTTGACTAATATTGACCAACACAGATTTGATTTGATGTTCCAATGAAATGCTTTGATTTGATGTACCAATGATATGATTATTTTGGAAAGTATTTACTACCCTGTTCCTTATACTAAACTATTCAAGTTATTTTAATCAATAGACAAAAGAGATTTAAGATACAAATATAAATTATTCAAGTACAGTTACTTTGTCTCAGCAGTGCTGAAAAGTACCTACATTCCATTAGAAACTTACGTGTTTGTAATAGTTTGAAGAATCATAGCTCTAGATAAAATTTGAAGTAAAATTCAAAAACTACAAAATTCAGAGCTCTTTTTTTAGGAATTTCAATTATGATTATTACATTTTTAGATGAGCTTATCGAGGCACAGCTAATTTAAATCATTTACTTTCACACAGCCAGATTTTGACAGAACTAGAACTAGATCCTAAGCCTTAAGTATCCCTTTTCATTATTTCTTCTATTATTCCCAATGCCCTTCAATAGTTACTGCAATGGCTGCTGTAGACAGGAAACTCTGTTTTAGATTTATAATGTTAAGAGAAAACGATAAACATAATAGATATAAATTGAATAATAATGAAAAATTAGTTTTATGTCCTTGGCAAGAAGCACCAAAAGCATGCTATAATTAATTGCAGCTGTTTTCACATAGAAGCGGTACAGTTTCCCTTTCTTCTCAGGAGTTGCTGAATCAGGCTATGTAGCAAAGTTGATGTATACCTTCTGTGGAAATTAGATGTTTTAGATGCACTGTTCTCAGATGCCAGGATGGATGACAGTATGAGATATAATCCTTTCCTGTGTAATGCAACCTAAACCAATCTACGTTCTAGAAGTCATTTGATTTCTCCCCTCTCTAGTGCTATCACATAGCAACTGACTCTCCGGGGACTCCATTCATGCTGAGATTGCACTAGCTAGTGATTACACTACTGAATCAGTCTGTAATCAATCTTGCATCCTACTGATCTTTTTTGGAATTTTTCTTTTGGTCACCAACTAATGGGAAACACAGCATGGTAAAGAATAATATAGTTTCATCTAATTGTAGCTCCATTAAAAAGGCCTCTGGGTACTCTTGTATTCACCTTACAATGAAAGTGTTCATAATGCACTCAATTTCTAAAGTCAAAACAGGTAATTATTATAGAGTTAGCTTGACTTACCTTGAGTATAAATGCATCATTTTCAAAATATATGAGTTCCCAAAACAAAGTTTTCTCAGAACAAAATGTGTTTTTTTCTCTTCTATTTTCTTTTTATAGTTAATACAGACACCCAGATGGGCTTCATCATTAGGAGATGCCCTCTCCAACTTATAGATTAGTAAAGAAATGTATATATGACATAATTTAAAGGGCATTGACAGTTCTGTCTTCAGTGCATATTTTTAATAGGCAGGGCTAGTGAGGGAAACATGATAAGATATCTCAGTTTTCAGCCACTTCTAACATGGTATATATGAAGATATATGAAGCAATAATTTAGATCCACAGAAACTGAAAGTAAAATAAGTATTGGAAAAAAATGGAGGTAAATGCAAGTTAGAAATATATGTTCTTACCATGTTGCCAACAAAGTATTTTGAGGAGACTGCTTGATTGTGACAGATTTCCCAATTACTCATATTTATATCTGCCTTAGTTTGTGTTTTGTAGAAACGTAGAACCTGAGAAAACAACTGGAATGCGTAAGCTCATTCTGGAGTTTGTTCTGAAGAAGTAAGGTGCATATGATGGAACAGGAAGAATGAAAAATGCAACGAAGAAAATAAAATGCAACTTAATTATTAAAAGTGTTACTGCTGGGGCAACTGGGTCTCTTCCAACATGCTCTGATAAAACTGTGTCTTAGAATCCTTCTTCTGAAGGATGAGCACCCAAGGCAATTATCCATGACTTCCATGTCTTTCAGGTGAGGATGTCCTAGCGTTTGAATTCCCATTGCTAATTTGCAGAGGCTGAAAAGAGATTCTGACAAAATCCCTGGGCATAAAAGCTGAAAGATAAAACATGGAAGGTGCTTGAGAAGGGACACTACTTCTATATGTAAATCCTGTTAACCAGAACTGCAAAAGTACAGATGAGCCAAGTGAATAAGGCTCAGAGCACCAAAAAACTATTGACAAACTCTGCCAGTTTTTAAATTTGTGAATTTGGTTATATCTATTATCATCTTTGATTCCAAGGTTTCTCCACTATTACACAGGGACAGTAACAGAGATCATATAATCCAATTTCACAACTGGATTTGGGAAGAATCAAAATAAGATGATATATGTGGATATCTCTGGAGTCTGGAAAGTACTAAGATTAAATGAATACAGAAAAGTGTAAAGTTATTTTCTTAGTATAAGTTTGAATGTGGGTAATATTTACTTACTATGGTAAGCACACTGGAATGAAACTGTAATGAGATCTACATTTAAATCTTATTTCTGCTACCTATAATATTTATAACAATTTTTGAGATGTGACACATATGCCCAAAACTTTACCCTTTTAAAATGTAAACTCATTGGTCTTTATTATATTCAGAGTTGGGCAATCACTACCACTAACTAATTTTAGAATATTTCCTTAGCCTTAAATAAATCCAGATACCTGTTATTAATCACTCTTCATTTTCCACTCCTCTCGTCTCCTGACAAATGCTACTGTCTATACAGATTTGCTAATTTGAGACCTTTTATAGTAATGTTCTTATATTTGTTTCATATATATATATACATATATATTACATTTTTAAAAATTACATATTATAACATTACAATAGCTACATATTACAATATGTAATGTTTTGACTGGCTTCTTTCATTTAGCATAGGCTTTAAAGGTTCATCCACTCTGTGGCATTTATCAGTACTTCCTTTGGTGACCAAATAATGTTTCATTGCAAAAAAATTTTTCATTTGGATTACCTCATTTGTAGGTGTAGAATTTCTCATAGTATTCCATTATAATACACTCTATTTATGTGAGGTCATTAGTGATGTATATTCTTTTATTTCTGATTTTATTACTATATTTTCTTCTTTTTTGCCTGGTGTGGCTAAACATTTTCCAATATTTGCAAAGAACCAACTCATTCGTTATTTTATTCTATTTTATTTATTTCCCCAAATAGATATTACTTATAGTAGCTTTAATTACATTATAAAGTTTATGTAATATATAAATTTATTTCTTCTGCTTATTTTGTTTTTAGTTTGCTTTTTTCCAAGTTTTATGGTAGAAGATTAGAATATTGGCATATTACTTTGTTCCCACATTGCTATAAAGAATTACCTAAGACTGGATAATTCATAAGAAAACGGGTTTAATTGACTAACAGTTCTTCAGGCTTTTCAAGTAGCATGCCTGGGGAGGCCTCAGGAAACTTACAATTATGAGAGAAGGCAAAAAAGGAGGCACATTTTACATGGCCAGAGCAGGAGGAAGAGTGAGAGGTGGTATGTGCCAAACCGGAGCTCATGAGTTCTTACTGACTGTCACAAGAACAGCAAAGGGGAAATCTGCCCCCATGATCCAATCACCTCCCACCAGGCCTCTCCTCCAACACCTGGGATTTCAATTTGACATGATATTTGGGCAGTGACACAGAACCAAACCATATCATTCCAGCCCTGCTCCCTTAAAAATCTCATGTCCTTCTCACATTGCAAAATATAATTATCCCTTCTCAATAGTCCCCCAAGTCTTAACTCATTTCAGCATTAATTCAAAAGTCCATGGTCCAAAGTCTCATCTGAGACAAAGCAAGTCCCTTCCACCTATGAGACTATAAAATGAAAAACAAGTTAGTTACTTCTAAGATACAATGGGGGTACAGGCATTGGGTAAATACATCCATTCCAAAAAGGAGCTATCAGCCAAGGCACAGGGATTACAGGACCTATGCAAGTCTGCAACCAGGCAGGGCAGTCATTAAATATTAAAGCTCCAAAATAGTCTCTTATGACACTATGTTTCACATCCAGGCCACACCGATGCAAGGGGTGAACTCCCAAGACTTTGCGCATCTCTGTCCCTGTGGCTCTGCAGAATACAGCCCCCTCGGCTGCTTTCAGAGGCTGGCGTTGAATGCCTACAGATTTTCTAGGTGCATGGTGCAAGCTGTTGGTGGATCTACCATCATGGGATCTGGAGAACAGCCGTCCTCTCCTCACAACTTCACAAGGCAGTGCCCCAGTGGGGACTCTGTGTGGGGGCTCCAACTCCACATTTCCCCTCTGAACTATCCTAGCAGAGGTTCTGCATGAGGGCTCTTCCTCTGCAGCAGGCTTCTGCCTGGATGCCTGGACATGCAAGCATTCCCATACATTCTCTGAAATCTAGGGGGAGGCTCCCAAGCCTCAACTCTTGCTTTCTGTGTACCCACAGGCTTAACACCACATCAAGCCGTCAATGTGTATACTTTGCACCCTCTGGTGCAGTGGCCTGAGATGTATCTGGGGCTCTTTTAGCCACAGCTGCAGCTGGATCAGCAACCTTTAGAGACTGTGATCTCCTGGCTGTGCACAGAGTCTGGTGTGGGGATGGTAGTTTCTCCTTATGAGGCATTTTGGTCACAACAACTTAACAATTCTATAGGAAGTCCAAACTTTCCCTCATCTTCTTGTCTTCTTTTGAGCCTTCCACGCTGTACTAACCTCTTCCCATTACCTAGTTCCCAAGTCCCTTCCACATTTTCAGGTATCTTTATAGCAATGCCCCACTCCTAGTATATTAGTCTGTTTTCATGCTGCTGATAAAGACATACCCAAGACTGGGCAACTTACAAAAGAAACAGGTTTAATTGAACTTACAGTCATGTGGCTGAGGAAGCCTCACAATCATGATGGGAAGCAAGGAGGAGCAAGTCACATCTTATATGGATGCCAGCAAGAAAAGAGAGCTTGTGCAGGAAAACTCCCCCTTATAATAACCATCAGATCTCATGAGACTTACTCACTATCACTAGAACAGCACAGGAAAGACCTGCCCTTATGATTCAATTACTTCCCACTTGGTCCCTCTCACAACACGTGAGAATTCAAGATGAGATTTGGGTGGGGACACAGCCAAATAATATCACCTAGGTACCAATTTTCTGTATTAGTCCGTTCTCACATTGCTCTAAAGAACTACCTGAGACTGGGTAATTTATAAAGAAAAGAAGTTTAATTGGCTCATGGATCTGCAGGCTGTACAGGAAGCATAACTGGGGAGGCCTCAGGAAACTTGTAATCATGGAAGAAGGCAAAGAGGAAGGAGGCACATCTTACATGGCTGGAGCAGGAGGATGGGGTGGGGGCAGTGCCACACACTTTTAAACAACCAGATCTCACAATAGCTCATTCACTTTTATGAGAGCAGTAAGAGGAAAATCTGACCCCTGATCCAGTCACCTCCTGCCAGGTTTCACCTTCAACACTGGGGATTCCAATTTGACATGAGATTTGGGCAAGGACACAAATCCAAACATATCTATTAAAATAAGACCATTTTAATATAGACAATTAGAGTTATCGATTTTCTTTTATGCACACTTTTGACTGCATCCTATAAATTTTGGTATGTTAGGCTTTTCTTTACTTTTTTCTCAAAGAAATTAAAGTTAGAAAAGGAAATTAGAAGTAATTTCTTTTGTAATATTTTTTTCTGCCACATATTTTAGTTGAATATGTTAATTTCCTTATATTTAATTTTCTTAATTTTTGTTATTGGTTTCTAATTTCATTCTGTTGTTGCCAGAGAACATTCATTGTATGATTTTAAATTTATTAAAGTTTATATTATGTCAAATATATGTTCTATCATGGAAAATGTACCTTGTACAATTAAAAATATGTATTTTATTGTTGTTAAATACAACGTTCTATAGATGTCTATTAGGTCTAGTTGGTTTGTTGGGTTGTTTAAGTTTCCTATTTCTTTCTCAAACTTCTGTCTTTTAATTCTACCAATTATGCACATAGGATACAAAGTCTCCAACTACTTATTGTTGAATTGTCTATTTCTCCTTTTAGTCAGTTGTTAGATACACATATATTATAATTGTCATGTCTTTCTGGTGTTTTGGCTCTTTCAGCATTTAAAATGTCTTCTTTACCTCTAGCAACTTCTTTTTAAATATACAATCTATTTAGTTTGATATTTGTATAACCACTCTTGGTCTTTTTTGATTGCCATCTGCATGGAATCCCTGTATCCATCCTTTCACTTTTAAATTATTTGATCATTTAAATATAAAGTATGTGTTTTTCCACAGAATATGATTGAATCATGTCTTTCTAATGCGTTCTGCCAGCCATTACCTTTTGAAATAATGTTTAAATCATTTATAGTTAATATAATTACTGATTATGTAGGACTGATGTATAACATTTTGCTCTTAGTTTTTAATATATTGATGTCTTTTTTGTCTTTCTCCTCTCTTTCTGGGATTCCCTCATTGCCACATTTTTTGGACTAATACCAACATAATTTCCATAGTCTGCAGACCAATTGCTTTAATGTAACTCTCTTTACTTCTTTCTCATTTGTGCCTCTACTGTCATACAAATTATAACTTTAAATATTATAAACATCTTAACAGTTTTATCATTTAATTTATGCCAGTGTTTTTAAGAAAGTAAGATATAAAAGAGTTATAAACAGAAATACGTTTTATTGTCTTTTACATTTACTTACGTAATTATGTTTATTTCTTCATGTGGATGCAATTTACTGTCTAATGCACTCTCATTTAAGCCCAAAAGATTTTTGTTACTATTTTACTTTATTAGGCAAGGCTAGCATTTAAATCTTTGTTTTTTAATTATGTTAAAATGTTGTAATATTCCTTTCAATTTTAAGGAATAATTTTACAAATCTATCATTCCTAGTTGACAGTATCTTCCTTTCAGCACTTTGAATGTGGTATCCACTGTCTTCTGGCCTCCATAATTTCTAATTAGAAGTCAGCAGAATTATTCACAGTAGCGAACACATGGAATCAACCTAGGTGCACATTAATGGTGGAATAGATAAAGAAAGTGTGGTACATGTACACCATGAAATACTATGCCACCATTAAAAAGAATAAAATCATGCCTTTTGCAGCAACATGGATGCAACCAGAAGCCACTATCCTAAGCAAATTAATACAGGAGCAGAAACCCCAATACCACACATTATCACTTATAAATGGCAGCTAAACACTGAGTACTTATGAACATAAAGATGGCAAAATAGACACTGGGGACTACTAGAGGAGACAGGGAGAGAGTGGGGAAAAGGTTGGAAAACTGCTGGGTGTCATGCTCATAACCTTGGTGACAGAATCTATAATACCTCAAATCTCGGCATCACACAATATCCCCATGTAACAAACCAGCATCATATGTACCCCTTAGTCTAAAATAAAAGTTGAAATTAAAAAAATATCAGCTGTTGTTATTATTGAAGATCCCTTGTAATGTAATGAATTATTTCTATCTTGCTACTTTCAATGTTCTCTCTCTTTGGTTTTTCATAGTTTTACTATAATATACCTTGCTGTGTAGATCTTTGAATTTATCCTACTTGAAGTGTGTTGTACTTCTTGGAAGCATAGGTTAATGTTCTTTATCAAACTTGGAAAGCTTTTGGTCATTATTTCTTAAAATATCATTTCTTCCATATTCTTTTTCTCCTCTCTTTCTGGGACCCCCACTATGCACAGGCTGACGTGATTCCTGGTGTCCCATAAGTCTCTGAGGCTCTATTTAATTTTCCTCTTTCTTTTATTTTTTTTTCCGCAAATAAAACAGGAACATATCAACTGGCTGATCTTCGAGGTCAACAGTTGTTTATTCTTATTTCTTAAATCTGCCATTGAGCTCCTCTAATAAATTTTTTAAAACGTTATATTTTGCAGTAATTTTAAACATAGACTAGAGTTGCAAAAAATAGTACAGTGAGTTCCTGTATATTTTTGTTCAACTTCCACTAAATGCAAAATTTTATATAACCGTAGTACAATTATCAAACTAAAAATTAACTTTGAAACAATACTACTAGCTAAACTTTATTTGAATCTGAACTGTTTTTATATTACTGTCTTTATATGTCTGTGGATAAAATCCATAATCTACATTACATTTAAATTCCATGTTCCTTAGTTTTCTTCAATTTGTAAGTCTCATTTCCACTGTGTTCCCCACCAAAGCACGGAGTTTATTTCCAGGCAGTGGGTGAGCAGGGCTGAGAACTTGCCCCAGGCTACAAGGCTCACAGCTGAGAAAGCCAGCCAACTCACAGTGCCTCTGCTGTCCCACAAAGCCTGCAGTGGCAGTCTGCCTCCTTCAAAGGTCTGTGGATCTCTTGGCTTTCCTGGTACGTTTCTGTGGCAGTTCTTGGAGCAAAAGTTCATGATGTGTCTCCACATACCGCTCTGTCAGTCCAAGTGGGAGCTGCAAGTTAGTCCTGCCTTCTCTGTGCCATTTTCCCAGGCTGTCTCCTCTAGGAAATTTTATTTCTGTTACTTTCCTTCTTATTAGTTATTTATAATCTACCACTTTATTGACGTTCTCTATTTAGTAATACATTGTTGGTTACTTCCTTTTTTTCTTTAGACATAGCATTCATTACTTCTCTGAATATATTTATAATAGCCCATGTAAAGTTTTGTCTATAAGTCTATGTCTGAGCTTTCTAAGTAGAGGTTCTATTAACTGCTTTCCTCCCCTTGCTTATGGGCCATTCTTTCATTTTTCTTTCCGTGTTTTAAATACTTATTGTGAAAATTGAACGTTTATAACAATATACCATTGCAACTCTGGAAATAAAATTCACTACTCCCCCCAGAATTTGTTGTTTACTGTTTTGTTTTTCTTTAATTGTTGTTGCTGCTGATGATGTTGGCTTATTCCTGGGCTAATTCTGGTAAGCCTGTATATTATCTGTTATGTATGTATACTTGTCTGTTTACTTGTTTAACTTAGTGTTCACTTAATGATTACACATATATTTTCTTAGTTGCTTTGAACTATAGTTCTCCTAGTCTTTGTTGAATGACACAAAAATGTATTCGTTGGGTCATGTCTTTAATACTGAGAACTTTATAACTTTTTATGAGCCTCCACCTTTTAGCTTCACTTAGCATTGAGTTTAGCCAGAAGTGAGAGATTAATATGCTTTCAGACCTTTACTAAACATGTGAAGATCTCTACATATGCGCATGTCCTTCTATATCCCCAAAGATATATTGGAGTTTTTCAAAGCTCCCATGGGCATTTTATTCCCTAGATTTTCCTTTAATATTTTTGTGCAGCCTTTTGTTTGCCCCAGCTGGTATTGCTACCTCAGCTAGCTGTAATGTTAAACAATTTTTGCTAGTTGTTTTCAATGAATACCTTGGGAATAAATCTTTCCTCACCAACTTAGCTCTAACTCAAGTCAAATTAAGAGAAGCCCTCCCTATGAATACAGTTTTTTCAACGAGCTGTCAAATAGGAAAATATGGTCAATTTGGGAAAATAGACCTATTAGAGATCTCCAAAACTAATCTAACCTTCAGTGCAATGCTACTGATTTTCCCAGATATATTATTTCCAAGAAAGCTTATTTTAAATGCTCCAATAGAGCTGAGGATATAAGAATGAAAATGGGGAAGGTTAAAGCACCACAAAGCTCATTGTTGTTTTTTTTTAAGATTTAGCCCTTCATTTTAATAAACGTTCATAAGATTATTGCAAGCCTTTAGTTAATTTCCAGAATTCTGAAAAAAAAGTTGTTTTTGACAATTTCTGCCTTTTCTTCATTGCTTTTATGGAGGAGCAAATGTTGAAGGTCTTTTCTGATATTTTTGATATGCCTGTCCCCATTGCAACTTATTGTTTTTATGATCTTATGGTTTTCACGTATAATGCTGAAACTCGGTTTATAAAAATTAGAATTGTAGCATTTGCTTTATGTTTTTCCATTCCATTATAAATACTTGATATTTTTCTGTGCCATAATACAAACAATAGGTATTATATATTTACACCATATGTTATCTGCTTTGCTGGTTGATTTATATTTAATATTTTTAATTCTCCAAAAAATACGCAAGTTAGGTATTTTTCACATTATTTATGAGGGAATTTAGACTCATAGAGCATTATGAGTTCCTTGTCAAAAGCCATAACAAAGGACAAAAACAAGAACAAAAACTCATGAGTAGTTACCTGCTTTTTATGACAAGTTACTCTACAAAACATAATGCTAAAGAAAGTTTGATGATAATTATGATGATAATGATAATCTGTTGTCTTTTCTCTCTACTATAAAAATTATATTAAGACAATAAGCATTACAGTCAGTAAAGCATAAATTTTGTACAGTTAATTTTTATATAAATTTAAATCTACAAAGATCTTACGTAATTTGCAAACTATAGGTAAGATATGCAACCTTGTAAAACGTTCACTAGTGACGAGATGGTGACAGCTTAACTTGGAGCATTGTTATAAATTACATAATGTACAATGCCTACAATTGTGAATAACAACCATATGGGCTTATAGACACTTTTTAGAATAGCAGTATATTTACTTTTAACGAAAAGGCTTAAATTGTTACATTTTTGTCCCAGACTGGTGTTCATTTTGCTAAACAAGATAGGCAAATAGTCTAACTTTTTCTACTTGTAGACAATCAGTATCTCCATTCAGTTCTTGTGGTTTGTTTCATAGCCTGCATTGTTGGAATGATCCGATAATTTTAAAGAACTTTGTTTTATTACATTATTCTTGACTTCTGTGTTGCCTTATCAATTGGTCGTTACTTAATTAAGCAATCAAGTAGTTATTAAGTACCTATTTTATGACAGAGAAAACCTGTAAAAGTACAGAATACTTTTTTTAATCTCATGATAGGTGTTAATACTCTAAAGATGGTAAATATATATATCCTTAAACAAGGTTTTGTTAAGATAAACCTTTCTCATTCTTTCAGGTTTCCTTTTATAGAACTTTCTTCAGCCAGGTCATGTTCCTGGTTACTTCTTCACTTCCTTATTTCTATTTGTCAAAGTCTCTCTTAAAACGTTCAACTCATTACACATTAATTTGTGGAGAATGCCACTAAGCAAGAAAAATTAATTCCTCTCTGTCTAGTCTGTTGTTTTATTGCTTCTAACAAAATATCTGAAACTGGGTCACTTATGCAGAAAATAAATTTATTTCTTACAGTCATGGAGGCTCAGAAATCCGAGGTCAAGGGGCCACATTTAGTGAGAACATTCTTAGTGGGGGGACTATGCAGAATCCCAAGGCTGCACAGGACATCACATGCTGAGCATGTCAGCTTATGTCTCTTTTATTATTATTACAAAGCCACTAGTCCCATCCCCATGATAATCCATTAATTCATTAACCCATTAATTGATTAATCTCGTAGTCCCTTATGAGTCAATTACCTCTTAAAGGCCCTGCATCTCAATACTGCCACATTGGGAATTAAGTTTCAACATGAGTTTTGGAGGGGACAAACATTTCAATCAAAACACTCTTCAAATACTCTTTTGTTTATTTGTTTTGTGACTTTTTATGTTTGAGAGAAGATTTTATTAATGAATCAGATTTTGAACATTTTAAAAGCTCTCAAGTTAGTCTACCTAAGTTAAATCTAATGTCTGTCACTTACTAGTCCTTTGACCTTGGAGAGGTTACTTTATTGCTTGAGCAATTATGTAGAGAATGGAACTCAGTGAAGAGAAGAAGGAGGCAAATAAACTAGTTATAATATTATGGCAAGAGTCCAAGGAGATAAGACGGGTGACTTAATGAATGTAATGCTTTACTAAGCAGATACTAATGGCCACATTTTCTGCTAAGTGCAAATGATATCACATTAGATAAGTCATGATCCTTGCATGCATGTAATTCACAGTCTATGGTAGAAGAAAGATACATAAAAACTACCTATAAGCCAAGCTGTTAGTTGTCATAATATGGGTCCAAGTAAAGTCCTAGAGAACACAAAATTGATTTCATTATTCTATGTGTGTCCTGACCAACACAGTCCAATGAGGATATTATTTTCCATTATCTAGGCAATTAACTTCTATTATGCATCCTAAGATTGTATTACCTTTGTTAACCACACCTCACTGATGGCTTAAATTAAGCAAGGGGAAAGTAGTTGGTTGATTTGTGCCCTTTATATTTGTATTATTTAACTCTGTGATGGCACTGGAAGATTTTTCACTGTATCATTACTTAATATTTTTGATAAATTTGTAGGGTTAATTTAATGCTTTAGATCACATTTAAGAAACCATCAACATTAATGCATTACTTCTGAAAATTTCTGAAACTCGTCAGACTTCATTTCAGTAAGCTTCAATATAAAGGGAAGAGTAACCAGAATTTAAAGTCAAACAAACATGAATTTGAATCTCCGTTCTGACATTTATGCATTGTCATATATAATATAGGGTTATTTTTTATTATTTAGCAGTTGGTTTTATTATTATGTTATTTGTATTTGAATGATGGTTACTAGTAGTAGCTTTAAACTTCTATGATTTCCAATATTATACAATTGAATTTTTAAAGCATGATTTAAAATAAAAGAGGAAATTTGTCAATTACCATAGAAAATATTTAATATATAGTTTTTGCATGCTGAATATTTCAAATGGATTTCTGATTGTCAGAAACAAATGTTGATGGGCAAATTCACCTATTGAAAGAACAAATAAACATACTGTAAGTTTAATGTAAATTTATTTTGATATTCTAATTGCAAAAGGTAAAAATAAGCAATTCTATGGGAAAAAACATAGGCTGTTGCCACTGTTAATTTTAAGCGTTGAGAAAAGATTAAATCCTTAGCCCTCGCACTGACTGAATGGACACCCTCTTGCCAAGGAGACTGCAAAGAAACCTCCTGATTCTTGAATTCCTGGCCATGGCTGGACAAGAGGTTAGACATGCCTTGGTATGCCCCTTCCTTATTAACTTTTAACTAGAATTCTTTCCTCAGGAGTAAGCAGAAACCAACACTAGCAAACGAGAAATAAACAACTCATTCCTTTATCACCTTCAGCTAAACATATGAGGCCACAACTTCACCCTCCCTCCCTCTTATCAGTTTCCAATGCATCCCTTCCTAAGAACTGAGAATCATCTCCAGAAAGTTTCTGTCGAACTCTGGAAGGATGTGAAGCGAAGGTTTTCATGTCCTCTCCTTCACCATTTGTCATCAGAGTGCTGAAATTTCCACCCTCAAATAATTCAGACAACACCATTTTTTGAACATGTGACCCATGAAGCTTAAATGTTAACACTCGTGTTTCTCCTTTTATACATATTCATGACTCCTCCTATAGCTTATTAAATATGTATCTTCAGCCACCTCACTCAGCATAAATTCCTGTTCCCTTCTTTGCCCCTCCCTTGAAAGGCCTTTTTCTGGTTTCTGGACTGAGGCTACACTTCCCAGGCTGTCAGAATGGCCACCCTGCAGGCTGCAACACTTTATGAGAAGTAAAGCTCTCCTTTCCAAATTTACGAACCTCTTGATTCATCAGTTGACAGTATCAACTTGACAGGTCACAGTGTGCTGTGCCTAGAGTGAAGATTATTTCTGTGTGTATCTGTGAGGATGTTTCCAGATGAGATTAACGTTTGAATTAGTGGACTCAGTAAAGTAGTTTCACCTCTCTAATGTGGGTGAACAGCACCAAATCCCTTTAGGTTCTATTTAGGACCTTAATAGAACAAAAGGCTAAGGAAGGAGAAATCGACTCCATTTTTTTCTGACTCTCTGCTTGAACTAAGACATTTCATCTCATCTTGTCCTGCTCTCAGACTGGGATTTACATCTTTGGTTTCATGAATTCCCAGGTTTTTGGACTCACACTGAATTACATCACTGGCTCTCCTGGTTCTCCACTTTGCAGACATCATATCAAGGAAGTCTTGACCTTCATAATCCAATTTCCATAATAAATAATATCTTATACGCATCTATCCATCCTATTTGTTCCGCTCCTCCAGAAAACCTAATATAGATTTTGTTACAGAAAGTGTTTCTAGAGGAATAGAATTTTAAGAATGAGTTTTCTAGATTTTTTAAGGGGTTTCTTGAATTAAATCTCTAATCTGATTAGGTTTGAGGATGCTAATGACTCTATTTCTATTAATAAAGACAGTATTAATAATTTGTGGTGTGAACTGTTTATAGAGTTATGCAAAATATCTGCATTGGATACTCCCTATCAATCACTTATAAGAAGCAAGTAGTTAAGTGACTCTGTATATGATACTTCAAACATGTAGGCAAATTAATAAATATAAAGGCATACGTTGGTAGCTTTTAATGTTGCTGGAAAAAGTACGGAAAAGATACACAAAATAATAAGTATATGAGGTGATGGATTTGTTAAGTAGGTTGAGTTAATGATTTCACAATGTAAACATATATTAAACATCACAGTGTACCCCATAAACACAATTATTTATCCCTTAAAAATAAAATTTTAAAAAGAAAAAGATTAGCTTAGGGATTTGAATTTCCAGGTCAAGCACTGCATACATGCCCTAATTTCTTCTATTTTTCTCTAAAAGAGAGGATACCCTTATCTCCTGTAGCAGCAGTGTGAAAATTACCGAAAACCAAATAACCAATCTCATCCTGAAACTGGCTGAATTAAAATGCAAGTTTAAATCTCAGCCTCAGGGTGCCACTGTTAAGGTAAGAGCATTTATTGGGAAAGCATGGGGTGAAGTAAACTGGAATGGGGAAGTGTGGAAAGATCCTGATGAAGCTGGAGCTATTGAGCCCCTCAATTCTTGTAAGTTTTCTTCAGCAGTGTAAGAGATCTCCCCACATTCAGCATAAGTGTTCTCCATATTTCAGGGGCAGTGGCATCCCTACTCCCAGAGATATCTGCTTCTCCACTCACAGTGGTATCAGCCTTTCCACATCCATCTGAGGGGATTAACACTGCATCGCATGACGAAACTGTAATGGCCTCCACTGATTAAGGTGCCATGTAAAACAATGTTGATTATTCTCAGGACCCACCATCACCACCCCTCTTTTCTTCTAGATCTGTAACTAGTCTCACGATCCAGCAGGCCTTTAAAAGTGAGGTATAATTATGATCCATGAGGAGATGTGTCACACTCCAAAAGAACTACTTGAGTTTGCTAATGTATACAGAAAGAAATCTGGAAAACATGCATGACAAAGCAACTG
Organism: Homo sapiens; assembly: GCF_000001405.40. Classification (NCBI taxonomy): domain Eukaryota; kingdom Metazoa; phylum Chordata; class Mammalia; order Primates; family Hominidae; genus Homo; species Homo sapiens. Next base: position 32,616,412 of record NC_000004.12, read on the forward strand.
AGGATGTGAGATAATGGTGAAAGGAACAATAAAGTTGGAGCAGGCTGTATTTATTGACATAGGCTCAATAAGAAGAGCTTCTGAATTTAACGTTGCAGCTTGAGGCCTTAGAAAGAGCTGTAATCATTTGGTGGGTTGGTTGCCTGAAACGTGGACCAAAAGATGGACCGTGATGAGTGAGCCAGAAATGACAGACATGCCTTGGATTCATGTGCAGAAAGAGATTTAGTGAGTTAGGGGGATTGGACTGTTACAGTGAATTTGTCATTTGTTATTTCAGAAGTACTCATCCACACAGGGAGTCCAGAAGATTGTGAGGAATAAATTTGTGAGGAGAGTCCTGGCATCAATGAAGAGCTCTGTGATCACTCATTTTCATAGGCCAAACCTCACAGTAGTAATGTCAGTCATTCCTGCTGGGAAACCAAAATGCAATGGGAATAATTGGATCCCAGGATGACAAGGGCCAAGGGGTGATACTTAACTGCTAAAGGAAAGATTGGCATAGTTACCATAATGGAGAGAAAAATCAAAGCAGTAAACATTAGAATGCTGGAGCAAAGTATGGGATCTTCTGCAGAAAACTGCTGTCCTTTTGAGTGACAGCTCTTGGCTTGCTACTGGGTCTTACAGAGAACAAACATTTAACTGTGGGCCACTAAGTTAAAGTTACCATGTGACTTGATCTCTTTATTATAAGCTAACAATTACCTGATCCACTAAGCCATAAAGTTGGGTATGCACAATAACACTTCATCATCAAATGTAAGTGGTATATACATGATCTGACCCACACAGGTACTGAATACACAAGTAATTTAAATAAAGAAATTGTCCAAATACCCACAGTTCCCCCTCCTGTTATACTGCATTCTCTATCCCAGCTTCTACCTATGGCCTCATGGAGAGGTCCCTACAATCAGCTAATGGAGGAAAAGGAAACTCAGGACTGGTTTACAGAGATTTCTGAATGATATGCAGGCAGCACTCAAAAGTGGACAGTGGCAGCACTACAATTCCTCTCTAGAGCATACATGAAGGATATTAGTAAAGAAAAACACTACCAGTGGTCAAAATTTTGAGCAGTGCACCTAGTTGTTAACTTCGCTTGGAAGGGAAAAAGGCCAGATGTTCAACTGATTATATAATGATTCACAGGTTGTGAAAAATGGTTGGCTGGATGGTTCGGAATTTGGAGAAAACGTGATTGGAAAATGAGTGACAAAGAAATTTAAGAAAGAGGTTTGTGAGTAGACCTCGCTGGAAAACACAAATACACACACACACACAAACACACACACACACACACAAACACACACACACACACACACAAACACACACACAGAAACTAAAAAAAAAATAAAAACCCATGATGATATTTGCATCCCATGTGAATGCTCACCAAGGAATGCTTCTTTAGCAGTGTAAGATTTCAATGATCAAACGGATAGGCTGATCCATCCTGTGAATATGAGTCTCTTTCCTCAGCCACTGCTGTTATCTCCCAATGGGCTCATTAACAAAATGGCCATACTGGCAGGGATGAAGTTTATGCATGAGATCAGCAACATAAAGTCCCAGTAACCAAGCCAATCTGCTAACAAGAGAGACTAACACTGAGCCTGAGGCCCCCATATGGAAGCATTCCTCAGGACAATCAGCCAGCTACCTGGTAGCAAGTTGATTACATTTAACCACTTCCATCAAAAACAAAAAAAAAAAAAAAGGAGGGGGGCAGTGTTTTGTTCTTTCTGGAATAGACACTTACTCTGGATATAGATTTTTCTTCTCTGTGTGTAATGCTTTTAGAAAAGCTATCATCTGTTGACTAACAGAATGACCTATTTAACATTATGGTATTTCATACAGAATTGCTTCTGAACAAGAAACGCATCCACCAGTAAAAGAAGTGTGATAATCAGCTTATCCTGATGAAATTTACTAGTCTTACCATGTTCCCCACCATCCTGAAGCAGCTGGCTAGATAAAACAGTAGAATGGACTTTTGAAGACTCAGATACAGCACCAACTAGGTAGCAATACCTTGCAGGGCTGGGCAAGGATTTCCAATATGTTGTATGTGCTAGGAATCAGCATTCATTATATGATGCTAGTCCCCTGATGGCAAGGACTTACAGGTCTAAGTATCAAGGACTGGAAATGGAGGCTGGGCTTGGTGGCTCATGACTGTAATCCCAGTACTTTGTGAGGCAAAGCAGGTGGATCACCTGTTGTCATGAGTTCGAGACCATTCTGGCCAACATGGTGAAACCCTGTCTCTACTAAAAATACAAAAAACTAGCTGGTCATGGTGGTGGGTGCCTGTAATCCCAGCTACTACAGAGGCTGAGGCAGGAGAATCGCTTGAACCCAGGAGGTGGAGGTTGCAGAGAGCCGAGGTTGCACCATTGCACTCCAGCCTGGGCAACAAGAGTGAAACTCCACCTGAAAAAAAAAAAAAAAGTGCTGGTAGTGGGATCAGCACCATTTACTGTTACTCCTAGTGATGCAGCAGTGACCTAAATAGTAACCTTAAGTGCTTTGCTGACCTAGAGGTTTTAGTTTCAGAGGAATGAATGCTTCCACCAGGGACACAACGACAATTTCATTGAACTGGAAGTTAGGTCTACCACCCAGCCACTTTGGGCTCCCCCTACCTCTGAGTTAACAGGCTCAGAAGGGAGTTACAGTGTCTGCTGGGGTGATTGGTTCTGACTACAGAGGGGAAATTAGATGACTTCTGTGCTATAGAGGTAAGAAAAAAATATCTAGCATACATAAGAGCCTTAGGGCTGCTCGTAGTATTACTGTGCCTTATGATTAAGGTACATAAAAAAACTACAACAACCCAATCAAGGCAGGATTACTAATGGCGCAGACTCCTCAGGAATAAAGGTTTGGGTCATCCAAGAGGGTGAAGAATAATGACCAGCTGAGGTGCTTGCTGAAGGCAAAGGTAATATACTGGGTGGTGAAAGAAGAGAGTTATATATATATCAGTCATAAGCTCTTGACCAGTTAGGGAAATAAAGACTGTAGTTTTAATGAGTATTTCCTCCTAGTTTTGCTATGAATATGTTTGTGTATGTATAATACACACACACACTCACACACACACACATACACATTCTGTTGGTTCTATTTCTCTGGAGACCCCTAACACAATTGTTTGCTCTTTGGGAGTTTCAATTTCTTCACTTGTTAATTAGGTAATACTAGCTTAATTAATGGATCAAATTAAATTTATTATGTAAGGGCTCTACACATGTTATTTATTATGTCTAAAGCCTTACTACTGGGAAATCTGGAAAAAGTAAATTAGTTCTTGATGTCACTTCTTTGTAATTCTTTCATAACAACAATTAGATATTAAAGGCTCATGAGTTATATTCAGAGCATACTTACTGTTTAATTTACCCTGTAAACATCTTTAAGAAACTACATTTCTTAGTTCCACCATCCCCAAACTATCCACACATCCACCATCCACATGTGTATAATCACAACTGCCATGGTGGGACAATGTGACCACAGCTCACAGTTGATTGACTAAGTCCAGGATTTCTGATTCAAACTGATCCTATAAAAGTGCCTTCCTAGTGGTTATAATTATGGATCCAGGATTTGGGAGCTGAGTTATGTTAATGACAGTATTCCTGAAAGACAATCTAACATCTACTGCTTAGTTTGTAATTCTCCTCCTTGTATGCCCCACAATAGTTCAGTGTTATTTTAATAATGTTCCCTGCCTTCACAGCACCAGAACTTCTTGTCATTCATTTGTTTTGCTTAGGCAAACTAAAGAGAGTCCTGCTATTAAAAAACAGATAAATATTAAAATAGATATACTAGGCAGCTGGCTTTCTGTCTTTCCACTCAGGTATAACTTTGAGAAGCAGTTAGTTAGAGCTTGAGTGCACAGCTCTAGGGTCAGACCTCTTGGTTTACTTCCCATCTTGATCACAAAATTGCCACACAACCTTGGACAACTTACTTAATCTTTTTTCTTTATGTTCTTCCTGTCGGTAATAGATATAATAACAGTACGTAACTCATAGGACTTCTATGAGAATCAGAATACAATCAACCTGTTGCAGACACCTACAGAAGTAGAAAGGACACCACTGCTCCAATTTATTTCAGGTGCCAAGGCTGATGATGGTACACATGCACTAAAAAGTAAGAAGTGCTTATTACTCACAAAATGTTGCTTTCTGGGGAAAATAGGGTGGACTCCACAACAGGACAAATAAGGTATTGATGGAGCAGGAAAAAGAGATGGCTTAGACTTTGCTGTGGTTAGGAGGTATAACTTGGTTAAGTGTTTCTACCCACGCGTAGGCTATGGTTTACATAGCCTATGCACACATAGCCTATGTGTGCATAGTTTACATTTCCTACCAGCCCCCCAAAAAGGGAACACTTGCTTTTCTTATCAACTTGCCCAAGATGTGGGGTAGAAGGGAAGGGGCAAGTGGTAGAGCTCGCAAGCCCTCAGCTTGCAAACATAGAAAGTAAATTTGGAGGGTTTTTTTTTCTTTTTTGAGACAAAGTTTCACTCTTGTCCCCCAGGCTGGAGTGCAATGGCGTGATTTTGGCTCACTGCAACCTCCGCCTCCCAGGTTCAAGTGATTCTCTTGCCTCAGCCCACCTAGTAGCTGGGATTACAGGCGCCTGCCAACATGCCCGGCTAATTTTTGTATGTTTAGCAGAGACGGGGTTTCACCATGTTGGCCAGGGTGGTCTCGAACTCCTGACTTCAGGTGATCCGCCCTCCTTGGCCTCCCAAAAGTTGGAGTTTTTAATGCAATTCACTCTTTATGTTTGACAGAAAACGGAAATGTGTCATGTTTTATTTAATTGAATTTTTATCTCATTTCATTAAGCCACTGTAGCACTCTTTGAGACAAGTAGTATGAGTCCACTAAAAGAAGTAAATTCCCTTGAGTGTCTTAAGACTAGCATTGTATATTTTTTAAGTGAAATGTGTGTCTTAGTCAATATCAATGCCCCATCTTGGTGAGGCTTTGCTTGTGTATTTAGTATGTATTGGGATGTGAGTGACTTTGAATTATATTTGGGATAAATATGAGGTAAGTGATTTCCAGAAGTTCTTTCTACCAAAGGGGCCAACCTTGGATAAGTAATCATTGTTGCTACTGTTGGATAGATCAGATGGCCAGACCATTGGCAATATCCTAAAAGCCTAAAAATGTGTGGATTGTTGGCCATGGTATCCAGTGTTAAAATGACTACTACACACATTGTTAGTCATTTGTTCACACTGGAATCATGCTCTAGTTAAGAGATGAAAATTGCTAACTCTTCAGGAAGCCCCATCACATGTGATTATTGAAATATTGTCCAAAAATTATTAACACTTATTTTTCTGTTCACTCAGTTGATTCCAAGAAGCTCACTAGGTATTTGGTATGTCCAGGAGAGGGTGACATCCTTCAGTATTATGGCATCTGGCAAGAGACTAAGGAATGGGCAGGCCATATTCTCCTGCAGATGTGTTAGGCCAAAGGGTTCAGGTGTGGCTCTATTTTGTAAGTATCATTTCCATTTTAACAAGGAGGTCTTAGCGGCTGTGGATGAGGATGCTGCCTTCATGGCCCGAGGCATAACGAAAAGTTGTGTACCAAGGGTCATGGATAGTACCCATGAGAGCCTCTAGTTCCAGAAGAGTCCAGTGTTTGGCCAGCAATCAATATAATGGCATGTAGTGTAGAGCTCAGCAAGACAGTTTCTTGTACCAGAAGTTCATGGGCATCTATCACCATCATGAATGACTGAAAAACTGTAGGGGAAATAATACGAGGTTGCTAAAGCCTCTACTCCTAAGGAATATCTGGAGGCATTAGTGGGGAGTATTTATTGTATTGCAATTTGTTCAGATTATAGACTTTTGTCATTGGGGTCCCCATTGAAGATGGGCTGATTTTTGAGTAACAGCATTATAGGTTTAAGTAAAATTTGTAAACAAGGAATGTGCTACTTCCAGAACCCAAAAAGGCCTAAAAGGTGTTGTTTTTTCTTTAATGTTGTGGGTACTGACAGGATCAATAGCTGTTTGTTGACAGTGTCACAGATGCAGTGACCCTTGGTTGAGCAAACAATTTTCAAGAATTAAACTGAAGTAGCAAGGCCATTTATTGTTTGTAGTATGTATGTGACAATGGCCAATCCCCTTTATTTAAACTCATTTGTAAGTATCTGTATATTCTTAATAAGTGTATCAGATGAATCTCCTTGGAGGAGGATGTAATCAATGTAAAGTCATACCTGTGCTCTAGGAACAAATTGAATGTAATTAAGATCTTGGTGCAAAGATTATGTGTGATGGCAGGAATTGAGATAACCCACCACGGGTAGCAGGGTAAAGGTGTATTGAGTCTTTTAGAAGTTGAAGGAAAAGGACAGCTGAGGGGCTGAACAGAAACAGACACTGAACAGAATATATTAGCCAAGTCCATAACTGCAAAGTATCACTGGCTGATTGGATAGAGTCAGTAATTTAAATAATATTGGGCACGAGGGCCTTAATGGGAGGGGTACAGCATTAAGGTTGTGGCAATGCATTATGAAACAAAGTCTTTCTGTCCATGTTGAAGAACAAGCCAAATTTGATTGGCAGACGGAAAAGCAGTGTGCAAAATTACCTCTTCTCTGCACAGATCTTGTATAATGAGTTTGAATCCTTGGAGACATTTTTTTTAACTTATATTGAGCTGTATTTACCATCTAATCAGGGGTGAGAGGCCATGGGTGTACTTTCTGTCAAGCTAGTTATAAGTGCCAGAAGTGTAATTTAATTTCAAATTATTAATCTTTGGGCTATTTATGCCTATTATAGGATATTATAGGGAAATAGGCTCTATGGCTATGGAGAATTTAGGCAAGGCAATTGTATTAGTCTATTCTCATGCTGCCAGTCAAGACATACCCAAGACTGGGTAATTTATAAAGAAAAAGTTCAATGGACTCACAGTTCCACGTGGCTGAGGAGGCCTGAAAGTCATGATGGAAGGCAAAAGACACATCTTACATGGTGGCAGGCAATAGAGAGTGACAGCTAAGCAAAAGGGGAAATCTCTTATAGAACCATCAGGTCTCATGAGATTTATTCACTACCATGAGAAGATTCCGGGGGAAACTGCCCCCATGATTCAATTATCTCCCACTGGATCCCTACCACAATGTGTGGGAATTATGGGAGCTACAATTCAAGTTGAGACTTGGGTGGGGACACTGCCAAGTGATATCAGCAATTGTTCTGATGGTTAAGTTGTAAATCATATATAATTTTGTCCTCTCTTGTATGTTTACTAACTCTTCTAAGAGCATAGCAGATACCTAGTTTAAATTTAGTGGAATACTCAAGTTTAACTCTAATTTGAGACTTAGTGTCAACTAAGTCTCTGAAAGTTTGCCAATTGCTACACTTCAGCAGATGTTAAAGTTAATTTTAAACCTGCAAAGTCAATCAGCACCCACTTATTTTTTTCATAAATTCTTTTAGCAAATATTTGAATTGCGGATCTTTGTTTTATGTTTTGTTTCCTCCTCCTGTATCCAAGTGTTTGGTTTTTCTTTGCTTCATTGGTGTCTGTATATTCTTTGAGTGGTTTCTCCTCCGTAATCATATCTATAAGTTTCTCTCTTTAGAGTATCTCAAATCAGTGTCATCAGGATTTGGGACCTGCTTCATGACAATGGTTTCTTTATAGAGTTTAAATATCCCAGGCTTATGTTGGGTTTAAATTAACGTCTTGGTTATACACTGGAGTGCATTAATTACTTCTCCCTAAAGCCCTGTAGGTCAGGATCATTTGGTAACAGAGGTATAGGGGAAAGTGCAGCAAAGTTATTTTGTAAGATCCGAGTGAGCCACCTGGTTTTAGGAGGATGGATCTTAACAGGCCACATGATGTAGTCTTACTTCACATGAGACCACCCAATGTGGCTTTATATCACACAAGATATTAGACTTCCCCTTATTACTGTATACATTGGGAGCCAACACCTGGTTGAGACACAGAACCCATGACCATAGGGGGAGAATTGTTTTCCTGAGCCTAGAATCTATCCTTGGTTTTGCTGGAATTAAGACAAACAATTCAACCTGAGATACATGGATATGTTCAGGCAGAGACATAGGACAAAAGCCACTTTAAAGTGGATCTCAAACACATATTCTGCTCCTAAACATCACTTATTTAAAATTCTGATATAGTCAAATCTATAACAGAAGCTCAGTAAAATCCAGCAAATGTAGCACAAAACAGCAAGAGCAAGATTTCCAGCAGACAACAACTCACAGCTCAAGTTCACCAGCAGACAGCAACACAGCTCAAAGAGCAAGCTGGCCAACAGGCAGCAGAGTAAATTAGTAAGCTAGAGCAAAAGAAGAAAGACCCTCAGTAGTGGTGATCTTACCCAGGTATTCTGTTCATAATGTCAATGATTGAAGTCTCCCCACAGGAACAAAATGGGTACTCTACTCAAAATTTGAATAAGATATTAATCTGATGACACCACACATACACAAAGAGGGTATGAAAAAGTGTTTATGAGGCTTTCTAGGTGCAGCAGAGCAAGCTACTAAGCACATCTGAAAATGGCTTGGGAGAAGAAGTTACGAGACTGCATTGTCTCTTTTTGTGGATTAGGGGCTCAAGCTTGGATAAGAGTTCCCCAAGCATAGAGAGAATACGGCTTGTGTACTTTGAACTGCTCTTTGGTGCCAAAGTAGTCAGCACTTGGGATTTTTTATCAGATTTCTCAGATGCAGGTTGAAAAGGGAGAAGTAATGGAGGGACTTGAAAGCTCTCAGTAGTCAAATATCAAAATTGGAGTCAAATTGTTTATTACACAAACATATTAGTTTTCAACGAAAGTTAAGTGATCTTATTATCCTTAGAGGGTTGAATTCCATTTTATATTTGTCACTCCATAATCACGAGTTGGCTGCTGAACTTCCAGGCATTACACACCCATTCTTAGCAAAAGGGAGGGGGAAATGATGTAAGTTGCCACATTTTCATCTGCTCCTTTTATGAAGAACAAACTTTCCCAAGAACTCTTACCATAGCTTTTTCCCTGGATATCATTGACTAAAACCGAATGAAATGGCCATCCGTAGTTCTAAGAAAAACTAAGAACGTTATTATTTATAACATTGAACCCAGTGAGGAGAGGAGGATACTCTTGGAAAAGAAGAGGGTGATGGCTATTGATAGGTAGCTGACTATGACAGTAATGCTATTTGTATATCTTCTGCAAAATAGGTTTGCATAGTAGTTACCAACGGCTGCAAGCACTGAAAATTGTTTTGCTGCAGCACACATCTCTGCTCCTGGAAGTTGACATCCATCACATACAAATTGCTGAGGAACTGGTGATAATTGCTGCTTTAACAACATTGTGTCTTGTCTTATCCATGTGGAGGAAGGGGAGGGGCTGGGGGAAGAAGTACTTATTACACCAGGAATTCACTGAAATTTCTCCTTACCTTTCTGTTTGAGTGACATAGATGAGCATGCAATTTTCTGCAGACTATTATTACGTTGGCTACATATGTAGCTTGTCTTTTTAAAGGATGGAAATGAGCGGGCTTGACCCTGAATAGTAATCATTACCTATTTCTGACTCCATATCAGACATAAATTACCTTTCCCACCCATTTCCAAAAGTCATTATAAAAAATGTTGAAAAGTACATTTTCATCCGGTTGCATAAGCAAATAAGAAGGGAGGAGAGGAGCAGCACATGTGTTAAAGAACCAGAATAAAAGCTATTCATGTTAGGATATCACAATTGTGTATCTCAATGCCTTTCCTTTCATACTTAAGAAACATAATGCCTTTGAAAATGAAAAGAAAAAATCAAAGCTATTAAACACATGTTCTTTTCTCTGTGCCTCTGCATTGATTAATACCCTGAGCTCACACAGCTGTAAAGTTATACTGATGTCCTCTTTAGATCATGCCTCACATTACTTTACTCAGAAAAGGAGAGAAAGACTTGTCAAGTAAAAGAGTAAATGAGATGTCTCATTTACATTGAAATATAGAGAGTATCAAAGAAAAGGGCTGCTTCTTGTTCACCAAGTGCACTTCTTAACTCATAATATACTGATGATATAATGGAGCTGGACATGTCACAATCATTTGCACTTGACCTTGCTTTCTATAGTGTCTTCCTATGCCTCTTATTTCAAAAACAACTGCAAAATTGGATTTTTATTCACTCAGGAAATTACTAGACCCTAATGTGTTGTTGTTGTTTTTGATATCCTGAGATCAAAATTTTGCTCCTTGATTTGGATTATTTTATCCTGTTAGAGTATCCACATGATTAAAAAAAAAACCTTGCAAATAAAATACCCCAAATTCACTATACTATAAAAATGTTTTATCACCTATCCTCTTAACAGGAAGTACAGGTGTAGTCAAATACATTCAGTCAGATACATTCTTTACTACTTGACTTCAACCATTGGTCACCATAGGCTAGTGGCATTTGAGCAATTGATTGAAATTAGTATTTCTTTCTGATCATATGAAACAATCTGAATCTTTTAAAGTATTATAAAAGCACCACAAATAAATATGTTCAGACTCCTTTCTTGTCACATTCTAAATTAAAAAAACAAACAAACTTTGACCATTTATTTCCCTGATAAATGACAACTATAATGTTATTTCACTTAATAACTAAATACAGAAGCTGACAATTTTCTCAGTTGGCTAGACATTTTAACAATAGCACTGAAAGCTCCTGGAGAGTGACATCAGAAAAATGCTGGAATAGCAGGCTCCTGTGCTCATCCCCTCAAGGAAGCATCAATTTAAACAACCATCTGTACCCAATAATACCTTCAAAAGAACTAAGAAACACAGGTGAGAGATTACTGCACTTAAGTGGAGGATAGAGATAAGAAAAAAGATATTTAAGAGGGTAAAAAAAGTTTCACATTACCTGTGTCACCCTTCTCCAAAGTGTAACAATGCAATGCAGAGAGAGATCATCTTTGCATGAGGGAAAGAGAGTGAAGGGAGCACTGGACTGCTCTGCAGACCCCAGCATCAGATCTGCTTCCGTGAACCTTGGTGATAGGCTGGCCCCTATGGCCCCAGGCTCCATCTTAAGCACTGTCGCAGCAGGCTTGAGACACCTTTGAGGGCCCAGCTGGCTTCATAGCCCTGGGCTTCAAGTATATCCCTACAAATCCACTTTCTTGGCCCACCCCGTTGGACCCTGGCACCAGACTGAGCTTTGTATACCTAAGATTCTGACCCACCCTAGTGGACCACGTTTCCAGGCTTGTCTCTGCAGATTCAGGAAAGACCCAAATACTACGCCCACACGGCCACTAAGCAAGGTATGAGTCCAGCTCGTTCAAGGACTGCAGCATCAAGCCCAGCAATTGTCTTAAAGAACCTCAGTGAGCCGCAAGAGTGCGCAGACAGACAACAAAACAATATCAGGAAAGTAATGCCTGAAGGATATTATAAGTTCAACAAAAATGTAGAAACCACAATAAAGAACCAAACATAATATTTTGGAGCTGAGGAACACAATGACTGAACTGAAAAATTCCTTAGGGAACTTCAATAAAGATCTCTGTCAGGCAGAAGAAAGAATCAGCAAGTTAGAAAATAAGTCATTTGAAATTTTCCTGTTAGAAAAACAAAAAAGTAAAAAGAATAAAGAGTAAATAAAGCCTGTGGAGTTTATGGGACACCATCAAGCAAATCAACATACATATATGCAAACCCCTGAAGGAGCAGAGGAAAAGTGGAAAAGAGTTTATTTTAAAAAATAATGACAGGAAAATTTTCAAAGAAATAAACATCCTGATCCATGAAGCCAAAGAACACCAAATAGATTAAAAATAAAGAAATCTTCCCCTTCCTGTGTCCATGTGTTCTCATTGTTCAATTCCCACCTATGAGTGAGAACATGCAGTGTTTGATTTTTTGTCCTTGCAATAGTTTGCTGAGAATGATGGTTTCCAGCTTCATCCATGTCCCTACAAAGGACATGAACTCATCATTTTTCATGGCTGCATAGTATTCCATGGTGTATATGTGCCACATTTTCTTAATCCAGTCTATCATTGTTGAACATTTGGGTTGGTTCCAAGTCTTTGTTATTGTGAATAGTGCCGCAGTAAACATACATGGTCATGTGTCTTTATAGCAGCATGATTTATAATCTTTTGGGTATATACCAAGTAATGGGATTGCTGGGTCAAATGGTATTTCTAGTTCTAGATCCCTGAGGAATCGCCACACTGACTTCCACAATGGTTGAAGTAGTTTACAGTCCCACCAACAGTGTAAAAGTGTTCCTATTTCTCCACATCCTCTCCAGCACCTGTTGTTTCCTGACTTTTTAATGATTGCCATTCTAACTGGTGTGAGATGGTATCTCATTGTGGTTGTGGGGTGGGGAGAGGGAGGAGGGATAGCATTTGGAGATATACCTAATGGTAAATGACGAGTTACTGCGTGCAGCACACCAACATGGCACATGTATACATATGTAACTAACCTGCACGTTGTGCACATGTACCCCAAAACTTAAAGTGTAATAAAAAAAGAAAAAAATAAAGAAATCTTTATCCAGACACATTATTATCAAATATTCGTAAGTCAAAGACAAAGAGAGAACTTTGAAAACAGTAAGAGAAAAGTGACTCATTACATACAAGGAAACTACCATAAGATTATCAAAGGGTTTTTCAGAAACCTTGCAAGCCAGGAGATAGTGAAATAATATACTCAAAGTCCAGAAAGAAAAAAAAAAAAACTGCCAACCAAAAATATTATGCTGAGAAAATTTTTCTTTCAGAAATGAAAGTAAGATAAAAATGTTACCGAAATAAAAACCGAGGAAGTTTATGACCACTAGATCAGCCTTACAAGATGCTTAAGGAAATTTTTCAAGTTGAAATAAAAGGATCCTAACTAATGATAAAAACATTTGAAATTCTCAAACACACTATAAAATTTTAGTTCATATTTTTATTATATAAATAATACAATAAAATTCAGAGTACTTTAATACTATAACAGTGGTATATGAATATAAACTTTTAACTGTAGTAGAAAAGGTAAAAAAGACGAAAGCTTTAACAATGAGTACAGACACAAGTATTCTTAAATGAATACACAATAACAAAATATATAAGCTGTTAGTTCAAAACAAAAAAATATAGGGGAGAAAAAGTTAAAGTATAGAGTTTTTTTATGCAGTAAAACTGAAACTATTATATCTTTAAAACAGACCATTATAACTATAAGATAATTTATGTAAGCAACATTATAACCACAAAGAACAGACTTGTAATAGATATACAAATATATAAGGAAAGTATTCGAAGCATGTCACTACAAAAATTCATCAAATAATAAAGAAATCCAGGGAGAGAGAAAGCAACTACAAAACAGTAAAAAAAAAAAAAAAAAAAGTGGGAATAAGTTCTTTTTTATAAATAATTACTTTAAATGTAAATGTATTAAATTATCTAATCAAAAGATAAAGAATCTCTGAATAGATAAGAAAGAAACAAACCAAATAAAATGAGAATCAACTATATACTGCCTAGAGAAGACTTACTTCAGCTTTCAGAACACAAATAAGCTGAAAGTAGAAGAATAAAAAAAATTTTTTTTCATGAAAATGGAAACCAAGAGAGACCAAGGTGCTATTCTTACAGCACACAAAATAAACTTTAAGTCTAACACTGTCTCAAGACATTGAGCATCATTATATAATGAGAAAGGAGTCAATTTATCAGGAGAATATGACAATTGTAAACATATACACAGCCAACATAAGGGCACCTACATGTATAAAGCAAATATTAACAGAACTGAAGGGAGAAATAGATAGCAATACAATAATGGTAGGGTACTTCGATACTCCACTTTCAACAATCAACAGATCATCCAGACAGAAAATCAATAATGAATTAACAGACTTCAATGACACTGTAGATTAAATGATCCTAACAGACATGCCAACCAATAGCAGAACAGACATTCCTCTCAAACACACACATTCTTCAAGACAAATCATATGTCAGGCCACAAAAACGAAATTCAAAAGGTTGAAAATATTTTAAGTGCCTTTTCTGACCACAATGATATTACACTAGAAATTGATAAAAAAAAGAAATTGGAAAATTCACTAATCAATGATAACACCCTCCTAAATAATCAATGCACAAAATGAATGAAAATGTAAATAAAAAAACTTGAGACAAATTAAAATTTAAAATATACCAAAACTTATGGGATGCAACAAAAGCAGCTCTAGAAGAGATTATAGTGATAAATGCCTACATAAAGAAAAAAAAGAACCTCAAATAAAAAACTTAATTTTACACCCAAAGAACTAGAAAATAAGAACAAACTAAGCCCAAAGTTAGTAGAAGGAAGTCAATTATGAAGACAAGAGCATAAATGAATGAAATAGAGGTAAAAATACATAAAAAAGCAATACAATTGAGATTCCTTTTGAAAATAATAATTAATTTACATTTAACCAGATTATAAAAAGAGAGAAAAGTCATATAAATAAAATTACAAATGCAAGAGGGGACACTATAACTGATAAATGCAAAGGACCAATAGAGACTACTATGAACAATCATACACCAAGAAATTGGATAACCTAGAAGAGATAGATAAATTTCTAAAAAAATACAACCTACCAAGACGGAATCATGAAGAAATAGAAAATTTGAACAGACCCGTAATGATTAAATAGTAAAACAGTAACTAAAAGAATCACATCAATAAAAGCCCAGGACCTGATAGCTACACTTCTGTGTCCTACCAAACATTTTATTAAAATATTAATGCCAATCATTTTTTAAACTCTTCCAAAAAATTGAAGAAGAGACAATACTTCTTAAATCATTTTATGAGAATAATATCACCATAATACCAAAGGCAGACCAGGACACTACTAAAAAAAAAAAAACGAAAAAATTACAGGACAATATCCTTGAAGAATACAGATTCACAAATTCTCAACAAAATACTAGCAAACCAAATTCACCAGCAATTTAATATGATGATACACCATGATCAAATAGAATTTATCCCTGAGATACAAGATTGCTTCCACAGACACATATCAATCAATGTTATACGCCACATTAACAGAATGAAGAGCAAAATTTATACAATTCTCTTCATAAATGCAGAAAATTATTTGACAAAATTTGACATGCTTTCATGATAAAAACTCCCAACAAATTGTGGTCGTACACAATAAATATATACAATTTTTATTTGCCACTTAGACATCAACAAAGCTGGAAAGTTTAGAATAAATTTTAATTTAAATAAAAACAATAACACTGATGCGGATAAATATTTCCAGAATCAGTAAAGAACATTCTTTAGATGGGGTTACCACAAGCATGACAAGATAGGAAATTCACAAAATTATGTCTGAATGTCTAAGTGTCCTTTTGCACCTCTTTCTCTTACACTGCCAGATTCACTCCTGCTTGCTGGGATTGGAGCGAACTAATTCTCGTCCTGCTGTTTCTAGGTCAAGCCAGTATGTCCCTGCCTAGATTCTACACACGTTGACATTTCAGCAGTTAATTACTTCTCCTACTGAGTGTTGTTCAAGGACCTGCACCATTGCATGACACACTATTAGATTACCATAATAAAGGAAGTGCTAATTTAATTCACTATTGCAGAATATAAACTTAAGTAGAAGAAATGCCACAAGAAAAAAAACCTCTAGTAAAAAATTTATTTAGTTGGGAAGCTTTTAGTTCAAATCAACCTGTAAACAGCATTAATTGTGTGGCATTGTTTTTCTTCAGAGTACCAGAAATAATTTTAAAATTTTTCTAAACTTGTTAATATTAAGAAACATTTAAAATTAGATTACTATTAATTCCCAAAATTAAGATTGCAAAAGTTGTCAGAATCAAAATGAAGTAATTTGTATGAAGCTCGAAACAAAAATAAAAAATTGATAAATAAAGCCAGGAATTTAAGAATGGAAAGCCCTCGTGCACATATCCTATGATAAAAACTATTTTTTTTTTTTTTTTTTTTGCAACAGAGTCTCGCTCTGGGGCGCTTGTAGCTGGGACTACAAGCGCCCGCCACCACGCCCGGCTAATTTTTTGTATTTTTAGTGGAGACGGGTTTCACCGTGTTAGCCAGGATGGTCTCGATCTCCTGACCTCGTGATCTGCCCGCCTCGGCCTTCCAAAGTGCTGGGATTACAGCCGTGAGCCACCGCGCCCGGCCAATTATTACCAACACTTTCTTTCTTTTTTTTTTCTTTTTTTTTTTTTTTTTGAGACGGAGTCTCGCTGTCGCCCAGGCTGGAGTGCAGTGGCGCGATCTCGGCTCACTGCAAGCTCCGCCTCCCGGGTTCACGCCATTCTCCCATTCTCCTGCCTCAGCCTCCCGAGTAGCTGTGACTACAGGCTCCTGCCACTACGCCCGGCTAATTTTTTGTATTTTTAGTAGAGACGGGGTTTCACCATGTTAGCCAGGATGGTCTTGATCTCCTGACCTGGTGATCCGCCCGCTTCGGCCTCCCAAAGTGCTGGGATTACAGGCGTGAGCCACCGCGCCTACCAAGACTTTCTAAAGGGTTTTTGCGCATATACACCTGTACTAAAAACTTTTGCTAAGGACTTTCCAAACTGCAGCTTGCTACGTGAGTCACGAGGACAACTAGCCAGATGCACAAGAACACTTGCCTGACTTACTGTCTCCACTAATAGACTAGCAACAACTCCTGTGATAAGCTGCTTTAATCAATGTCCTCTTTTGTCTCAAAACAACTCTTTGGAGATGCCTATGGCCCCAATTGCTTGCATCTCCCACATTTGCAAATACCCTGGATGCTATCGCATAAACTCACTATCTTTGGAGAATCTCTGGTCATTTAGATTGACATTTTAAAACTTCTTTACTTCCTGTTAAAAATTTTTGAGTAACGGCCGGGTGCAGTGGCTCACGCCTGTAATCACGGCACTTTGGGACGCTGCGGCAGGCGGATCACGAGGTCAGAAGGTCAAGACCAGCCTGGCTAATACGGTGAAACTCCGTCTTTACTAAAAATACAAAAACAAAATTAGCCGGGCATGGTGGCACGCGCCTGTAGTCCCAGCTACCCGGAAGGCTGAGGTAGGAGAAATACGTGAACCCGGGTGGTGGAGCTTGCAGCCAGCAGAGATCACGCCACTGCACTCCGGCCTGGGAGACAGAGTGAGAGTCCATCTCAAATAAATAAATAAATAAGTAAATTGAGTAACTTATCTCCATATTTTATAATGAATTTTACTTTAACCATTTACTTTGGCTGATTCATTGATGCACAAATTTCTGAACTTTAAAGTAATATCTGCTTCTTTGCATGAGCAAAGTTTATGGTTAAAAAGTCTAAGCTTACTACCTCCACTTCTTTAACTTTATTCATTTCTCACTGTGTAATTCCATCTTTCTTTAGTCTCACTAGCTGCATCTCTAACACAATTGTTTTAAATACCAAAACGACACAGCTACTGTGATGATAAATATGTCAAAAACACTTAGAAAGAGACTTTATTTTAATTTTTAAAAACAGATTAATAAATTACATTCTTACTTTTTACTCACTACCTCAAGTCAGGGAACAATATACAGACAAAATAGTATATTTTTTAAAAGTTAACTTTACTGTTGATTAGATACTTAGCAAAAGTGGCTTTAAGTATTTGGCCAAAATACCTACTGTATTTTTATTCATTTTGTAGTGCTATAACAGATCACCACATATTAGGTAATTTATAAAGAAAATAAATTTATTTCTTACAGTTCTGAAGACTGGGAAGTTCAAGGTTAAGAGGCCAGAAATGCAGAAGGGCAAGAGAGTACAAGGAATCAGGAGAACAACAGGGCACTGAATTTGTTTTTATAACAAGCCCATTCTTTCCCATTTTGGAGGTTGCCTGTTCACTCTGATGAGAGTTTTGTTGTTGTTGTTATTGTTTGTTAGGCAGAAGCTCTTTAATTAGATTCCGTTTGTCAATATTGGCTTTTGTTGCAGGTGCTTTTGGTGTTTTAGTCATGAAGTCTTTGCCTATGCCTATGTCCTGAATTGTAGTGCCTAGGTTTTCTTTTAGGGTTTTTATGGTTTTAGGTCTTATATATAAATATTTAATCCACCTTGAGTGAATTTTTGTTTTTAGGTGTAAAGTAATTTTTGTTTTTAGGTAATTTTTGTGTGAAGCGTAAGGAAGGGGTCCAGTTTTAGTTTTTCGCATATGGCTAGTGAGTTTTCTCAACACCATTTATTAAATAGGGAATACTTTCCCCATGGCTTGTTTTTGTCAGGTTTGTCAAAGATCAGATGGTTGTAGATGTGTGGCATTATTTCTAAGGCCTCTGTTCACCTCCATTGGTGTATTTATCTGTATTGGTACCAGTACCATGCTGTTTTGGTTACTGTAGCCTTATAGTACAGTTTGAAGTCAGGTAGTGTGATGCCTCCAGCTTTGTTCTTTTTGCTTAGGATTTCTCTTGGCTATACGGGCTAATTTTTGGTTCCACATAAAATTTAAAATAGTATTTTCTATTTCAGTGGTAGCTTGATGGGGATAGCATTGAATCTATAAGTTACTTTGGGCAGTGTGGCCATTTCATGATATTGATCTTCCTATCCATGAACATGGAATGTTTTTCCATTTGTTTGTGTCCTCTCTTATTTCCTTAAGCAGTGGTTTGTAGTTCTCCCTGAAGAGGTCCTTCACATCCCTTGTACTATCCAGAATCTACAAGGAACTTAAATAACTTTACAAGAAAAAAACAAACAACCCCATCAAAAAGTGGGCAAAGGATATGAACAGACACTTTTCAAAAGAAGACATTTATGCTGCCAATGAACATATGAAAAAAAGCTCATCATCACTGGTCGTTAGAGAAATGCAAATCAAAACCACTATGAGATACCATCTCACACCAGTTAAAATGGAGATCTTTAAAAAGTCAGGAAACAAGAGGTGCTGGAGAGGATGTGGAGAAATGGAAATAATTTTACACTGTTGGTTGGAGTGTAAATTAGTTCAACCATTGTGGAAGACAATGTGGTGATTCCTCAAGGATCTAGAACTAGAAATACCATTTGACCCAGCAATCCCATTACTGGGTATATAACCAAAGGATTATAAATCATTCTACTATAAAGACACATGCCCACATATGTTTATTGCAGCACTGTTCACAATAGCAAAGACTTGGAACCAACCCAAATGCCCATCAATGTTAGACTGGATAAAGAAAATGTGGTACATATACACCATGGAATACTAGGGAGCCATAAAAAATAATGAGTTCTTGTCCTTTGCAGGTACATGGATGAAGCTTGAAACCACCATTCTAAGCAAACTAACACAGGAACAGAAAACCAAATACCACATGTTCTCACTCATAAGTGGGAGTTGAACATTGAGAACATATGGTCACAGGGAGGGGAACATCACACACTGGGGCCTTTCTGGGGTTGGGGGCAAGGGGAGGGATAACATTAGGAGAAATACCTAATGTAGATGATGGGTTGATGGGTTCAGCAAACCACTGTGGCACATGTATACCTATGTAACCAACCTGCACATGTATCCAAGAACTTAAAGTATAATAAAGAAAAAAAAAATTTTAAAGTCCATTCTCACAATGACTAACCTATTCTCATGTTTTCCATTTTTTTTAAACACCACATGACTGTGGATAGAGATGAATTCTAGTTTGATTTGCCCTTACCCATAAGTACCCCTGGGAGGAACGTAAATGGGTAAACATATTCATGATATAAACATCTCTTGATGAGTAGTGTACAACTTCAAAAACTACGTTTATGTTTCTTCTCCAAAATCTGTTTGATTTTCTTGACATTCTCAGTTTTCTTACCCGACCAGTTCATCACCACTCACTGTCCTCAGTTTCCTTTTATATATTTTTTTCTTTCCTTCATTCTCTTTCATCCTCTCGGAAATAAAATCCTTATACTTTATAGCATCCATCCTTCACCCAAAAACACAATCTTAACTGTGCCTTCTGATAAATGTTATATGTTGTATCTACTGCATCTAAGAATTACATTAGGATCAGTTACAAATTACCTCAACTTCACCTATTCAAAGGAAAACCATGCAGAAGTTAAAAGTTGTAAAGTCATCTATCATGACTTCAGTGGATGACATGCAAGGTGGGCAACCACACATATGTAACTAACCTGCACAATGTGCACATGTACCCTAAAACTTAAAGTATAATAAAAAAAAGAAAAAAAAAAGAAATATTATGATAATATATTACTCCACAGGTCCTTAATGCATGTGACTCTATGTTCTTAAGTTTCTAACCATGTCCAGGTTTCCTTGCACTATCTTTTCTCATTTCTTTCAATGTTTAACTTCCCTTCTTAATGCTCTTAGGTATAAAAATTGCCAACTACATGCCAATTCAATGTAAAGTAGTGAGGTAAAAACCACAAAGAAGGAACAACATCTTAAAAGGAGAGAGATTAGAGGGAAGATAAAGCAGTCTCTAAAAGACTGCTAATAGTAAAATTTAAACAAGCTCTGGATTCCCTGAAAGCATTATTTTGAGGAAAAAATTGGTAGGAATATATTTCAAGAACTTTATTATGTTATTTTAGACTATTTTTTCTTCCTGGTAGTGGAAATCAAAGTAAAATCCTACCTGTTTTAAAAGGTTTTTGCTCAGCTTTAATGAAAAGGAAACACATTACATTGGTTTGACTATTTCTATACTTATAAAAGCCAGAGGCAAAATTCCAGATGATATTTTGTAAAAAAAAAAATACACACAATATTTTTGTTTTAAGGTAATATTCATCTTTGCAATCATGGGATAGTCTCTAATAACAACTGTATTGCTTGCTGTAATTGTCTCAAGGCTTGGTTATTTATTTATTTGCTAAGCATTTATCGCAGATAGTTTTACTGGTCTAATTATATCAACAGAATTAGGGATGTCAGAATTGTTGTCTATTTAAATGAAGTAAACTAAAGTAGACCTTGGCCAAATTGCCCCCTCATTGAAGTTACCATGTCTTTAAGAAATGAAAATAACTTCTCTCAGAAGACAAGCAGCATAAAAAAAGGAAACTTACCAACTGATTTAATGAGAAAGAAGACACCTGAAAATAAGGCCAGGCACAAAAACAGGAAAAAAATCAGTTCAAGGACAAATTCATTAGAGAGAGATCAGTAACTTAGGAAAGATTTTTCTTCTAAACAGCAAAGATTTTTATTATAAAACCCCATTATTTTATCATTAGGAGACTGCGTTACCAGGATTAAACTCCCACTTTCAAAAGACACAGCTATCAGTCAGAGGTCAAGGTTAAAGAAGGTAAATGGGTAATATCAAGCTTGACTTAATTAACAAATGTCTTGCCCATGTGTCTCTGCTTTATGTATTTTAAGCCCAGACTAGGGGCTGAATCACACCTAACTTGGAAGGCCAGGATGAGTTAAAAGATAGATAGAGTGATAAATACACAGACAAATACCTATTAATCTAGACATCTTTCCAAATAGAGGAAACTAGGCCTAAAGAAATTGTCAAGAAAATCAGTTCAAATGCCAAGAGATCTGACATCAATGATGTAGCACCATTGATATTCTATAGAACTGAAATAGCACCAACATTCATGTCAAACTAACAACATAAATTAGCAGCAGGAGCACTGACATTAATAGGTTAAAGAAAGAGAAATACAAACATCAATAAGTCTAGCAAACACTCGATCATTAATGGATGTTTCCTCAGCAGCACCATTCTTTAATCAAAAGGACATGGATATATAAAACCTTGTTAGAATTGGTCATTCTGGAGAACATAACACAACTTAAGCTACTATCCAGCACTTTCAGACTTGGATGGCATTCAACATGCAATGTCCTTTCTCCTCACCTGTCACTTTTTCTGAAGTGGTTATCATTTTGAGGGTTTTCTTAAGAAGCTTATAGTTGCTCCTTTTGTATCCTACGTGGTGTTCACTTTCTTAAATAGTTCTTTTCCATATTGTCCTTTGAAAATTCATTTGTCAGGGGCTCCATTTCTGCACAAAAAGTGAGTCAATCTAAAATAAAATCATTGATTGTAAATGAAAGTGGTAATGACATATATGAGCCTCAAACTGTTTATCAGAAGTCTTTTATAATTCACAATTTATTAAGCCTATAGCAAGTATCTGTTGAAAGCCAACTGTCAGAAATGGAGTTAAATGCTATGAACATGAATGCAAGCAACATAAAATGAATTCCCTCAAGGACTGTATCATGGAAAAAATGATGTAAACAGGCAAATGTGATT
This sequence comes from Homo sapiens, assembly GCF_000001405.40. Lineage (NCBI taxonomy): Eukaryota > Metazoa > Chordata > Mammalia > Primates > Hominidae > Homo > Homo sapiens. The sequence continues at coordinate 32,638,800 of NC_000004.12, forward strand.
TATTATGAGAGAATAAATCTGATAGTGTTTATATCAACTAAGCAGGTTAGAGGATGGAGGATTTCAAAGATGGCATTGCTACTTCTCATGGCAAAAATAGACTATTGTATGCTCTACTAGTATGTTCTACCAATTTTGATAATTGCATACTATTTGTCGTAGGCTGCCATCATTAAATATCACAGACTAGAAGACATACGAAAAATAGAAATTTATTTCTCACAACTCTACAGCTGGGATGTCCAACAGTAAGATATAAGCAGATACAATGTCTCTTGAGGGCCTATTTTCTGGTTCATAGGCAACAACTTCTCACTGTGTCCTCTCGTGGAAGAAAAGGCCAGGGGTCTCTTGGGCCTCTTTTATAAAGGCACTGAACTCATTCTTAAAGTCTCTGCCCTCGTGACCTAATTGCCTCCCAAAGGCCCTGCCTGCTAATATCACCACTTTCAAGCTTTAGATTTCAACATACAAAATTTGGGGCAATTAAAACGTCAAACCATAGCAATATTATTCAGTTTTCAAATCGCTTGAAGACATACAATCTCATTTTTATACAATGGATGTGTTCTAATCAGGATTAGTTTATAGACAGTGCTGGCCAATGGCCATAAAGTAGAAGTTTTACCTATAAAAATAAAATGATTGTATTGTTAAAAGACTTTAGAGTTTATTCTAAATGGTCTTTGCAATATTATAAAATTTAAAGTTTTAGAAAGTGAGAAAATAACAATCAAAAAGATTTCTGAGGATGACTAGCTATTAGAGAATTGTCAGCCATTGTTCTTTGATTTCAGTTTGATTTCCTTTCATGATGAGAAATTATAATGAATCACCACCAATCAGCAAACCTGATTATGGATTTCATCTGTAGAGCCTATAAAAAGCACCTGCTTCCTGGGCAAGTACTAGACAGCTGTGGGCATGACTGGAACTAAGTAGTCCTGCGCCAGCAACAAAGACTTTGGAAATCTCTTATCCTGACACCTCACTATCTGAAAATTAGTTCTTAAATGGCACCTTCCTTATGTTCCACACAAGTTAACTATCAACGTCAATATGTGTGTCTGTGTGTATTTTGGTTATGTTTTAAATTTTATTTTATGATTTGGTGTTATATTTATTTAAATTTACCTCTAGGGTATTTGTAATATTTTTCAAAGCTTAAGATTACTAAAGTTCTTAATTCAGACCAAATGTGGTTTTCAAAACGTAATAGATTCTCCTCTACTGGGCAGATTCTTATGTCAAGCCACCTTAGATAAAATTGGGGTATTTGGGTTCACTCTGTATGTGATTTTCTTAGAAAAAAACCCTAAATATCATTGTCTTGGCTTGGGTATAATCTTCTTACGATATCTGTGTAGGTATAAAAAGTTGGCTTGCTTAATATAACAGAAACTAGCCACATCACTTTTCAGGAGGGACACACAATTCCAGCTATATTTCTCAGTGTAGGGACAGTGAAATTGCAGAAACTCTAAGGCAAGATCATCTCTGGGTTAATACCTTTAAGTATTGCTATTCCACAAAAGATTTGAATTGAATTGCATGGGTAACTAAATATCCTCTAAAAATATCTTATTTCTAATATTTTGTTTATAAATATGACAGCTGACTTGGAATACATATGTATTTAAATTTTTAATTTGCTTAACAAAGACTTCACATTATAGAACACAGAGTAATTTATCTTTTTTCCCAAAAATGCATGTCCTCTTATTTCAAGGATGCTGCTATTGATTACTTTAGCATCAATAAGTGAGTGTGACCTCAAAGATCAACAAGGGGCCAACAGATCATTTTGCGTTGTGCACACATAAAGATTTTACAATAAGAATTAAAACAAAGGCAAATGTTTCAGTGAGGATGCATTAACTTTCAGTATATCCAAATAAAAAATTGTTTTTTGTCGGGGGAGTAAGGGATTGTCATAATCAACACCTTCAGGCTAAAATTCATTACTACATTCTTTCTGTTTTTTTTTTCTTTTTATTTGGGGGGTTCGGGGTGGAATCTTACTCTGTCTCCGCTCACTGAAACCTTTGCCTCCTGGGCTCAAGCCCCACCTCAGCCTCCCAAGTAGTGGGACCAAAGGTGCATGCCGTCATGCCTCGCTAATTTTTTCTAGATACAGGGTTTCGCTATGTTGCTCAGGCTGATCTTAAACTCCTGAGCTCAGGCAGTCCACCCACCTCAGCCCCACAAAGTGCTGGGATTACAGGCGTGAGCCACTGTGCCTGGCCCATATTAAATTATTTCAATGTCTAGAAATTAATTTTGTCATCTGAAAGGCCCGCTTTTTTTTCCCTCTGGAGTACTGATAATAATAATGAACTTCAACATAAAGAGGTAAAAATAGTCTTTATATATATATATATGTATATATATAAATGATGAGCTTATATATATATGTATATATGTGTATATATATATATAATGCCCATGATGACTGTTTTATTGAAAGGTGATGAAAATAGAGAGACTTAAGATAAATGGGAAGGGGTGGTAACATTAGATATGTTAGAAATGAAATTCACAAGTACTGAAATGACTTAATAACTAGAAAAGGGATGGCTATTGACAGTCTGCTGCAATGACCACATTGACTATCTTTGCCAACTGAATTTATCATTTTACTACCTTCCTCATTCACTTCAAGATTTTTCTTAGAAAAACTAAAAAATACTATCTATATTTGGAAAACATGTTTGTAAGAGCATTAGTGATCTTAATGAAATCCAAGAGCCACTAAATAAAAGTTAAATATTTTACCCAAAATATAGTTAAAATATTTATAAATACTATAGAATTTGAAGTGCCATTATAAACATCTTAATCCTTAAATAATAATTTAAAATATATCTCCTTTGTAACTACAAACTATATATACTATATATACACTATATATATACTATATAGTGTATATATAGTATATATATATACTATATATACTATATATACACTATATAGTATATATATAGTGTATATATATACTATATATACTGTATATATAGTATATATACTATATATAAACTATACTTTATATATAATATAAACTATACTTTTATTTGTAGACGTAACATCTTTGCTCTCTACATGCAAATGCAAAGTTTCAAGAGTGGTAGGAAAACCTAATTAAATATATCTGAATGTATAAACTTGTGTTGTTTAATCAATGCTGTAACTTGTTAAATAAGAGGTTTTCATTTACTTTTTAGAGTTAATTCTATAATTTTCTCTCTTCTAATAATATTTGCCAGTGTCTGGTACAACAATGAACACTAATGGCAGCAGTAGATATTCTTGTTTACTTGTTGGTTTAATGGTGGTACAAACCCTGCCTCACAAGTTTAGTATAAAATACGATGAAACAATGTAAATCCCTTTCTGGATCCATGGCACTTTTTGAGCACTTCAACACTTCGTAAGTGTTATTACTATTTTGTACAAAAATATATATTAAAATATGTGTTACTACATTTTCAGAATTTCTCTCCTCTCCCTTCAGGAGCATTCTCCCATCTCATGTGCTTCTTGTGGATCTATGGGCACAATGCCTAGCCTAGGATCCCCACAAACACAGGCATGGGAAGGTCACAAGGATGTCAATAAATAAATCTCCACATATGAAGTAATTGATCTAAATGTTGGGAAATAATATAAGCACATTTATTCAATGTTTTTATTTGATTGTTATATAGATATTTGGAGATATTAATTTCATTTACAACCATAATCCCTGCTTCCTCTCCATGTAATAACATATTCACAGGCTCCAGTGATTCAGATGTGGACACCTTTGGAGGAGCATTTATTCTGCCTACCACAGAAACTCTTCACTTTCATCACATGAAGTCAATTCTAGCTGTTCCTCATCCACTAACTAGTATTGTGTCCAAAAACAAATAATTTAGTCTTTTTGAATATTTTTATCCATTTAGAAAGTGAATGTTTTGTTTGATAAAGTCTGCTTTGATTTGTTGATATGAATTTAGTGACTGCCTTTTTAAAGCCATTGACTTAAGCAATAGATATAATTTTATATTTGAAAAACATGTCCTCAGTAATATCCTGCCTCTCAAACAATTAAAATATAATAGTAAGACATATGATAAGTTTATTTTAAGAATTTTACTTGTCAATAATTTAAAAAAAATCAGCAGTTCATTGGGAATAAAACAGAATCTACTTTATTCCAATAATCACTTCAAGTTAAGGAAATAATTAGAAATGTTGGAAAAAATGTTCATCACATGCTTATACATGTTGGTTGGAGTGTAAATTAGTTCAACCATTGTGAAAGATAGTGTGGTGATTCCTCAAAGACCTAAAGACAAAACTACCATTTGACCATGCAATCCTATTATTGGGTATATACCCAAAGGATTATAAATTCTTCTACTGTAAAGACACAGGCATGTCAGTGTTCACTATGGCACTCTTCACAATAGCAAAGAGGGGAATTAACCTAAGTGCCCATCAGTGATAAACTGGATATGTATTAAAAAAGTGGCACATATACACCATAGAGTACCATGCAGCCATAAAAAATAATGAGATCATGTCCTTTGCAGGGATATGGATGGAGCTTGAGGCCATTATCTCAGGAACAGAAAACCAAATACCACATGTTCTCACTTATTAGTGGAGGCTAAATTATGAGAACACATGGACACAGAGAGAGCAACACACACTGGGGTGTATCAGAGTGTGGAAGGCAGGAGGAGGGAGAGGATCAGGAAAAAAAAATAACTAATGGGTGCTAGGCTTGATACCTGGGTGATAAAATAATCTGTACAACGAAACCCCATGACACAAGTTTACCTGTGTAACAAACTTGCACATGTACCCCCGAACTTAAAATAATAGCTAAAAAAGAAATATGTAGCCTTTATCATATTTTGAAGATTATTCAATATTTCATGAGGTTTTTCTAAAGAAAGATACAAACCTTTTGTTTACTTTAGTTTAATTTGTTTAAAAATACTCTAAAAGCACAAAAGGACTCAAATTGAATACAACTAGTTAATAAACATTTTTTCTTTGGGACATCTCATATGATTTTCATTTATTTTTTCCTTTTTGACTTGTCTGTATTTTTCCTATTCCAATAATGAGATCATTGTTAATAAATATATTTAAAAGTAATTTTTAAAATGAAAAGATTAGGGATTACATAATAATGGAATTAGTAAAAAGTTTAATTGCTAACATATCTCAACAGATAATAACACCTTATCCAGAAATAACTAGAGATATTTTTGTTATTGCAACATTTTTATCTATCTCTCTCATTATCCAGAACTTCAAAACCTCTGTAATTATGAATTCTGACTCCTCACAGTTTTGAACCATATCTCCACAACTTGATTATGTCACTACTTTAAACACAAGTCTTGATCTCATAAGTGTGTTCAGTTCAATGATCCTGGAAGTTTTTATTCACCATTCACTTTCTGTCTTAATTTTATTCTCTACAGAATTTAGTTTCTGTGGTCCATCATTTCTATAACTTTTCTGCCAATATACTAAATGTCCTTGTCCAATTAAATTAAATTTCCATTATGCTCCTTTAGCTAGCACTCAGTCCTGATTGAGTCAAATTCTGAACTTCCACAGCTCCATCAAGCCTGCTGAATACTGCAAGAAAAAAAGAATCACATATCTAGTCATGTTAGTACCACTATATTTTCAAGAACATTGGCCACAATTTTAGCTTGCAAATCTGTAGACCAGTGGGACAATGTTTCCCTAAAAAATATCTGCTTTCATTTATCACAGAAATAATTAGAACTATATCCACTTTCTTAAAACATCTGACCAGGACCCTACTTACCCACTCACATTTAGTAAATTACTTTATCTCTTACTACCTGGATACCATTAAAGAAGATAAGAACAATATTCTGAACTGAGTTTTTTAATCTATAGGTAGATATAAATATATATACACACACAAATGCACACATGTACATTCTATCTTTCAGAATTTTTTTGAAATACATTTTCCATGAATGGTCTCTTTCTAGTTCTTTGTTATATTATAAGTTTATATTTCTTTTATTCCTTTAGTAAAATTATTTTTGGAATTTTATAGTTAGGAAATTACAGTCATGCATTGCTTAATGATGGAACTATGTTATAAGAAATGTCTCATTGGGCATTTTTTTTGTTTGTGAACATCACAGATTGGATTTACACAACTAGAGTATAGCCCACTATACACCTAGGCTTTGTGATGTAGCCTATTACCTAGCCTGTAAACCTATACAGCATGTTACTGTACTAAATACTGTAGGCAGCTGTAATATAATGGTAAGTGTTTGGGTATCTAAACCTATCAATGTTTCAGTAAAAATACAATATTATAATTTTATGGGACTACCATCATATATGCATATATGTGGTCTGTCATTGACCAAAACATCCTCGGGTTGCACATGATGATATTAATATCTGCTTACCCTGATATTGAGCTTTGAGCTTTATATATTGTTGTGGGAAGTCAGGGACCCCGAACAGAGGGACCTGCTGAAGCCGTGACAGTAGAACATAAATTGTGAAGATTTCAAGGACATTTATTAGTTCCCCAAATTAATACTTTTATAATTTCTTATGCCTGTCTTTACTACAATCTCTGATCACAAATTGTGAAAATTTCATGGACATTTATCACTTCCCCAGTCAATACTCTTGTGATTTCCTATGCATGTCTTTACTTTAAACTTTTAATCCTGACATCTTAGTAAGCTGAGGATGTATGTCACCTCAGGACCCTGTACACAAATTGTTCATAAAGGATGTGTGTTTAAACAATATGAAATCTGGGCACCTTGAAAAAAGAACAGGATAACAGCCATGTTCAGGGAACAAGGGAGATAACTGTTGGGCCTGACAGCCTGAGGGGCCGGACAGAACGGAGTCATATTTCTCTTCTTACAAAAGCAAATAGGAGAAATATTGTTGAATTCTTTTTCTCAGCAAGGAACAGCCCTGAGAAAGAGAATGCATTCCTGGGGGGAAGGTCTCTAAAATGGCCGCTCTGGGAATGTCTGTCTTATACAGTTGTCGATAAGGGATGAAATAACCCCTGGTCAACCATAGTGCCCCTAGGCATATCAGGATGAGGAAATTCCTGCCTAGTAAATTTTAGTCAGACCGGTTGTCTGCTCTCAAACCCTGTCTCCTGACATTATCAATGACAATGCGTGCCCAGTCAGACATGAAACTTCATTAGCAATTTTAATTTCACCCTGGTCCTGTGATCTTGCTCTGCCCCCATTTGCCTTGTGATATTTTATTGCCTTGTGAAGCATGTGATCTCTGTGACCCACACCCTATTCGTACACTCCTTTTTGAAATCCATAATAAAAAATTGCTGGTTTTGCGGCTTGGGGTGCATCACAGAACCTGCCGACATGTGATGTCTCCCCCGGACACCCAGCTTTAAAATTTCTCTCTTTTGTACCCTTTCCCTTTATTTCTCATACCAGCTAACACTTAGGGAAAATAGAAAAGAACCCACATTGAAATAATGGGGGCTGGTTCCCCCAATATCTGGCACCCACATGGTCTTTCTTTTTTCCCAAGTGTATGTGGGAACCCGATTCCCTTTGGTAGGTGTGGAGAAACGTCACTGGTTCGGTCCACAGAAACACTTGTTCAACTCCCTGATGACAGGTGAGTAGTCAGTGTATGGTCCGGGTTAACTATGGGTCATGCGGAGTCTATACATCATGCTTATCTCTAATATATTAAACTCCTGTTAAAACAGGGCAGTGTTTGAGTGCCTATGGAAAATATGGTCACACTATTCAGGGCAGTGGAAAAATACTGTCCTTGGTTTCCTGAAAAAGGAACCTTATACGTAGAACTTCCCCGTCCACTTCAGCCCCTCACCCTCCTGTTGTTTCAGTTTCTCAACCAGTCACTTTTCTATCCACTCAGCCTGCTTCTCTGTACCCTTCTTCACACATGGACACCAGTAATCACCAGTATACTTCTGCTCCTTCTGCTCCCCCAATATATAGAGAATCCAAAGGTAGGAAAAGTGCAGAATTCAACATACCCCCATTTCTTCAAAACCTGCCATCAACAATAATACACATCTTATTTCCACTGTTTCATCTATCCTTTATTTTTGGTGCAATATCTTAAAGCAGATATAGGGCATGATGTCATTTCACCATCACACATTCCAATGTGTATCTAAGAAGTAATGGATTTAAAATAATGACAATACCATTATAACATTTAATGTAATTAACAAAAATACCTGACTATCATCTAATACCCAGTCCTTTGTCAACTTTCTCTAATTGTATTATAAAATTAGTTGATCTATTAACATTAGAATTTAAACAATATGCAATCATTTTATTTGGTTGTTATATCTCCTATGTCTCTCTTAACATAGAACAGTCTTGTCCTTCCCATTCTCCTTTTTCACACTGCCTTTGACTTTTTGAAGAAATGGAGTAAGTTTTCTTAAAATGGCTGATATTCTGGATTTGACTAATTCATTTCTGAAGGTATTTTATTTATTGTTCCTATTTTCACCATACTTTCTCAACACTAGTTGTGTATACAACTGTTTAGATTTAAATCCAGTTTTGGAGGCAAATGTATCTCGTAGGTAAGCTGTGTATTTTACATTGCTTTACAGCATGAAACACATAACTCTGTCTCATTTTTAGTTTTTAGTAGAAAATGTCTCACTTTTGCTCTAAACACTTTTCAAAAATGTTCTGAGCACTATAACCAAAGTGGTAGAGTTCTACTGGCTTATAAAGTACAAGAAATGTTACTCCTTAAGATACTTACTTTAAAAATTGAAATAATATGGCTTTTTATTAACATCTTTGATGTGGCTTTGCTGTGTCCCCACCCAAATCTCATCTTGAATTCCCACGTGTTGTGGGAGGGGCCCGATAGGAGGTAATTGAATCATGGGGGCAGGTCTTTCCTGTGCTGTTCTAGTAATAGTGAATATGTCTCATGAGGTCTGATGGATTTATAAGGTTGAATTTCCCTGCACAAGCTCTCTTCTCTTGCCTGCCACCATGTAAGAAATGACTTTCACCTTCCACCATGATGGTGAGGCCTCCCTAGCCAGGTGGAACTATGAGTTCATTAAACCCCTTTCTTTTGTAAATCGCCCAGTCTTGGGTATGTCTTTATCAAAAGCAGCTTCTTTTTGACAAACTTGAAAAACCTACAATTTATTTTAAAAATTTTCAAAAATGCAGAGCATGAAAATTTGATTGAATATTAATTAAAATGTTAAAATTATTCTCAAACTCCAAAACTGTGGGATAATTTAAATATCACCTCTTGCTTTATTTGTGTGTGTTACAAAAACAACACTTGGTCATTAGAGAAAAAGGAATATATAGAAAGCAAAATAATGTAAAGGATACTTGTTATTCTATTCAAGAAATGAAAATTCTTCAGAATAAGATCCTCTGAATACATAGCATAGATGAGTGTTATAAGCACATTTCAAATCTTAGTGCATTTTTTTAAAAAGCTGCATGGTTACTTAACCCCTTTGTTTTCTGACCTGTAAAATGGGGCCATTAACAGCACCTACTCTTTACAGTTGTTTTAAAACTGAATGAATACTTGTAAAATACATGAAAAAATAACTGGCACAAATTAACTGTCAATAAATATTCCAATTTTCTTCTAAGCACATCCTTATGTAATATTTAAAATGAAACATATATTCTATATGCATTGAAAACATACAATTTACAAATTACACAAGTCTATGTGTATCCGCATGTATGTAAATGTTCCTATATATAAAATTTCAATATACTTGAGTTTTTCCCCGAAATCACCATTTTGTTTGTTTGTTTGTTTTTGTTTTTGTTTTTGTTTTTGTTTTGTGTGAGATGGTGTCTTACTTCTTTGCCTAGGCTGGAGTGCAATCTTGACTCACTGCAACCTCTGCCTCCTAGGTTCGAGCAATTCTCCTGCCTCAGCCTCCCAAGTAGCTAGGATTATAGGCACTTGCCACCATGCCTGGCTTAATTTTGTATTTTTAGTAGAGATGGGTTTTCACCATGTTGGCCAGGCTGGTCTTGAACTCCTAACCTCAAGTGATCTGCCCAACTCAGCCTCCCAAAGTGCTGGGATTACAGGTGTGAGCCACCATACCTGGCTGCCAATCACCTGTTTTTAATCTTTTTTCCTATTATTCTCTTTTAAATAATGCACTGTATTAGTTCATTCTCAGGCTGCTATGAAGAAATACCTAGGACTAGGAAATCTATAAAGGAAAGAGGTTTAATTGATTCACAGTTCAGCAGGGCTGGGGAGGCCTCAGGAAACTTACAATCATGGTGGGAGGGAAGCAAACACATCTTTCTTAACGTGGCGGCAGCAAGAAGTTCCGAGCAAAAGAGGAAAAAGCCCCTTATAAAGCCATCAGATCTTGTGAGAACTTACTCACTATTCTGAGAACAGCGGTGTGGGATGACTGCCCCCATGGTTGAATTACCTCCCACCAGGTCCCTCCCATGACATGTGGGGATTATGGGAACCACAATTCAAAATTGAGATTTGGGTGGGCACACAGCTAAACCATATCATTCCACCCCTGGCTCCTCCTAAATCTCATGTCCTCACATTTCAAAACACAATCATGCCTTCCCAACAGTCCCCCAAAGTCTTAACTCATTCCATTATTAACCCAAAGGTCCAAGTCTAAACTGTCACCTGAGTCAAGACAAGTTCCTTTTGTCTATGAGCCTGTAAAATCAAAAGCAATTTAGCAGCTTCCTACATACAATAGGGGTACAGACATTGCATAAATATACCCATTCTAAAGGAGAGGAATTGGCCAAAACAAAGGGGCTACAGGCCCCATGAAAATCCAAAATTTAGAGAAGCAGCCAAATCTTAAAGCTCTGAAATGATCTCCTTTTAACTCCATGTCTCATATCCAGGTCATACTGATGAAAGATGTGGTCTGCCACATCCCTGAGCATCCCTGACTCTGTGGCTTTTCAGGGTATAGCCCCACTCCAGGCTGTTTTCCAAGGCTGGCGTTGAGTGTTTGCAGCTTTTCCAGGTGCACAATGAAAGCTGTTGGTGGAGCTACCATTCTGGGATTTGGGCATATGGTGGCCCTCTTCTCACAGCTTTACTAAGCAGTGCCCCAATGGGGACATTGTGTGGGGGCTCCAAACCCACGTTTCCCTTCAACACTGTTCTAGCAGAGGTTCTCCATTAGGATTCCATCCCTGCAACGAACTTCTGCATGGACCTCCAGGTGTTTCCATACATCCTCTGAAATTCAGGCAGAGGTTCCCAAACCTCAATTATTGACTTCTGTGCACCCACAGGCTCAATATCACATGGAAGCTGCCAAGGCTTGGGCTGGCACCCTCTGAGCAATGGCCTGAAATGTAGCTCAGTCTCTTTTAGTCACAGCTGGAGCAGCTGGGATGCAGGGCACCCAGTCCCAAGGCTTCATACAACAGAGGGGCCCTGGACCTGGCCCATGATACCATTTTTTCCTCTTAGGCCACTCGGCCTGTGATGTGAGGGGCTGCTGTGAAGACATCTGACATGCCCTGGAGACATTTTCCCCATTGTCTTGGTGATTAACATTGGCTCCTAGTTACTTATGCAAATTTCTGAAGCTGGATTGAATTTCTCCTCAGAAAATGGGTTTTTCTTATCTATCTTATCATCCACCTGCAAATTTTTCAAACTTTTATGCTCTGCCTCCTCTTGAACCCTTTGCTGTGTAGAAGTTTCTTCTGCCAGATACCTTAATTATCATTCTCAAGTTCAAAGTTTCACAGATCTCTAGGGCAGGGGCAAATGCCGCCAGTCGCTTTGCATAGCAAGTCACCTTTACTCCAGTTTCCAACAAGTTCCTCCTCTCCATCTGAGACCACCTCTGCCTTGACTTCATTGTCCATGTCACTATCAGCATTTTGGTCAAGGCCATTCAACAAGTATCTAAGAAGTTTGGAACCTTCCCACATCTTCCTGTCTTCTGAGCCCTCTAAGTCTCTAGAAAGTTACAAACTGTTCCCCATTTTCCTGTCTTCTTCTGAGCCCTCCAAACTGTTCCAACCTCTGTCTGTTACCCAGTTCTAAACTTGTTTCCACATTTTTAGGTATCTTTATAGCAGCACCCCTCTACCTGCTACAAATTTACTGTATTAGTTTGATTTTGCACTGCTATGAAGAAATACCAGAGACTGGGTAATTTAGAAAGGAAAGAGGTTTAATTGACTCACAGTTCAGCAGGGCAGGGAGGCCTCAGAAAACTTGCAATCATGGCAGAAGGGTAAAGAAACACATCCTTCTTCACATGATGGCAGCAAGAAGAAGTGTTGAGAAACAGGGGAAAAGCCCCTCCATCAGATCTCATGAGAACTCACTCACCATCATGGGAATAGTGGCATGGGAATATTATCTCCCAAGGGTCCCTCCCATGACACATGGGGATTATGGGAACTATAATTCAAGATGAGATATGGGTGGGACACAGCCAAACCATATCAATTAATAATTGGGTAAATGTGAATTTACTATGAAAAGTTAAAAAGAATATGGAAAATCAAAACTTCTGAGAATAGTGCAGAAATGAGTAGACTAATTTAGGACTAACTTACAATTCTCTAAAACAAATCTGTTAAAAAAAATAGTAATTTGTGGGAAGATTTTTTAAACCAATTTTAACTTTAGTATTTATTTGTAATATTTTCTGTACTCAGGTAATAATTGTAAATAAATTGGAACAAAAAAGGTTCAGGCAGAGTTTATCTTTGAAAGAAGTTCAAATATATGCAATTTTTCTTATGTTCGAAAACCTTAGAAGTCTTTCTATAGTTTTAGGAACAAATACCTAAGTCGTCACTAGCATACACAGGGCCTTACATGATCTAATCTTGCCTACCTGTCTGAAGGTCTTATGTTTTATTCTTCCCCTCCTCAACCACTTTTCATTCTACTGAAATTTTTGCTCTTTCTTTTATGTACCTTGTTATTTTTCTCCTCAAAGCTTTTGAAATTGCTATTATTGTTGAACTGGAAATTTCTTCTCCCCAAAATGTGTTGTGGCTTACTTCAGGTTGTTGTTTATGTTCTCTTGGAAGCAAATTCTGAGATGGAGAACAGAAAGTGGATTGGCTCTTGTGGAACCGAAGGCAAGGAAATAGGATAGGGCAGACGGAGATGTCAAAACTGGCAGTTGCAACAAATGTCTCATGAGGAGGTGGAGACTGGAATGGGCATTGGAAAATCCTCTGTATTGACTATTGGATGCATGTTTGGTGTGACCTTGGGTGAGGCTGCTCACATAAGTCAAGGCAAAATTAAAGAAATGATATATGAGAGTACTCCAAGAATCTGGAAGGATAAGTCATTCTATCTTAAGGGGACGTGCAGGAGACACATGACGGCATCCACTGCTCTTCATTACATCACAGCCTCTGCAAAAAAGTACAGTCCTACAACAAGGAGTTTTACCATTTTTTCTTGCCGTATTTTTTTAAATCATAGCACTTATTGCCACCAGGCTTTATAGCATAGTTTTATTTGTTTATTCATGTATTGTATGTTTCTCTCTTAGAACACAAGCCCCAAGGGGCTGGAATTTTATCAATACAAATTACTACTTTATCTCTACTGTGTGGAATGATGCCAGGTGAAAACATAACTAATCAATCCTTTTTTTTTTTAATAAAAATACTGGCTTCTTTCCTTGCAAACACACACACATTGAAATATACTTTTTAAAACTTATTTAATAAATTATTTCAGACAAAACAATCCCCTGATAATTTTTCCAACAATAGTTTCATGAAGTTAGTTTTTAAATGTGATGTGGATTAACTATTAGGATTCCAGCATACATTAAAAAAAAAAGTTTAACGTAATATGTAGAAGGATGAATTTGATGATTTTTCATATACTTTTAGAGCATTTTAAAATATTTTTCTATAAGTTATTAGGATACAGGTGGTATTTAGTTACATGAGTAGGTTCTTTAGTGGTGATTTGTGAAATTTTGGTGCACCCATCACCTTAGCAGTATATACTGCACCATATTTGTAGTCTTTTATCCCTCTCCCTGCTCCCACTCTTCCCCCTAAGTCCCCAAAGTCTTTTTGATCATTCTTATGCCTTTGCATCCTCATAGCTTAGCTCCCACATATCAGTCAGAACATATGATGTTTGGTTTTCCATTCCTGAGTTACTTCACTGAGGGTAATAGTCTACAATCTCATCCAGGTAACTGCAAATGCTGTTAATTCATTCCTCTTTAAGGCTGAGTAGTATTTCATCACACACATATATGATGTATATATGTATGTATATATATATATATATATGATGTGTATATATATCTCACAGTTTCTCTACCCACTGGTTGATTGATGGGCATTTGTGTTGGTTCCACGATTTTGCAATTATGAATTGTGCTGCTATAAACATGCATATTCAAGGATCTTTTTTGAATAATGACTCCGTTTCTCCTGGGTGGATACCCACTAGTGGGATTGCTGCATAAAATGGTAGTTCTACTTTTAGTTCTTTAAGGAATCTCCATACTGTTTTCCATAGTGGCTGTAATAGTTTACATTCCTACCAGCAGTGCAGAAGTGTTCCCGATCACTGCATCCATGCCAAAATCTACTTAAAAAAAATAATAATAATTATGGCCATTCTTTCAGGAGTAAGGTGGTATCACATTGTGGTTTTGATTTGGATTTCCCTGATCACTAGGGATGTTGAGCATTTTGTCATATGTTTGTTGGCTATATGTATATCTTCTTTTGAGAATTTTCTATTCATGTAATTAGCCCAATTTTTGATGGGATTTTTTTTTCTTACTGATTTGTTTGAGTTCATTGTAGATTCTGGATATTAGTCCTTTGTCAGAAGTATAGATTGTGAAGATTTTCTCCCACTCTGTGGGTAATCTATTTACTCTGCTGACTGTTCCTTTTGCCATGCAAAAGCTCTTTACTTTAATTAAGTCACAGCTATTTACTTTTGTTTTTATTGCATTTGCTTTTGGGTTTTTGGTCATGAAATCCTTGCCTAATCAAATATCTAGAAGGGTTTTTCCAGTGTTATCTTCTAGAATTTTTAAAATTTCACGTTTTAAATTTAAGTCCTCCATCAATCTTGAGTTGGTTTTTGTATTAGGTGGGAGATGAGGATCCAGTTTTATTCTCCTACATGTGGCTAGCCAATTCAACCAGCACTATTTGTTGACAAGAGTGTCCTTTCCCCACTTTATGTTTTTGTTTGCTTTGTCAAAGATCAGTTGGTTGTAAGTATTTGAGTTTATACCTGGGTTCTCTATTCAGTTCCATTGGTCTATGTGCCTGTTTTTAATACCAGTATCATGCTGTTTTGGTGATTATGGCCTTACAGTATTGTTTGAAATCAGGTAATGTCATGCCTCCAGATTTGTTCTTTTTGCTTAGTGTTGCTTTGGCTTTTGGGCTTTTTTAAAATTCCATATAAATTTTAGGATTTATTTTTCTAATTCAGGGAAGAATGATGTTGGTATTTGATGGGGATTGGATTAAATTTGTAGATTGCTTTTGGTAGCGTGGTCATTTTCACAATATTGATTCTATCCATCCGTGAGCATGGGATGTGTTTCCATTTGTTTGTGTCATCTATGATTTCTTTTAGCACTGTTTTGTAGTTTTCCTTGTAGAGGTTTTTTGACTCCTTGTTTAGGTATATTCCCAAGTATTTTATTTTATTTTTTGCAGCTATTGTGAAAGGGGTCAAGTTCTTGATTTGATTCTCTGTTTGGTCACTGTTGGCATATAGAAGAGCTACTGATTTGTGTACATTAATCTTGTATCCAGAAACTTTGCTGAATTCTTTTATCAGTTCTAGAGGCTTTCTGGAGGAGTCTTTAGGGTTTTCAAGGTAAACGATCATATCATCAGCATATAGTGACAGTCTGACTTCCTCTTTACTAATTTGGATGCCCTTTATTTCTTTCTCTTGTCTAATTGCTCTGGCTAAGACATCCAGAACTATGTTAAAGAGGAGGAGTGAGAGTGGGCATCTTTGCCTTGTTCCAATTCTCAGAGAGAATGCCTTCAACTCTTCCCTGTTCAGTTTTATGGTGGCTGTGGGTTTGTCATAGATGGCTTTTATTACATTAAGGTATGTCTCTTTTATGCCAATTTTGCTGAGAGTTTTAATCATAAAGGGATGATGGATTTTGTCGAACATTTTTTCTGCATCTATTGAAATGATCATGTGATTTTTTTTAATTTTGTTTATGCAGTGTATCACATTTATTGACTTGCATATGTTAAAGCATCCTTGGTATGAAACCAACTTGATCATGGTGGATTATCTTTTTGATATGATGTTGGATTTGGTTAGCTAGTATTTTGTTAAGGATGTTAGCATCTATGATCATCAGGGATATCAGCCTGTAGATTTCTATTTTGGTTATGTCCTTCCCTGGTTTTGGTATTAGGTTGATGCTGGTTTCATAGAATGAATTAGGGAGGGCTCCTCTTTCTCTATCTTGTGGAATAGTGTCAAGAGGATTGGTACCAATTCTCCTTCTTTGAATGTCTGGTAGAATTCTGCTGTGAATCCATCTGGTCTTGGACTTTTATTTGTTGGTATTTTTTTGATTACCATTTTAATCTCACTGCTTGTTATTCATCCGTTCAGGGTATCTAATTCTTCCTGATTTAACCTAGTAGTGTTGTATTTTGCCAGGAATTTATACATCTCTTCTAGGTTTTCTAGTTTATGTGCATAAAGATGTTCATAGTAGCCTTGAATGATCTTTTGTGTTTCAGTGGTAATATCTCCTGTTTTGTATCTTAATGAGGTTATTTCAACTTTCTCTCTTCTTTTCTTGGTTAATCTTGCTAATAGTCTATCAATTTTATTTATCTTTTCAAAGAAACAGCTTTTTGTTTTATTTATCTTTTGCATTTTTTTGTTTGTTCTTTTTAATTTCCTTTAGTTTTGTTCTGATCTTGGTTATTTCCTTTCTTCTGTGAGGGTTATGTTTGGTTTGTTCTTGTTTCTCTAGTTTCTTGAGGTGTGAACTTAGAATGTCGTTTTTTGCTCTTTCAGTCTGTTTGATGCAGACGTTTAGGGCTATGAACTTTCCTCTTAGCACCGCCTTTGCTGTATTCCAGAGGTTTTGGTAGGTTGTATCATTATTGTTATTCAGTTTGAATAATTTTTTAATTTCCATCTTGATTTCTGTTTTTACTCAATGCTCATTTAGGAGCAAGTTATTTAATTTCCATGTATTTGCATGATTTTGAAGGTTCCTTTTGAGGTTGATTTCCAGTTTTATTCTACTGTGGTCTGAGAGAGTGCTTGATATCATTTCAATTTTTTTTGAATTTATTGAGGTTTGTTTTATGGCCTATTATATGATCTATCTTGGAAAGTTCCATGCGCTGTTGAATAGAATGTGTTTTCTGTGATTGTTGGATGAAATGTTCTGTATATATCTGTTAATTCCATTTGTTTTAAGATATAGTTTAAATCTATTTTTTCTTTGTTGACTTTCTATCTTGATGACCTGTCTAGTGCTGTCAGTGGAGTAATGAAGTCCCCCACTATTATTGTGTTACCGTCTATCTCATTTCTTAGGTCTATTAGTAACAGTTTTATAAATTTGGGAGCTCCAGAGCTAGGTGTGTATATGTTTAGGATTGTGCTATTTTTCTGTTGGACGAGGTCTTTTACCATTATATAATGTCTCTCTTTGTCTATTTTAACTGCTATTGCTTTAAAGTTTGCTTTGTCTGATATAAGAATAGCTACCCCTTCTTGCTTTTGGTATCCATTTGCATGAAATACCTATTTCCACCCCTTTACTTTAAGTTTATGTGAGTCCTTATGTGTTAGGTGAGTCTCCTGAAGGCAGCAGTAGTTGGTTGGTGAGTTCTTATCCATTCTGCAGTTCTCTGTCTTTTAAGTGGAGCATTTAGGCATTTACATTAATGTTAGCATTGAAATATGAGGTACCATTCATTCCTTGGGCTCTTTGTTGCCTGTGTACTTTGTTTTTTTGTTTTTACTTTTTATTTTTGTTTTATAGGTCCTGTGTGATTTATGCTTTAAAAAGGTTCTGTTTTGATGTTTTTCCAGAATTTGTTTAAACTTTTAGAGCTCCTTTTAGCAGTTCTTCTAGTGGTGGCTTGGTAATGGCTAATTCTCTCAGTATTTGTTTGTCTGAAAAAGACTGTATCATTCCTTCATATGTGATGCTTAGTTTTACTGGATACAAAATTCTTGACTGATAATTATTTTGTTTGAGGAGGCTGAAGATAAGGCCTCAATCCCTTCTAGCTTGCAGGGTTTCTGCTGTTAATCCGATAGGTTTTCCTTTAGAGGTTAAGGTTACCTGGTGCTTCTTTCTCACAGCTCTTAAGATTCTTTTCTTCACCTTAACTTTGGATAACCGGATGACAATGTGCCTAAGCAATGATCTTTTTGTGATGAATTTCCCAGATGTGCTTTGTGCTTCTTGTATTTGGATGTCTAGGTCTCTAGCAAGGCCAGAGAAGTTTTCCTTGATTATTCTTCCAAATGTGTTTTTCAAGCTTTTATAATTCTCTTCTTCCTCAGGAACATAGATTATTCTTAGGTTTGTTTGTTTAACATAATCCCAGACTTCTTGGAGGCTTTGTTCATATTTTCCTTTTTTTTCTTTGTCTTTGTTGGACTAGGTTAATTTGAAGATCTTGTCTTGGCGCTCTGAATTTCTTTCTTCTACTTGTTTAATTCTATTGCTCAGACTTTTCATAGCATTTTGCATTTCTAAAAGTGTGTCTGAAGTTTCCTGAATTTTTGACGGTTTTTTTCTTTAAGCTATCTATTTCATTGTATATTTCCACCTTCACTTCTTGTATTGTTTTTTGGATTTCCTTGCTTTGGGCTTTGCCTTTCTCTGGGGCATCCCTGAATAGCTTAATGACTAACCTCCTGAATTCTTTTAGAGGTAAATCAGGAATTTCTTCTTGGTTTGAATCCATTGCTAGTGAACTAGTGTGATTTTTGGGGGATGTTAAAGAGCCTTCTTTTGTCATATTACCAGGGTTGATTTTCTGCTTTCTTCTCATTTGGGTAAGCTCTGTCAAAGGGAAAGTCTAGGGCTGAAGGCTGTTGTTCAGATTCTTTTTTCTCACAGGGTGTTCTCTGATGTAATACTTTTCCCCTTTTCCTGTGGAGGTAGCTTCCTGTGAACTGAACTGCAGTGATTGTTGTTTCTCTTCCGGGTCTAGCCACCAGTGACTCTGCTGCCAGGGTGGGTAGGGAAGGACCATCAGTTGGGGGCAGGGCTAGGCATATCTGAGCTCAAACTCTCCTTGGGTGGGTCTTGCTGAGGCTGCTGTGGGGGATGGGAGTGAGATTCCCAGGTCACTGGAGTTGTGTATGTAGGAGGATTATGGTTGCCTCTGCTGAGTCATGCAGGTTGACAGGGAAGTGGGGAAAACCAGCCATCACAGACCTCACCCAGCTCCCACACAAACCGAGGTGCCGGTCTCACTCCCACCATGCCCCCTGCAACAGCTATAAGTCTGTTTCCAGGTGGTGGGCAAGACAGGCTTGAAAATTTGTCTCAGGCTACCCACTTGCCAGCTGTGAAAGAAAAGGGCTTGGTTATTCTCCCGCCCAAGGAGTCTGCACACAGGATTTGTACCTGCCCCCTTCACCGGAGTTCTGGCAAGGAAGCTCCTTGTCCCGTTCGAATTGTTACGAAGTTCAGCTAGAGATTTCCTTCTCCCTATGGAGTTTTAGCCCCGCTCCTCTAGCCACCCTCCTGATGGATCCCTGTGGTGCCAGGCAGGAATGGGCTGCTTGGGGACCCAGTGAGCTCCCAGGGCCTTTCTGCTGCTTCCTCTACCGTATATTTCACGTGGCTCCCTAAATTGACTCAGCTCCAGGTAAGGTCGGAAACTTTTCCCACAAACAGACCCTCAGTTTCTCCAGTGGAGGTGTGTGTTCCGGAGAGGAGAGTCTCTTTTTACCACTTCCGCAGTTGGAGCACTCACAGTATTTGGAGTGTCTTCAGGGTCCTGCAGCAGCAGTCTGCTTCCTTCCGAGGGTCTGTCTTTAGAGCAATTTTTTGTATTTGCAAATTTTATTATGTAAGTCCATGAGATGAAATGTATGGGAGGAATACTAATTGAGATCTTTAACATATATTTTATTAAAAATTAAACTTTCAAAATCCTCTAGATTTCCAAGAAGGAAGCTTCTATAGCTGGAGAAGACAATGCCACTATATTCACAAAATAACATTTTATTTTTCCTCTCTCAGCAAACATCCACTAAATTACGAAGTACTGACTTTAAGGAGAACAAATTTCAGCTGTTAAATATTATTTTTTATTCTCTTTTAAATAACAGAAAAATGAAATACAATCTTTTGAACAAAAATTTCCCAAACTACTAGTGATATGTAATTAATATTTGAGATGGACCATCCATTTTTCTCTTAGTATTGGGAGTAAAAACAAATAGAACTGATGAGAAATGTGAGTCACAAATTATTCTTGACTAAGAGTATTATATTCCAGCAAAAGTGAGACAGTAAATTATCTTTTCTTTTATTTTAGGTTCAGGGGTACATGTACAGGTTTGTTATATAGGTAAATGGCTTTTCGTGGGGGTTTGGTATACAGATTAGTTTTTCCTCCAGATAATAAGCATAGTACATAATAGGTAATTTTTTGACCCTTACACTTCTCCCATCCTCCACCCTCGAGTAGGTGCCAGTGTCTGTTGTTCCTTTCTTTGTGCCTGTATGTACTAGATGTTTAGCTCTCACTTGTAATTGAGAACATGTGGTATTTATTTTCTGTTCCTGTGTTAGTTTGCTTAGAATAATGGCCTCCAGCTGCATCAGTGTTGCTTCAAAGGACATCATCTCCATTTTTATGGCTGTATAGTATTCCACAGTGTATATGTGCCACCTTTTCTCCATCTGGTCTATCACTGATGGACATTTAGGTTGCTTCCATGTCTGTGCTATTGTGAATAGTGTCACAATAATATATGTGTGCATGTGTCTTTGTGGTAGAATGATTTATATTCCTTTGAGTATATACCCAATAATGGCATTGCTGGATTGAATGGTAATTTGACTTTAAGTTGTTCCAGAAATTGCCAAATTGCTTTCAACAGTAGCTGAACTAATTTACATTTTTCTTTCCACAGTGGTTGAACTAATTTACATTCCCACTAGCAGTGTATAAGCATTCTCTTTTCTCTACAACCACACCAGCATCTGTTATTTTTTGACTTTTTAATAATAACTATTCTGATTGGTGTGAGAGGGTATCTGATTGTGTTTTGGTTTGCGTTTCTCTAATGATTAATGATGTTAAGCATTTTTTCATGTGCTTGTTTGTCACATGTATGCCTTTTGAAACATGTTTGTTTATGTCCTCTGTCTATTTTTAATGCAGTTATTTGTTTTTTGATTGCTGGTTTAAGGTTCCTGTACTTTATGGATATTTGGCATTTGTTGAATGCATACTTTTCAAATATTTTCTCCCATTCTATAGGTTGTCTGTTTACTCTGTTGATATTCTATCGAAGAAACAGAGTTTTTTTTGTTACAATTACATAATTATTTCTAAGCATTTTTTAATATTCTGAACTATGTTTCTAACATATTCTGACCCTTGTAAAAAGGAAAACATCTGTGTTTTATAACAATCTTTTTCATTATTTAGAAACATTACAAATATAATTCAGTATCTGTCACCCTCAACAAACCAGCCAGAAAAAAGATGAAGAAAAAGCAGAAGTTTAATCGGCTGTGAACAGCTAATAAGAACATTTTTATTGATGATTTCAGATATATAAAAAATAATAACATTAGTCTGAATATCAGAAGAAATAATAGAATAATTTGAAAGTTAACTTGAAAAAATTGTTTTTGTTGGCCCTTGTCAGTTTGCAAATGAGAAATTGTTTACATGTGAAAAGTATGAGTTAGGTGGACAAAATGGGGGAAGAAATGAAATTGCTACTTAATTATGTAATTTGGGGCTCAATTTTAGAAAGTTAAATTTGTACCTAAAATGGAAGCGCTCATTACTTGCTCTTCAATCTTTTTTAATTCAATAACTTTTTCACTATAGTTGTGAAATTAATAAAAATTTAAAATTGATTAATTAAATTTAAAAATGCTAATTTTCTCTGTATTGGCTTTTAGTTTGCTCTGTTCCACAAATTCAAAATATGGTGTAAAAATAGTATGAATTAAAATAAGCCAATATATTTCACTTATAGTGCAAGCTAATATTAGTCTTTTAATAATAAAATTTCTACGTGTAAACAGCCTATATGACTTATATGATAGACATGTTAAATCTTACTTACACAATGCTAAGAGGTAGATTTTCAAGAAATGCAATAACAGAATAATTTTCAAAAAACTTTGACTTCATAAAGAGCAAACAAAATAGTTTAGTGATTGAGTTTTTTATTATAAGTTAGTGATTATGCTGTTACACAACATGGTCAGCAAGCATCTGTAAGGCATCAAATTGTAAACATTTTGAGTTTGCAGGGCCATTAGGTCTCTGTGTAACAATCAAACATGAAAGCAACCATAGCCGTTACATAAACAAAAAAGTTATCTGGGTTTCAATAATCTTTAACTTACAAGAAAAGGCACGGGTAAATCTTGGCTTCTAACACCATTCTCTAGTCAGGAAAAAAAAAAAACCAACCTTTTTTTTTTTTTTTTGAGAAATAGCTGATTTCAAGACCGGGAGGGAATATGCAAGATGATCCTAGAACATTCTTATCTGTTGTAAAGTAAAGAAGTGCTAAACACACACACAGATGCACAGACACACACACACACACAGACACACACACACACACACACACACACACATAGTCGGTGACTAAAACGAGGGTTCATATCTTATTATAACTGGATTGAACCTCAATAACACAGTTTCCAGTTCTTATTTCCATTTTACCACTTAAAATATATATGTTAGATAAATGATGCTTTTTGCGAGGCAATCGTAATTCCAGTTATTTTAATATAATTTTATGGTACATATTTGGATTTATGTAATGACCTTTTGAATGTTACACTGTCTTTGTTGAAACATTTTAGTTTTATAATCTAGGATTATCTCTTTTGATTTAAGATAATGCTGCATAATAAGCATAATGAAAAGATTCATTAATTGAAATGGCCTCACAATGTTGAATCTAATATTTGTATTAATAATGTAATTATTATTTTAGTATTTTGAAAACATCTATGTGTTTATTTTGAAATGTCAAATACATATCCTTCCAGAAATACTTTTATAATTGGTAAGTAGCAATTAAAACAAAATTAATACCAAAATTGTCTTTATATATTTGTTAAAATATATCAAAGAATAACTTTAATGTTACTCAACTTAAAAACAGCACTATTTATAGATGCGAATATATTTATCTTGTAGGTTGCTTTTTTCCTAAATATTTATATTCTACAATTAGCAGTATTGTTATTCATATCCTGAATTTATGTCTTTCTGTAAGATTATGGCCTTGGCCAAGAATTTGAAACTAGTAGACTGCATAAAATACATCAACTTGATTTCATATATATGTTGAAGCATGGCTATGGTCTAATAATGCCATAGAAGATGTTAAATCCAATCACAAGAATAAAAGTCTATTGGAAAATTTAAATGCTGTAAGAAAACAAAGACAATCAAATGAGCTGATTTGTTCACTTTGTTGGTTCAGATAAGTAGTGATAAAAGTATTTGAGAAGCCTGTTTAAAGCATTTGGGACTTTACAAAGGTTAAGGTTACTATTCTGCTGATATTTTTATTCATGTCTGCCATCTCTTAGTTTATGCCTCGGTATTAAAAGAAGATGTCATTTTACTTACTAAGCCTTTAGATATAATGAAAGTTAAGTCAGAATTTTTTGGATTAGTGTCCTTTTGCTACATATAGCCATAATTTATTTAGTACACTGCTGTTAAAAGAAAAGGTATAGTAAATAATATGGAAAAAATTAATGTATCTTCCATAAAGTCATTTAACAACAAATTCTATTGAAATTAAAAGTGGCAGTCTCACTGTCACTCTAACTTTTATATGTCTATTTAGCTATGGTACTTATCCAGTATTACCTATAAAGGCTATAGTAGAATCCAATGAGTCAGCATTTTAATCCTTCATAACACAACACTATTGGAAAGCGGATTCACAGAGAATAGATCATACCATATATATACTTAGAAGATTACGTGTAATTGGATTCTGAGGAACCTTTAGCAGCAGGGAAAGGCAAGAATGACAACTGACTGTACATCTTTGGGCTCCTAAAAGGCAAAATGTTTAATATTTTCTTACAACATATAAAATTATCTCAGATTATAAATATTTTTGAACAGGGCTCTGGATCAGTTGATTGCCAAAATTACACAGGAAACAAACTAAAGTTAAAAATACACTTTTGAGAAGAATGCTAAAATCTGATCATATAGAGTTGTATTAAACAATACTAAGGACATTGGTAATTGTAACAGTGACAATGTCCATGTGGTTACATAAGCAAAAACTAAAAATAAAAAGTGAGCATTATATCGTAGACCTGCCTAAAAGGATGTATGTGAAATATTAATAATATGACATGAAGGATTTTTATTAAAAAGTACAGCAAAGGAAAGAAAAAAAGACAACTAAAAGGGGATTTATTGAAGTTTATATTCCCAAGACCCACTCTCTGAGATGGAGATACATATTTGTAATGTTTATTGACAGTACTCAGGATAAACAAATGCCCAGAAAATAAAAGCTTCTTCTACTCTGGGAGCAGGGGAAAATAATTGCTCATTGCCATTTTCTTATTTTTCCAAAATAACAAAATGAACTTGTCTCTTTTGGATATCTAGAATTGAGTGCTTAATGCCTTTGAAATGTGGAGATGAATTAAGGAAAACTGACATAGACTGTCTATAAATTATTCAAGCAAGTCCATAATCTACTCTTGTACATATTTTTGTTGCTAAAATGTGCTAATACTATTAAACATGTTAATACTCATATAAACATTTCTATCTCTGTATGCAATTTGAAACTAATTAGATCCTGAACGAATTTGCTAGGTTTAATAATTTCTTACTTTGACCTATTATTTTCAACTACAGACTAAACTCAATCCTATATGATGTTACTTGACAAATGGCCAATAATCATAACTTTATCACCAATACTCTGCAGTGAGCAAATTCAGAGGAAAACTTGGTACCATGATATAAATTTAAATGAAGAAATGACCTACTTTAAAAAAGAAGAATGAGGAATAGGAGGAGAAATAGGAAGAGGAGAAATACGAGAAGGAAGATAAGGATGAGAAATAAAAGCAGTAAGTGAGAAAGAGGGAGAAGAAAAGGCAAGATAAGACATTTTGATGGAGGACTCACAAGGTGAATATTGCAATATCATTTTTGCATGAGGCTTCTGGATGAATCTCGGCTGACACTGACACATAAGTTCATGGATTCGCCAAACCCAAATATATATACATACATATGATTTGATTTAAATGGGAAAGGAGACATGTAAATGGATGCTGGGAGGGGAGGTTTGTGGTGCTTATCACCAGCTCCATAAGGAATATCTGTGGGAGTAATGACATATTGAAGTCAAGCATATGGGGGCAGAGTTGGCAAAAGTTGGGTATAAAATATAATGGGATCTGCCGGGCATGGTGGCTCACACCTGTAATCCCAGCATTTTGGGAGGACAAGGCAGGTGGATCACCTGAGGTCAGGAGTTCGAGACCAGCCTGGCCAAATGGAGAAACCCTGCCTCTACTGAAAATACAAAATTAGCAAGGCATGGGGGCGCATGCCTGTAATCCCAGCTACTCTAGCGGCTGAGGGAGGAGAATCGCTTGAACCCGAGAGGTGGAGTTTGCAGTGAACTGAGATCGTGCCATTGCACTCCAGCCTGGGCAACAAGAGCAAAACTCTGTCTAAAAAAAAAAATACACACACACACATATATTTTACATACATGTATATGATTTGATTTAAATGGGAAAGGAGACATGTAAATGGATGCTGGGAGGGGAGGTTTGTGGTGCCTATCACCAGTTCCATAAGGAATATCTGTGGGAGTAATGACATATTGAAGTCAAGCATATGGGGGCAGAGTTGGCAAAATGTGTATATATGTATGGATAAAATATATATATTTTAGAATTATATATATATATATATATATATATATATATGGATCTTATTTTTACCTATTGCCTATTCAGGGGAGGAAAACTAATATCTCTTCAATCCTTGTATGTTCCTACTTGGGACCTCTATAATAAAAGGCAGATTAACAAGAAGAAAACAAATGAAGGTTGCTTAACATGTATACCTCATGTGTAACTCATTTACACATGGGAAATACTCAAGAAAAAAATGAATAGTTATCAAAGAGGTGGCTTAGAACTCCTGCTTGTGTAGCATCTTCAACAAAAACAGTACATTTTTGGAGAAGTAACAAGACAAAGGATAAGGACGACCTTGAGTCTCTTGGGGAGCAAACTGAGGGAAGGCAACTATATGATAGATAAGGGCTAATTAGTAAAGTTTAAAATATAGATTCCTTGTGTGCCATCTGTAGTCTGGTAAGGGTCTGAGGTCATCTCTGGTGATCAATTTGTGTCCATTCTGATAAAAAGGAGAGGAGGGACACCTTTTTAAATTTATGTCCTGCTTTTAAGCGAATAGGGAAGGACAGAAAGCTTTTCTGGTATGTGCTGCTTTTCTATTGCCTTTCAGTAGCTCAAAATAATCTTCATGCCAAAGTGGCATATTTTGGATTGGCACATTCTGCTACCCTTCACCTGTGTGCTAGTAAGGTCTAAGGAAAATTATTTTCCTTTTATCATCAAGATATGGTAGCAAGTTGAGCCATTTTACTACGTTTATTAAAATTATGGAATATAATTAACTTGCCTTATGTTTTTGCATCTAAAGATTTCTCCAAGTTAGAGAGAACTCCTACATTGGTGATACTGAAAAAAAAAACTTTTATTTTCCTACCTATTTTATACCTTTCTTTTGTATTTCACAGTTGGCTTCTCTGATACTTATATGGACTTCTGATCACTTTGTTTCACACTTTAGGTTAACAACACAAATTTTATCATTTGCTTTTCTTTTGGCCAAATTTTCCTTTTCTATTGCAATTTTCAAAGTATGAAACTATATTTTGCTGGGACCTTATTTTTTTCTATATCTTCAGGTTTTCTTTGGTGTGCTCACCCTTAGCCCTTTTGTCTGGCAGTTAACAACAACAAAAAATCCCTCTGACAAGTACAGAAACCATTATTTTTGAAAATATGATCATCATGACAGTCCTGAACTGTCTATTCTGCAACATCAATCTCCTGTGTGGCTAAGTAGCACAGTGCTCTGTCCACACTGATTCCTCCATTTTAAATCTATATGTTCATGTATATCTAGGTCTATATACATATATGCATATAGGTATAGACATATAAATATATGTTTATATAAGTGTAAATATGCTTAGACATATATGTGTATAAACACAAATATATATGTATGCGTATATATCTATATCTCTACATATTTTTCATTCTTACTCTTTATCTGATAATTAGCTTTTCCTGTAGTACTGGAATTCTTTTCATTTTATTTTTCTTCTATTTTGTCAAATTCTCTTTACTTTGGCTTACTTGTTGGCTGCTGCTTTATTTTCTTTCTTTTTTTTATTATACTTTAAGTTTTAGGGTACATGTGCACAAAGTGCAGGTTTGTTACAACATGTGCCATGTTGGTGTGCTGCACACATTAACTTGTCATTTAACATTAGGTATATCTCCTAATGCTATCCCTCCCTGCTCCCCCGACCCCACAACAGGCCCCTGTGTGTGATGTTCCCGTTTCTGTGTCCATATGTTCTCATTGTTCAATTCTCACCTATGAGTGAGAACATGCGGTGTTTGGTTTTTTGTCCTTGTGATACTTTGCTGAGAATGATGGTTTCCAGCTTCATCTAGTTTTTTTTTTTTTTTTTTCTTCCTAGTAGTTTTTCAGTCTAGCCTCTGAATATCTGATGCATAATTCTTATAGTAACTTCATCTACTTAATGGTATTTAAATTATATTCACAAATCTCTTACCAGCTTTTCTTAAGAGAATAGCCCTGAGTACACACAGAAAGTTTCTCTAAATTTTAATGAATAATATGTAATTTTATTTGTCCAAACGTTGTCTATATAAGCATCAACTTATTCTGGGGGAAAAGATGAACTGAGAAATGGCATTTAAACCTAAGATGATTATTATTTGGGCACAAATATATGATTTCCATACAGATTAAAACACTTAAAGAACAACATACGAATTGTATATTTAAGAATGACTGACTAGTTATATGCTCATTTTTAAAATAGAAGGGGTAGTCTATATTTATCTTTACAATAATATATACAAACATATTTATACTTGTTAAGCCTTTATGTACCTGGGGATGAGATTTAAACATATTTTCTTATTAAATCATCACAAGTATCTGAAATGTTGACAAAGTAACCTACAATTTTCAGACGAGGAAATTAGACTTCAGAGAAAACAGATATTTGACAAAATTATTGAGGAAATCAGTGTGAGAACTGCAACTTTAGCTATTTCTATATGAATAATAAGAGCTTGTATTACAAGCATTACATATATCTGAAAAGATTATAGTCTCGAGAGTTATTTACTATAAAATACCAAAAATGTATTTCAAACATTTCGTTAACATTTCAGTACATATAAATGTCAATGGCAATCTTAAAATATAATTATTTATAGCTTTTTACTCTGTTTTTGTGCAAAATGAGAGTGGTTTTCCTTGATATATAGATATATATATATTTGTCCAACGTGCAACAATTAATACATAAATGTAAGTGGTTTATGTGTGTTTTAACTCTATCTATTGCCTGCTATGTCCCAAATTTAATTAACCTTTTACTATATTTTGAAGGTCCTTATTTTTCTTTTTTGTTTAATTGTTGCTTTTGTGTAAATAGAACACTTTCTCTGTTCATGATATAAATTTATATTCAATATGATTAAAATGTGGTGAACACTTTATTTAGATAACTAGCCATATATTTTTCTCTAAATAAATCAAATATTTCTGATTTTTTAAAATTCACATTTGTTTTATGAGAAACATACTTTTAAAACATAATTTTAAATGATTTAATGTGTACCCATTTTAGACTTATGCCAATATAAAGTAATAGAACCAAAAAGCAATTTACATTAAAAGTAATACAAACTGAAGAATTTATAATTTATATCTTTCATAGATTAAAAGTTTACATAAACTTTAATCTCAAGTAGCTTAACAACTGCTGAATTTCCAACTATAGTGTTTTGTTTAATTAATTGAGACATTTGTATTACTTTTGTAAAACTTCATATATAATAGCTTTTTCATAAATAGAGCATTTTCACACAAAGTATTTTATGAACTATAATTCAAAAGTTAAAACAATTAACTTGCTGATGTAATGCCATGATCAAAATAGAAAATCTTGAATAATGAAAAACTCAATAATGGTAAATAAAATAGCATTTTGGAAATGTGATCATATTGATCAGGTTTAAACCCATCCTAATCAAGCTATTCATAAGACAAGGTGACTTTAGGTAAGTTCCTTATCTATCAGTATCCTGATAGGATTTTACTTATCTGTCAGGTGGGAATAATAATAAATTTAGCTCAGAACATGGCTGTAGTATTAAATAAGATAAAAAGCAAAGCCCTGGAAGAAATGACTTACACTACGTATTTTTTTATTTTTATTTTTTGAGATGAGTCTTGCTGTTGCCCAGGCTGGAGTGCAGTGGTGCGATATTGGCTCACTGCAATCTCTGCTTCCGGGGTTCAAGCGATTCTCCAGCCTCAGCCTCCCGAGTAGCTGGGACTACAGGCAAGCGCCATCATGCCCAGCTAATTTTTGTATTTTTAGTAGAGACGGGATTTCACCAAGTTGGCCACCCTGGTCACAAACTCCTGACCTCAAGTGATCCACCCGCCTCGACTTCTCAAAGTGCTATGATCACAGGAGTGATCCAGTGAGCCAGGCCAACTCACACTATGTATTAATAAAACAATGCTATTTTCTAACAATTTATGGCAGTTGTTATTTTTTGTGAAATATGGAGACCAAAAATATAGAGGACCTTGAACACAAATCCAGTGTTAACTATGCCCTGTAGTCATTTGTTACTTTTTCCTTCAATTAGTCAATCAGTTATTCTTTATTGAGAAATATTTTGTGTTGGGCTGAAGGTCAGTTGTTGAAATAGACAGAAGCACACATCATTGATATTTCTACAACCTAACATAGTTAACTTTGCTTGACTTCACTTTGGAGGTTTCTGCCGCTGTAAAACAAGGGTTTTCATAAACCTCAGTACTCATTGGTCCAAAGGGCCATGTTTTCCAACCAATAACAATAGTGGGAAAAGCTGACCACGTACAGACAGGAGCAAACTGTGACAAACTGCAGGGCACAAAATCCAAACAGGCCAGTTACGACCATTGGCTGACAGTTGATGGGTTAGAATCATATTAGTTTGAAATGTGGCTTTATCATCTGCTACTTGTATACTCTTGGACAATTATTTATCTTCAATTATCAGGTGATAATAGGGTATCCTACATGATAGGATTGCTGTAAAGATTAAAAGAAACAATGTCTGCAAAGGGTTTGGCACTGTGGATGACAAACAGAAAGCACTCTGTGATGGCTTTGTGATGATGACGATGATGATGGTGATGATAATTTTGGAAAGACATGGATCCAGTGTTAGTAGTTTCATATTTGTAGGATAATTTATCAGGATGCTGCCTTTTATATAAAATCTTCTCATTTTTAACATTGACAGCATCCAGGTATTCCATGGCCAGTAGTCTACCAGTTTGTGATTTGTTGGTTATATGATCTTTATAAACTTTTAGCTCATATACTCAGACTTCATATGCTACTCACCTGGAATGAAAAAAAAAAGTACATCAATATATCATTGTAGAAACTAATCAGGTAACCTAGTGATATGGTTTGGCTGTGTCCCACTCAAATCTCATCTTGAATTCCAATGTGTTGTGGGAGGGACCTGGTGGGAGGTAATTGAATCATGGGGGCAGGTCTTGCTGTTCTCCTGATAGTGAATAAATCTCTGATGGTTTTTTAAGGGGGAGTTTCCTTGCACAAACTCTCTTTGCCTGCTGCCGCCCATGTAAGACATTACCTGCTCCTCCTTGCCTTCTGCCATGATTGTGAGACTTCCCTAGCCACGTGGAACTGTGAGTCCATTCAACCTCTTTCTTTTGTAAATTGCCCAGTCTGGGGTATGTCTTTATCAGCAGTGTGAAAATGGACCGATATACCTAGGAAATCCAATTTAAAGAACTCTCCAGCTCCTTGGAAAGAATAACAAAAATCACACCTTTTCTTCAAATGACCTACGGATATATTCAAATACATTTGTCCAGTTCTAATAACACTGACTGAAAATAGAAAATAAACACTCCATGTATATAGCCCTGTCATTGACAGCTGCGTTAGGTCATTTGAGAACTGCCCTTACCTTTTGAATGATTCAGTGATGTTTTCTGACAACTTTAGCCAAGGTCCAGTGACCCCAGTCAACCCAGTCATTCTGTAAGAAACTTATATTGCTTAATAAATATTTTCTATTATCTAAAATTAAGGACTTTTTTTGTAATTATCTGGCATACTAGTTTCTCTGATCCAAATCATTATATACTATTTCTAACTATTTCTTCTTGTTGGTCATGTTCCTGTACCTGAATATTCTTTAGATACATTTAGTATTATTATCATGTAGGGTAATTTTAATTAGTCTAGCCTATAATATAATTATTAAAAAGGCATATTGTATAGAAACATAATATTTAAGATTCAGGCGCGGTGGCTCATGCCTCTAATCCCAGCACTTTGGGAGGCCAAGGCAGGTGGATTGCCTGAGGTCAGGAGTTCAAGACCAGCCTGACCAACATAGTGAAACCCCGTCCTACTAAAAATAGAAAAAATTAGCTGGGTGTGGTGGTGTGTGCCTGTAATCCCAGCTACTATGGAGGCTGAGGCAGAAGAATAGCTTGAACCCGGGTGATGGAGGTCACAGTGAGCCAAGATCATGCCATTGCACTCCAGCCTGGGCAACAAGAATGAAACTCCGTCTCAAAAAAAAAAAACAAAAAACAAAAAACAAAAAACAAACAAAAACATAATATTTAAATATTTCCCTTATTAAACCAATTTCAGTTAGAAAAACAATAATGGTAAACTGAAATAGATTGAGATTTAAATCCAATCTGAGCAATGTTTTATTGTGTGTTTTGTCTGATTTTATGACAGAAGATCATCAATCTTGGGTATTCATAATAAATTTTATTTCTTTATGATGAAATGGTTAGGACTAAAGCATTATAGCATAGCACTTAGTATTATAATAGTGTTAGTGAACGGTAGACAAAAAATACCAAGATTAAATTACTACTTTCAATGCAGCAAGACTTTGAAAGTGATGGATTTTTGATGAAAAAATGAGAGTACATTTGACATAACACAAAAATATTGATAATGGAAATGGAGTTTTTAATCATAAACCATACTGATTGAGTACATTTGTGTGTGTGTGCATAATAACATAATGTTTACTAGTTTATTATATAGTGCTTCCAAGTTTTCAAAACCAATTCACATATATCACATATGTCTCAAAACAAGTGTACATATGGGCATTCATTTCATTTTACAAATGATTAACCTGAAATCAGAAAGTATTGGCTGATTGTTATATATATATATTTAATTGTTTCTGCTTTTGTCCTTCTATTCTGTTTCCACTTGTGGTGCACAATATTTTAGCTACATTTATTTCAACAGCAGTTGGCATACAGAGTGTACAGGAATATATGTGCGTGCATAAGTAAATATATATTTTAAAAAACATATGATATTTATATATACTTGTATGTTTATCTATGTAGCTACCTATCTAGAGAGAGATTTATAGTTACAGATGAGGCAAAGTATAAATATTCACGTTCACACATTGAACTAGATATTTTTTCTCAGAAGTCAATATCTGGCCCAAATAAAAAGAAATCTATAGATAATCTATATCAACAAATAAATAGAAATCTAAATATCTACATTAATAAATGAGCTACTTCTAATTAATAACCATATATGTGGCAGTTATGATAAGAATCAACTTATTTTATGTTACGTGTCCTCAATATTTTGCTTTAATACTAATCAATACATATACAGGGTTACTTGAAAAAGGCATCATGTGGTCAAGATTTTTTAAAAAATAGCTTAGCACTTCGTATTATAACAGTTATAGTGAAATGTAGGAAAAGAAAATATTAAAGTAAAAGCACTGCCTTTAACAACAGTGACGCTTAAAGAGAAATGGATTTGGGACAGAAAATGAGAGTGCATTTGAGATTAACACAGGAAAGGCTAGACCTTGAAGGTATAGTTTGAAGGAAAACAAATGGTAATATATTTAAGGGGGGACAGTTGTCTAAGTGAAGCCAAACAGAATCTAAGTTCAAGATTTATTTGAAGGAAAGTTAACAGTCAGTAGGGGAGCAGTGAGAGATGTGAGATCGGGCTCAAGTGTAGTTTTGAAGGGTCATTAATCCAAGTTAAAGAGCCTAGACTTTATTGCACTCACAATGAAGAAACATTAAGGGGAAGAAAATGGCAACTTGAAAGCAGTGTTTAAGCTGGTTGCCCTGTGCAGGGTAGAAACTTCAACTTATGACTCTAGTAAGCAAGCTATTAGAGAAATGATAGGCCAAAGACAAAAGTCAGCCTGGGGAACTTGACATATGTGTGGGTATGTTTGTCTCCTTATGTGTGGGCATGTTTGTCTCCTTATGTGCATATGTGACTACTGACAATCAAGTAATTTTTCAAAGTAATAGTATTTCCTAGTCTTGAGCCAACCAATCACCAGTGAGCCTGTGTTTGTGTTCTTTATTTTTGCCAGTTTCATGAGTTTGTGGCTTGTGTTTAGGAAAAAACAAAAGAAAAAAAAATAGTTCTGCCTAAATTAGAGACAGCTGATGAAACAACTTAGCATCATGGAGAGACTTACGCAGAAGAGGACCCTTTTCTTTAAGTTTTAGGGACATAATTTTTAAGAAAAATGTGTTGGTTTCACACCCAAGTGGTCAGAATCAGCTATGGAGAAACAAATAACTGAGTTTTAAAAAACACATCTGGTGAAAAAGGATATGGGTTTTATAGTCACAGAGATTTGAGATTAAATCTAAAGCCTGGGGCAAGTTATTAGGACTTAACCTTGCTAAGAAATTATTTCCTTATTGCCACTGTGTTAGTCCATTTGCACTGTTGAAAAGGAATACTTGAGGCTGGATAATTTATAAGTAAAAAAGGTTAATTGGCTCACAATTCTGGAGGCTGTGTATGAAGCACAGTGCCAGCATTTACTTCTGGTGAGGGCCTCAGGAAGCTTATAATCACAGGGGAAGGCAAAGGGGAGCCAGTGTGTCACATGGTGAGAAAGGGAGCAAGAGAGTGAGAAGGAAGTTCCACGCTCTTTTAAACAACCAGATCACACTTGAACTCATAGCTGAGAACTCACTCATTACCTCAAGGATGACACCCAGCCAATTCAGGAGGGATCTACACCCATAATTCAAACACCTCCTACCAGGACCCACTTCCAACATTGGAGATTACAACTCAACATGAGGTATGGAGGGGACAAACATCCAAAACATACCACTACTCTTCATGAAGATAAAATTGATACACATATCATCACTATACATATATATGTAAAGTTATATATAAAATTATTAAAAATATATACACATGTATCATTACTGCATATATATGTATATATGCTTATGCTTTTTAAAATGCATGGAACACAGTAAATATGCTGTCACAAATAGGCAACAATTAATAGTATGCTTGGTTTCTGTATCCTATTTAAATTATTGTCATCAGTAACCCAAAGAATACTGTCTCTAAATTATTAAGTTCTAGTCAAAAGTGAATCCAAGCTTAAATGCACAACCAGAAGTAGATAACTGTCTTTCCAGATATTTCTGCAAGTTTCTAGAAGGTATTCAAAATCCTGTGGACAACTTGTTGGAAAAGTTTCTCCAAGTAAAGAAAATCACATGTATGGAAGCATGAATAAGGCAAACACCATGACACATAGCAAGACTTGGAAGTAGTTTAGTAGCGCAACAGTCTAGGAAAACTAAAAGGCAATAGATATGTTGTGAGCAAATCACAGTGATCCTTATAGGCCACATATGAAATTTATATTTTATCCTGTGTTTATTGAGGAATAGGGCAATCAAAATAAATAATGACAGCTAGAAAATTATTATATAAATTATTATTACAGATCTTGGAAGATGAGATAAAAAATAAACATATTTCAGGAAGTAGTAGCGATAACAGGTAGATGGGTAAATATGTAAGAGAGGAAAAAATAGAGGTCTATAATTATCCTCATAATTCTAGATTGGGCTATAATAACGATATTAGTTATAATTGATTAAAAAACTAATTATATTCAAGGACCTCAGCCATGTGTCTTGTATTAATTATATCATTAACAGTTAATAAGAACCAATTTCAACTTACTCTTAAAATCTGCGTTGAATGTCTCAAAGGCATCCCAAACCTAATACATCAAGACCTAATTTTAGTTTCTTCCTCCTAACACTACTGGCCACTAATAGCTTATACAATGCTTTACCATAAATAAGCAAGATATAGCCTTCCTGGAAGGGGCAGTCTATGGACAACTATCTCAGGAAGCAGATCGAGAGCTAGATTTGAGTACAAAGTCACCTATTTTTTTCAACATTTCTGTACAGTACACAAGTTTCACAACCATACCTGGTAGGCTTGTGACTTTTCCATCTGAAAAAATGGTACAAAAATCCTAATTGGTTAAAGCAGAAATCTGAGACTCAGTTTTGATCTTTCTTTTCTCTTTACATTTCTTATCATGTAAGTGAATTTTTTTCCTTCAAAATATTTCTCAGTGCTCACTTTTCCATCCTTACCTCCATTTTCTTAGCTCAAAGCACTGTGGTCTACTTTGCAGTTAGTATCTTTCTTACTGGTCTCTCTATTTCTGCATTGACTCAACTTCCAGTAGAAAATGACAATGATAACTTAAATAAAGATCGAGAAATAGATATCCATAAATCTAAGTAAAGGTTAATATTTATAATAAACAAGAAACAACATATAGAAAAAAAATCACATCTCATTAGATGAAGTATAATGTAATTTCACACAAAAAGGATACAAAGTATTAACAAGGTATGTGAAATAGTCATTCTTATCAATATATTAATTAAAAAACTAAGGAAATGAAATTTCTCTAGAGATTTTCAATACCTTTTTAGAGAAATTGGCATAAAACATAAAATAAATTGTTAAATTGTGGTGATTATTTGTGGGAACAGAGGGTAGGGACTGAAAGATTGTAATTTAAACACTCTGATTTGTTCTAAATTGTTTCATAAATTGATATTCACATTTCAGAAATCTCTGCAAAATTACATAAGCAGAGGATTGAAAAGTATATGACCCAGTAAACCTCCTCTAAGTGATTTAACCTCAGGAAATATGTAAAAAGAAGAAAAATGTGTATAAATAGATTCAGTACAGCATCATCTTTTTAAAAAAAGTTACAATAAATGTCCATCACAGTGTAATAGCTGTGCACGTTCTTTTATATCAATATTACAAATAAGAAGTATACATAGAAACTTGAATTAGCATCTACAATGTAATGTTAAATAAAAAATAAAAACAGAAATATATATATCCATTAGATAATTACTTACTGTTTTAAGCTGGTATACAGTTTTGAAAGATAGAGCAGTAACAAATTGGAAATATGGTAATCCAATTTTGGCACTTTTGTAAAAAGTATCTCATGTTTATCTGTTTATATAAATTGTGATTATCTTTAAAATTGTTATATTAAAAGATAAATATTCCATGGCACTGGTGAACAGTAAAGTTTTAAAATATGTGGAAAAAATTTATAATCTCATTAATCTGACAAAAAATTAGCATTTTTTACTTTTGAGAAAGAATTGCTTTCTCTTTCTGTCATATTTGATTTCTGTCATCAAAAATTGATGCTCATATATTTACAAATGATTCTCAGTTTTTGACTAACACAGAACGGATTTGTTTCTTTCATTTACCTGAAATTCATTTTGTGGAGTTCTAAATTTAAGGTTACATTGTAAGATAAATTCACTCTGAAATGGCACTTTTCTTACTTATAGAATTTGAATGACTGGCATTCCCATTCTATCTGTCTTTAATGATTAATATTTAATATACATTATATATTGTATGTGTCAAATTTTATGGAACAAACTAAAATGTTTAAGAATTTCTCACACATCCATAATTTATTTATTTTGTCATAATAATATCCAATTTATTAAAATAGAAATCAATGATTTGGCTAAATATTGGCTAGTTACATTAAGAGTTGTGTTAGTTCATTTTCACACTGCTATAAAAAACCACCTGAGGCTGGGTAATTTATAAAGAAAAAAGGTATAATTCGTTCACAGTTCCGAAGTCTGTACAGGAAGCATGGCTAGGAAGACCTCCTGAAACTTACAATTATGGTGGAA
Organism: Homo sapiens; assembly: GCF_000001405.40. Taxonomy (NCBI): domain Eukaryota; kingdom Metazoa; phylum Chordata; class Mammalia; order Primates; family Hominidae; genus Homo; species Homo sapiens. The sequence continues at coordinate 32,676,584 of NC_000004.12, forward strand.
GGCAAAGGGAAAGCACACATGTGTTCACACGGCCAGAGCAGGAGGAAGAGAGGAGAGGTGCTACTCACTTTTAAGCAACCAGATCTCAAAATAACTCACTCACTGTCACAAGAGCAGCACCAAAAAGGAAATCTGTCCCCATGATCCAATCTCCTCCCGCCAGGCCCCACCTCCAACATTGGAGTTACAATTTGACATGAGATTTGGATGGGGACAGAGACCCAAACCATATCAAGGTTCATGTCAATAAGTAAATGAAAATATAGTAGTAAAAGGAAAAAATAATTCACAGTAATAAAAAAAGGAGGAAAGCATAAGCCTTTAAAAGGAAGAAAAAAAAACCACTCAAACTCTCTATGAATCATAATAATAGGCACATGAAAAATATCATTTTAGGCTATTGTATTATCAAACCTGTAAAACACTCAATTTACAGGTTTAAATTGAACTCAATTTAAATGAGCTATGTGGAAGCAGGTGCTGTTGCTATGTCTCCTAGTTGATATCTTTTTTTTTTTTTTTAAGTCCGATTGGCAGTATCTTTTAAAAGGCATTCCATGCCTATTCCTCTTAGACATAAATTCTGGAATTTATGACTGAGATATTTACATATTACACTAATGAATGAATAGAAATGTATAAATTTTCTGTTTACAACATCATTGACACAAAATTGGAAACATTTAAATGTCTATGTTTTGGGGGCTTAAGAAACAGTTAAAATAGGGTATTTTTTTCAACTGTAATATTTCTATTTGACATAAAGTAAGACTGAACTGAACTACAGAAATAAGTCAAAACATAACAGATGCTAGTGAGGTTGCAGAGAAAATGGAACACTTGTACACGTTGGTATAAGTGTAAATTAGTTCAACCATTGTGGAAAGCTGTATGTTGATTCCTTAAAGAGCTAAAAACAGAACTACCATTTGATTCAGTAATCCCATTACTGGTTATATGCCCAGAGCAGTATATATCATTCTCTTATAAAGACACAAGCACATAAATATTTATTGCAGCACTATTCACAATAGCAAAGACATGTAATCAACCCAAATGCCCATCAGTGACAGACTGGATGAAAAAAAGTGTAGCACATATAGACATGGAATACTATGCAGCCATAAAAAAGAATGATATTATGTCTTTTGTAAGAACATAGATGGAGCTGGAGGCTATTATCCTTAGCAAACTAACTCAAGAACAGAAACCAAATACTACATGTTCTCACTTATAAGTGGGAGCTAAATGATGAGAACTCATGAACAAAAAGAAGGGAACAATAGATACTGGAGTCTATATGAGGGTGGAGAGTAGGAGGAGGCAGAGAAGCAGCAAAAATAACTATTGGATACTAGACTTAATACCTGGGTGATGAAATAATGTGTACAGCAAACCCCATGACATGAGTTTACCTGTATAACTAACCTGCACACGTATCCCCAAACCTAAAATAGAAGTTAAAAATAATTTAAAAAGTAGACATTTCTAAATTCACATCCTTCTTATACTCTGACTCTATTTTCATGCTATGATCAGAGCCCAGCTTCTGGCATGAGTTTTCTATACATATGATTTTCTCTTTTTCCCCTTCACTTCACTCTCTTTCCCCTTACAAACTCTTTTTATAAAAATTATCTTATAGTAATTGTGATATATTTGACACATACAGATTTATATGCAGCAGATATAACTTTTTAGGTACAGTAACACAAAAAATAGCTGTGCTTTCTCATCTAACCCATAAACTGCATTATCAATAACTTGTATTATACATAACTGTACCTCTACAACATCAATTACACAACACCAAGAACTAAACTGTAGACTTAATAATTCATATATAATTAGATTAAAATAAAAATCCATTATGACTATGTCTCTTATTGAGAGAATTTAGTGTGTTCATAATTCACTGTTGATACATTTTATATATTTTTCTACATCGTGCATCATCTTGTTCAGTTTTTAAATGTTTGTTTCTTTTTGTTTGTTTTTCCTACTGTTTTGCAAATTAATTTGGCTAATTCTTGGATTTTCTTTTTCTTATTCATATATCTCTTTTGATTCTATATCAGAACTTATTTCATTTCTTTTATTGGCCCTTAAAAAAGTCACCATGAAAAGTAATTCCAGAACTGAAAATACTTTGCCTCTCTTTGTCACTTAAATAATTCATATGTCCTTATTTCTCAGTGCTATATTTTGCATAGTTTCTTATGATACATTTTCTGCTTGTTTTTTTCTCTTTAATTTAAGGAGATTTCTAGAAATTTCATTTTTAGAAGTGATGTTTCTTTTAATCTTCCTGTCCATTTCTGAAATATTCTTACTGCTTTCTCATCTTTGTTATTTAGCTCTTTATTTCTTTAACATTTTGTACATAGTTATTCTATACTCGTTGTTAGATATTTCCTATACCTTCAGTTTGGAAGGATTGAAGTCTGTCATTTGTTTACATTGAGGTAAAATATACATATAAAATTTACCATTGTTATCATTTTAAGATGTACGGCACAGTGGTAATAAATACATTCAAATATTTCCTTCATCGCCTCCCTCTTACACTTTCAGGTCTCTGGTAACTACCTGTTTGTATTATCCGCTGACTTACTGAAGGTGACTTGCTTTTTAATGTGCTATCTTTGAGCTCACAATAATTGATTTAATATTTGGAGGTTCTTTGAGCTGCAATATTGGAAGCTTCATTCCGTAAAGAATTTGCTTCTCTTTATGCTTCTTCCAGCATCCAGCTAACACCAGGAACTACCATGTTAACACAAACTAAGTCCCTCCTCCTCCAGGGCTCTGCTCAGTTTAAGGTTCTTGGATTCAGCTTCAGCACAGCTCTGCTGCTGCTATCTGCACCCAGCCTCAGGACAAGAATACCTAACTTGGCTTCTTGCTACTCTGGTCCCAGACCATGCATGTTATTTGGAGGAAGCATTGTTGGAGACCTCCTTTACTTATGAGATGAGTGATAACTCAAAGAATGTGCATTATGAAGAATATACTTTTCTGTATTGAGAAGATCCCTCTATACCTAGTCAACTTTATTTTGAAAGCAGAACTCCTTTGCTCTTCAAAAGGCTCCAATTCCACTTCAACCATAATCGCTGTAAAAACAGTGCTCAGTGAATAAAATATGGCCAAATCTAATGAATATAATGAATATATTGTAGTTCTTATCTTTCTTTTTTTTTTTCTTTTTTTTGAGACGGAGTCTCGCTCTATCGCCCGGGCTGGAGTGCAGTGGCACGATGTCGGCTCACTGCAAGCTCCGCCTCCCGGGTTCACGCCATTCTCCTGCCTCCTGAGTAGCTGGAACTACAGGCGCCCGCCACCACGCCCGGCTAATTGTATTTTTAGTAGAGACGGGGTTTCACTGTGTTCGCCAGGATGGTCTCGATCTCCTGACCTCGTGATCCACCCGCCTCGGCCTCCCAAAGTGCTCGGATTACAGGCGTGAGCCACCGCGCCAGGCCACTTCTTATCTTTCTTAACCTCTCAGCAATATTCATTATAGTTATCAGTCTTCCCTTTTTTGAACATGCATTTTTTGAATTCTAAGGTACTGTACTCTTGTAAGTTTTCTTCTTTTAAATTTTTTTTTTAATCGTCTTTGCAGTCTCTTACCTCTTTTGATTGTTAAATAATGAAAAGCCTTAGGGTGTTGCTCCAAATCTCTTCTTGTCTCAATATACTTCTCCTCCTGTATGAAATAATTTACTACCATGTCTTTAAAAATACAACTATGTATCAATGATTCCAGATATTTAATTCTACTTCATCTCTCTCCTCACATCAAACTTGTACATAAAATAATTCAAAACAGCTTTTTACATATGTTACTGGAAACTCAAATATATTATCCAACCTAAACTCTTAATCTTCTTGCCAAAGTGTGTTCCAAGATTTGCTTATCTTAATAAATTATATTGCCATTTATTCTATAACTGAAATAGATTTCTAGAAATCACCTTTTACATTCTCCCTTCCCCTATTCATACGTTGCACCTATTATCATCAAACCATGTCATTTCTAACTTCTAGGTATTTTTCTTGACTACGCCTGTTTCTTTTCACCCCTAATGCTTATAATGCTATACCTTCTCAGTCTTACACTTACTCCCTCCTATCCAACTTTTTCATGATTAATAAGTGCTATCTTTTGTAAATTATTCAATAGCTTCTTAGTATACTCAGAATTCAGGAAAAAGCCTTTTCCTACTGTACAAAACCCTGAATAACATTTCCTTTAACTAGCTCTCTAGCGATACCTAATGCTTCCATCACTTTTATCATCATGCCTCATCCACACTGGCTTTAAGTATAAGTTAACTTTTATATAGTAATGCTGCATAACAAACCCCCAGATATCCATGGCTAAAAACAACAATATTTATGTTTAATGCATGAGGCTCTGTGTCAACCATAGCAGCACTGCTACAGGCTGTAGGGTGTCTTATCGTTCCGCCGCCCTTGCTAAAAGAGCAGTTTCTCCCTGGCGCATGATGTTCTCACAGTGGATTGTTAGAACACAAGCTTAAGGAAATTCATAATCCATCTTTAGTCTCTACTCAAAACTGACATGCTGTCACTTTTAACTACATTCCAGTCCCCAGAGAAAGTCAGATTGCAAGCCCAACGTTAATAGACAGGGAAATCATACCAATTCCACAAGAAGGAGCAAGGGTAGGGCAGCCTGAAAATTTGATAAACAAAAATAAAATAGATTGAAATTTTAGTCTTTTAAAGCCCGTACTTTTTTGTTCCAAGGCCTTGGCATGAGGCTTGAGTAGTTTTCATTGAATTCTTTAAAGTTCCACTTTAAGACTACTTTTTGCCTAATAATAGGACTCCTTTCAGCTTTGTTTTTTTTTCTTCTCATTTATCCTCAGTGATTAAATGAAATAGAAATGACAACTGAGAATTCTGAGACAAGGTTCTATGTCAGTAGCAATAACCAGAAAGCATAAAGTCAAATTTAATTTATAAAACTTCTTTTCGTATTTACATATATTTTTGACACAGGTCTTACTCTGTTGCCCAGGCTGGAGTGCAGTGGCACAATCTTGGCTCACTGCAACCTCTGCCTCCTGAGTTCAAGTGATTCTCATGCCTCAGTCTCCTGAGTAGCTGGGACTACAGGCACAAACCACCACAACTGGCTAATGGAGTTTCACCATGTTGGCCAGGCTGGTCTGAAAGTCCTGCCCTCAAATAATCTGCCCACCTCGGCCTCCCAAACTTCTGGGATTACAGGCATGAGCCACCATGACTGGCCCTATAATTTATTTAGATAATGAAAGACTATTCTGCAAAATATACGCAGAAGTCTCATAAACCAAAAGAAGAAAGAAGAAAGGAAAGGACGGAGGAAGGAAGGAAACAGGAAAAGAAAAGAGGAAACAAAATAACTTTTAATAGAAAAATAAAGTTGTTCACAAACAATTCACAAAAAGAAGCCTATGTTGCCAATTAGTGTACAAAATGACACATTATTTCATACTCATCATTTTGTAAAAATAGAAAAATACAGCAATAGGCTGGGCATGGTGGCTCATGCTTATAATCCCAGCACTTTGGAAGGCTGAGGCGGGTGGATCATGAGGTCAGGAGTTCTAGACCAGCCTGGCCAACATGGTGAAACCCCGTCTCTACTAAAGATAAAAAAAAATTAGCTGGGCATGGTGGTGCGCGCGCCTGTAATCCCAGCTACTCGGGAGGCTGAGGCAGGAGAATCGCTTGAACCTGGGAGGCAGAGGTCGCAGTGAGCTGAGGTCACGCCATTGCACCTAGCCTGGGCAACAGGGTGAGATTCCATCTCAAAAAGAAAAAAAAGAAAGAAAAATACAGCAATACCAAGCATTAGTAAGGGCATGGGCCCAAGAGAAATTTTATACACTATTGTGGGTGTAAATTTTTCAACCAATGAAATGAAACTTCCATGGGGGGGTGGGGAGGAAAGCTCATATATTATAGTTCCTGTTCTGCATTACAATAACTTTTCTGGAAAATTTCTTAACCAATTTATATACGACATAGTGAAGTTGCTTTTGTAAAAATTATGATAGCAAGAAGAAATCTAATACAGATGATTCCATCTTTCCTCTAACCTCACAAGCTAACTGTCTTTGCTTATTCCTTGGCATATGCCAAGCTAGCTGTGGGAGGAATTTCGTTTATAGTTTAACTTTAAAACAAAGGTGATAACCGTCCCTTCCCAGAACTAATCTCCCTGGTTTGGGGCTGAACCTGCTTTTGTAAAAATAACAGATTGGCCACACGGTTAGAATTATGATCCAGGAGTCATGTAGCCATAGGTCATAAGAATTGTAACCTCCCCAATTGCTCCTATAGATAACATCACTATTATAAAACCTAAGACTGGTGTTTGAGATGTTTTCAGAGCTTTCATTCTGATGCACTAGCTGACTCCACCCAGATCAATAACCCATACTAAGAAACTGACTCAACTGCCCTTGTGCCTCCCAACCCAGGAATTGACTCAGTGCAAGAAGACAGCTTCAACTCCCTATAATTTCATCCTTGCCCCAACCAATCAGCATTCCTCTATTCCTCAGCCCCTCTGTCTACCAACCTATCCTTGAAAAATCCAAGCATCTAAATTCTTGGGGAAGCAGATTTGAAAATTATCTTCTGTCCCCCTCACCTGTCTGGCCCTGTGATGATTAAACTCTTTTTTGCTGTAACACCTGCTGTTCTCTGTGTATTGGCTTTTCTGGGCAGTGAGCAAGATGAACCTGTCGGCCAATTACATTGGAGCTAAAAAAACACCTGATTAACACGGCATGATTTTTTTCAGAAAAAAAAAAAAGGGTGAATGGTTTTAGTTCTTATTTATAATTCCCCATTAATTTAAAAAGGCAAAATTTTCCCTTTATTTTCTGCTTTTCTTCATTTCTTTGCTTTATTTGCAATCATCCTTATTTTTATATATCAATTATTCTTGTCTTTATCCTTATATCTTTCCTTTACCATTTTCTTAATTACACCATGTTTAATAAGATAGCAAATAAATTTGTGGATGTTATAAAATAATTTATATATTTTTAAGAATAATAAACGATGAGGGAAATACAAGAAAAATGATATACATACTATTTTCTCAAGTGCCCATTCAGTAGAAGTCACATAACAAGGCTGATTCTTACTAAAATCTCAAAGTACAACCATAAGGTCAATTTGGTAAGTGGTAGCTGCTCCATAAATCCTGCTGAATTTGTTGATGAATGAATGAATAGATCTGCAACTTGTCGAGATGAATACTGGGAAGAGTTGTTCACTATAACTCAATTGTTCAACTTTCTTATGTAATAATAGTGTAAAGTAGAACTTGAATTTATTTTTAGTTTTTCCATAAGGATAACCAAGTGTAACCTCTCCCTGAAAGTACTGTGTTACTACCTTTCATCGCCACTAAATGCTTGGTTAGAAATCCTTTCATAACAATAGTGATAAGAATATAGTATTTTGAAATGTGTCAATAAACTAAACTAGCCTGAGCCTATTTAAAATGTTAGTTTGCTTCCAGAAAGACATGATGACTTAAAATGTCATTCTTAATGAGATCCACTTTATAAGAGACTACGCAATTTACCCACTTCTCAAATTTTTACAAAGTCAATTTGCCTCTTAATGTTCATGTATGTTCAAACCTTGCAGGATGGAATAAGAATAGTTTCTCATCTCTTATGTCTTGCCTCCTGTCTAATCAAAGCATTTTCTAATTCAAATTGCATTAAGTGGTGCACATCAGATGAGTTCATCTAGTCATTGAATGAGAAAAGCATCCCACTGAGGGCTGAGCTGAGGAATCACTTAAAGCTTTTAACTATCAAGCTGTTTTCAACCTATTTATTTTCCATGACATCAATTATCATTTTCACAAGATTGGTTTCTCAATAGTTTCTTTTCCTGGTGAGGTGACATAAAAAGGAAAAAAAAAAAGTGATCTTCTTACTCAGTTACATAAATCTCAATACCAAACCCCCATCACATTCCCAAACAATCATTCTATCTAAATTCACTCATAAGTAATATTGTAAAATAGATTATTCTATTGTGCAAAAGAGGATGTTAGAAGTTTTGCTTGCTTTATAAAAAAATACTGGGGCTTTTATAGCTATATATAAACAAAGAAATTTATCATATTAGTGTAATAATTCATTGTTTGATCACCATTATTCATTTGATGATTAGAAAACAAAACTTTTAGAATCTCTTTCTGCTTAATTCCTTGCAACTGGGCCATTCCTTGATGGATTTTTTTTTTCAAATTGATTTGAATAGCATTTAAAAAACAGTCTAAGGCAATTGGCTATTTATTTTGATTTATTAAAAACAGAAACTACATTTAAGAAAAATTCAGTCCAATTTGAAATTGGAATCTGAAGTTCACAAACATTGTGCCACAGTTTGTCCAGATATCCACAATTCAATGTCATGTACCTTGTGTTAGAAACTTTTCAATTACATTTAAAATGAAATAAAGAAATTAGATTTGGGTTCTGGACAAACTTAAAATTCCTATCATTTTTTAACGGCAAATCAACCCTGCCAGCCACAATAGCCATAGTAATGGGGCTCAGGAATTTTTATTCATGTTACATGATATTGGTTTTCAAAAACTGGGTATCTTCTCTTGAGAATGTGGAATTTTGATAATGAAACTGTTACATATCTTTTACATAGGACTAGGGCTGAGACATGTAAATGTATAATAATCAATCATTCATCATGAATACCAGAGAGGCTGAGAATTATCTTTCTAGAGCAATGAATAAAGCTGATATTTGGAGAGAAACACAGACAAAAAAAACAAAAACAAAAAACAAAAAAACAAAAAAAAAAAACTCTACAACAAACCTCTACATGTACCCACTGAACCTAAAATACAAGTTGGAAAGAAAAAAAATTAATGCAATGAGATATCATGAGATATCACCCCACACCTGTTAGGATGACTATCATCAAGAAAACAAGAGGTAACAAACGTTGACAAGGATGTGGAGAAAAAGGAGTTCTTGCACAAGGCTGGTGAGAATGTAAATTGGTACAGCCACTAGGGAAAACAGTAGAGAAACCTCAAAAAATTAAAAATAGAGCTATCATATGATCCAGCAATCCCACTTCTCAGCATATATCCAAAAGAATGGAAATCAGGATCTTGAATAGATAGCTGAACTCCCAAGTTTGTTGTAACATTATTCATAATAGCCAAGATATGAAAACAACCTGTATGTCTATCGACAGATAAATCGATAAGAAAAAAAAAACACTGTAGTATGTATATACAATGGAATATTATTCAGCCTTAGAAAAGAAGGAAATCCTACCATATGTGGCAGCATGAATGAACCTAGAGGACATTATTCTAAGTGAAATAAGCTAGTCACAAAGAAAAAATAATCAATTCTTCCAGTAATATGACTATTTAAAATAGTCAAACTCATGGAAGCAGAGAGTAAAATGGAGACCATAGCGGCGAGGGCAAGGGAAAAATGGGGGTTTACGTTAAATTGGTATAACGTTTCAGTTTGCAAGGTGAATAACTTCTAGACGGGAGGCTGAGGCAGGAGAATTACTTGAATCTGGGAGGCAGAGGTTGCGGTGAGCCAAGATTGTGACATTGCACTCCAGCCTGGGCAACAAGAGCGAAACTCCGTCTCAACCAAAAAGTAAATAAATAGATAAATAAATAAATAAATAAATAAATAAATAAATAAATAAAGCAAAGTTGCTATCTTCAAGAAACTTACAGGTAAAAAGGAGAAATAGATAATACATATATTATGTCACATTATGATGGGGAAATTATAAATGAGTTTATAATAATGTGTAAGCAGCATATACCTTACTGATTCACATTGGGAGGTGATAAGAGAAATTTGAATCAAGAAGACCGACTTTACAGATAAAGAAAATTGAGTCACCAACTTAAAATAAGGAATTTGTATATAGTTTATTCAGTGTGATGTGATCATATTCAATATTCCATCTAGAGACCCAGCTAGTTGTTCATCAATTTCTCATCACTAAAACAAACAAACAAACAAACAAAAGAACAACCCTAGAAAGACTATTCTTTCTCTATTGTCTTAGCAACTTTGTTGAAAATCATTTGAGCATACATTTGAGGATTTCTGGGCTCTCTCCTTAATTCCATTGGTCTAAGTGTTTGCCTTTCATGCCAGTACCATACTGTTTTCAATATGGTAGCTTACTTTTGAAATAAAGAAGTGTCAAATCTCCATCTTTGTTCTATTTTTACAATGTGGTTTTGCTATTACGTCCCTTGAGATTCCAGATGAATATTAGGACGAGTTTTTCTATTTCTGCAAAAGCAAATGGTGGTGGGAAAATTAAATATCCACATGCAAAAGAATGAAGTTGGACTTTTCCTAACATGACACATAAAAATTAACTTAAAAATAGTTTCATAGTCTAAATGTAAGACCTAATATTATAAAACTCTAGAAGAAAACATAAGACAAAAGATTCACAGCATTGTATTTAACAGTAGTTTTTTGGATCTAGTACTAAAAGCATAGACAACAAATTAAAAAATAGGTAAGCTGTATGTCATCGAAATTTCTAACTTTTATGCATCAAAGGTGATTATCAAGAATGAAAAACACAACTCACAAAATGGAAGAAAAAATATTTTTTAAATCACATATCTCATAAGGGATTAATAACTAGTATACATATTTTAAAAACTTCTACAATTCAACATCCAAAAATAGCCCATCAACACTTTAAAAATGAGCAAAAGGCTTGAGTAGACTTTTTTTCAAAGACAATATTCACAAGTGACCAATAAAGACATTAAAAGATATTCAACATTACTATTTATTAGTAAAATACAAAACAAAACCATAATGAGATACCACTTTGCACCCACTAACATGGCTATTATAAAAAAAGAAAAAAACACACAGTTAAAAAATAACAACTGTTTTGGAGTATGTGGAAAAATTAAAATTCATATACATTGCTATGGGAAGGTAAAATCATGCAGTCGCTATGGAAACCAGTAAATATTAAACATAGACTTACCATATAACCAGCAATTTCACTTCTGGGCATATACTCCAAAGAATTGAAAGCAAGGACTCAAACAGATATTTGTACACCAATGTTCATAGCAGCATTATTTACAATACCCAAGTGATACAACCAGCACAAATGTCCATCAATAGATAAAAAAGCAAAATGTGGCATATGTATAATAGAATATTATTCAGCCTTAAAATGAACTGAATTCTGATACATACTGAAATATGGATAAACCTTGATGGCATTATGCCAACTAGGCAAAACAGAAAAGTACAAATGTTGTATGACCCTATTTACATGAGACACCTGAAATATTAAAATTCATAGAAACAGAAAGTAGAGTAGTAGTTACAAGGGGTTGGGAAGGGGAATGGGGAGTTATTGGTTAATGGATACCAAGTTTCAGTTTGAAATGATGAAAAAATTCTGGAGATAGATAATGGCGATGGTTGATGCAATGAAGATATAACAACGTGAATGTACTTAATGCCACTGAACTATACGCTTAAAAAATGTCAAAATGGTAAATTTTATGTTACATATATTTTACAACAATAAAAACAATTTTTAAAAACCACCTGATTTAAGGTAGTCTCTTTCCAAGTTCCTTGAACTGAGAAATTTTGTCACTTTCCAAGTCCTCTCTCTTAAAAACATTTGTTAAACTCACAGAAATTATTTTATAATACGAAGCCCCATTGGCAATATACATGTAAGTGATTTACAAAAGAAAACAAAAGTAGTATGAGGAAATAGGTGGTATTCTCTCGGGTGTGGCTTAAATTTTCTTATCTCTCCCTAGAAAAGTAAAAGTGGTCTTTAAGGGCTGCCCTCACTAAATCGCTACAAAAAATAAATAAACAACTCTTGGGCAGGTGCCTAGACATCTTGCAAATTAAAAGAAAACACATTTTTAGGCCTTTCATGGATTTTTTTCCAGTAGTAAACATGAAGAGTATTATTTAGGACTGCTTATACTTGACAAAGACTTTATACTTGAAAGTCTGATCTTTGTTTAAACGCAAAGAAAAAAAAATTCTTGACAAAGTTTCACTACTATTCAAAATCTGCTTGAATATAAAAACATATGCCATCGTTCCATGATTTTGCTGAGTGAATATACAATAGTACTGAAAGAGAAGGAAATATATTTGAATTACACCACCTCACAAAGTAATGTCCCAAAGTAGAATGAAATAATCTGTAGCAAAATGTGTTGTGGCTAGCTTAAAATAGTTTTACATTATAGAAATATATGAAAGGCATAAGTTTAAATAACAATCTTAAAAAGTCCAATTCATAATAGTGACCAATACATAAAATTTATAGCAAACAATATTTTAGTACAAAGGAAATCAAGATAACTAGCATCTGGAATAAGAAATGTGTAAAGATTGTATAATTTTGATTACAGAATGCATGACTTATGTTCCATTATCCAGTCTTTTCTACTTCTATGTGGTGCTTTCAGTTTAGTGACACTGGATTTCTTTTAATACGTTTAACTTACTTTCTCCATTGTGATTAATAGAAGTAAATCAAGACTTTTCACATTCATTTGTTTTTCAGAAAAAAAAGTAATGTAACATTTTTTCTAAATAATTTCCTAAATATGAATGTATTAATTATAATTTCATGACTACTGCCTATTTTTAAGAAATTAAATTTATGTGCTGCAAGGATTACTTTCATCACTTAATGTTGTGTAAACATTCTATTAGGAGAATTGTTTATTCAGGCTTGTATATTTTCAAGTGATGTATCTATCATTGTTTCAGTGTTTTGAATGTAAAATACATTGTTTGTTCTTATGGCTACTATTTTTTTTCCATGGAAATTTTAATGCTTATCTCTGGAAAAAAAGCTCTAAATTGGTTGACTAAAACATAAAATTAACCTAAAACACTGAAATCTGATTTTATTTATTATAGAATGTGAATCTATCTATCTCTACATATAGACAAGACAAGGCAATCTGCAAATATGATAGTTTGCGCAAGCAGTGAAATGGAAGTACAATGATGCATATTTGACATCTGAATCAGTGATCTAATGACTCATACTTTGCTTTCCATTATGTAGTATCATCAAATGGTTTTATTTAGTTACTGATTGAATCACATTATATTAAAAAGGAGTACAGTAACCACTAGAAAAACCAATAGCGACGTTCCAGACCAACCACTTTGTGAAATTTATAAATATTATCCACAAAAACAAAAAAGCTCAAACCATAAAGACATAATTAAAAGTTATAATATTTGTTTAAGAAAGGGATGACTTACCTTTTTACTTGGAGTTGTATAAATCAAGTCACAATATGGATTATAAATATGCCCCCAAATAAAGCAGAAACAATAGCAAATTTATTTAAACAAAACATATTAATGGATTTTACTGTGAAGGATAATAGCATGACTTTAGTGCATGAAGACTGATACTCTTTTTACAACAGGGTGGAAATCTTGATGAATTTATGTACAAATTAACATTTGGCCTAGATTTATTATGGATTCCAGGCAGATTATTTTACCAAATTAAAAATTATGACTTTTAATGATGGCTAAAGAAGTAATACTTGCATGCAAATCCATCTAACATTCAAAGAGAACATTTGAGATTTAAAAAGCTATGCAGTTTTGATTCAAAATTGAAGTAAATTTTATAAACTTTAGTATGAACAAAATTCCTCACATGATTTTCTAGCAATCAATGAGAAGAATTGGCAGGAACTGCAGATTATGTATTTCCATTCTAAATTGGAGTGAATGTCAAGGCAAACTTGAAAAAAAAAAAAGGTTATGGTTTTGTGTTTGTATATTTGCTTGTTTTTAATTAGGGCTATATGAAAATACGCTTCTATGATACTAAGAATGTCAGAAAATATTACTTCTATAATTGTAATAGCTTTAACAAAGGAATGCCATGAAAAATTTCTAATGTCCTTAATAGTCATGAATTCATAAGCATAACATCATCATATTTTATATACAGAATGATCATTTTTTAAAAAAATATATTTAAGATAACAGGATCAAGATAATAATTGCATTTATATTGTGAAATATTCAATTCTTTAAGGAAAATGTCAGAAAACACATATGTACCTTTTGAAGAATTAAAAAACCACTCTTCTACTCAATATCAAAGTTAAAAAGTGATAAAATGACTTTGAAGACTTCACAATTTCATTTCTCCCAAGGCCTAAAAATTCCACTGTTCCATCTTCTAGTTCATTAATTCTTGCTTAGGACATGTATAATCTTGCTTAGTTTTGTAAAAACTGCAGTGAAAGCCAACTGTTACACTTTTTATTGTTATTATTTAAGTGTTTTTATTGTTCATAGATTCCTTGCATATAATCTTAAGCTTTGAACAGGTAATTATATTTATTTTATTATCTTTGTCTAATTACATAATTATATGAAGTATCTGTGTATTTTCTTTTTTTGTTTTTTTTTTTGGTTTTGGTTTGGTTTGGTTGTTTTTGCAGCTCATGTTTCATTTTTGCTCTCTGTAAATAGATATTTTGACTGTAACTTTGTTGTTTTCCTTAAAAATTGATTTTAGGGCTTTTTCATGACCTTTAGTAGAACTGGGTTCCTTTGAGATGACATGTGCCAAGCACCTGAATGTACCTTGCAAGATTTCCAATTCTTAATTTTTGACTTCTTGACTTCATACAAGTAGTGAATTTTGGCTGCAAAGCTGCATTATAAGAAATGTTTGGATATAAATTCTCAGTTATGTTTTTCACATGTCTGTTTATTACCCTTCTTCGTATTTGACATTCCAACTGATAGCGAGTTACAAAGGAATTAATATTCCATGTGGTACCCAAGGAGTATATTTCACATTCCCACTTAACACTCAGAGTTCTGGCTTAGGTTTTGAGGGATTCCTTTGATACCCCACTGTGGGTGGTCTGTGCTTGGGCCTTGTCCCTTCTCTGTGGTGCTTTAAATAATTGACTCCAAGTTCACAGAGTCTGGGAGACCTCAGATGAAACCTGGCTGCAGGAAAACACTTTTATTCCCTGACTCATCTCTCCACTCAGGTCTCTGACCTGAAATCTTCTGACATTATTATTATGTAACTAATGATTTTAAGGCAATATATTTTATATTTTATCCAGAACTATTAGTTTTTTCAGTACAGGTACCAATCCGAGTGCTATCCAGTCATATTAGCAGAAACAGCTGTTCAGACTTTTTTTGTCTGTTTGTTTTAAGACTGGTAATGTTTAAAATGATGTAATCAATGTTAATTTTATTATTCTGTACCAGCAAATTATTTTCTTTATTCATTAGAGAATTTAAGACTATTATTATTAGTGAGCACAATTACTACCATATTTAAACACTAACATAAAAGCTGACAAAATATTCTCCAAAGATAATGGAATCCAAGGGTATATAAGGAAATCACCATACATCAGCCTGCCATGTTAAAACATGAAAACATCCATGTACTATGCCTTGGCATGTACTATGCCTCTGAGTCTAGTGTGCGATTTAATCTTAATCTATAGGAAGGACTAAATCCTTGATGCATATTTTATTTCCCAAACCAAATAATTTCTGCTATTCCTAGATAATCATAATTATTTTAAAATTTTTAATTTACTAGAGATAAAGAATAAGAAAAAACTTTGTTGATTTAAAGCCCAAACCATTGATCATGGAGCAAGCCATAGAAGCTTAGGTAGAAGGCTACAGATATTGTCATTTCTCACAGTATTATAATAAAATAATAATATTTTTAAATGATATATTATGTTTTACTCTCATTGTTAATATTTTTGAGTGTTTAATGATTTAATTTATATTTGTGAAGCACTGATGATCCTGAAAATTTGAAAACCTTCCTCTAAAAAAATATGTACATTCTTTTTCTGGATGGGTGATTCTGATGTGAGCAAATGCCCATGTGTTTATGTGTTCAGTCTTACACTCTACTGACTTTTGATCCATTAATTTAATTTTTAGATTAAATTCAACTTTCTCTATTCATATATATGAAATACATAATAAATTTTATTTATCTATATAGTGGAAAATGTGTATCTTAGTTATTTAAAATCAGGATTAACTGAGTGTATCAGGAGCCTTCATAACTTACCACAGAAGATGGTACTTCATCAATAGTGTTTACTTAAAAGTCTTTGACTTCTAGGAAGCTGACTGGTTCAGGGGTTTATTAGTCTGCTGATAATGTCAGAACAATTTTTCACATTCACTTAGAGTGGAAGCTATTCAGAAAAGATGCTTGCTGGGATTTGAACATAATGGATTTTTCTAATTCACTCCCACACTTGCCACCCACATATTTTCTTTCTATTATTTCACAGATGAAATTAGAGCCATAGTCAAGAGTTTATAATTAAAGTGACATTGTTATTGCGTTTATATTATACCCAAAACAATGATCAAAGATTAACTAAAGGTCAAGGCACAATGTGTTAGAAAACAAGGAAACACACACACACACACGCTGAACTAGCAATTAAGGTTAGCAGCATATAATCGGAAAAATTCGTTCTTGGTGATGGGAGAATCACATTCAGTTGTACAACTGAATGTGAAAATGAAAGGTGATGGTGACAGAAATTAATTTTGTTCATATTATGAGCATTTATAGCAGACAGAGCACCAGGCAAGATCATAGAGTGGCAAAAATTGAAAGCACTAAAGGCTTATTAAGACCATCAGTTTCATTTCACACTCAGTAAAAGCTTGCTTATAGTAAGAATGATGAGGGAGGCTGAGGCAGGAGAATGGCGCGAACCCGGGAGGCGGAGCTTGCAGTGTGCAGAGATAGCGCCACTGCACTCCAGCCTGGGCAACAGAGCGAGACTCCATCTCAAAAAAAAAAAAAAAAAAAAAACAAAAAAAAAAAATTAGTGATGAATGGTTCTTAGTCTTCTCTAGTTTGAAATATTTTGAGAAGCAAGACATTTGTTCTTTCTATTTCAATTCAGTACAGTCCCAGGCTAACACAAACATGCCCAATGTGTGTAACTGGAGCTCCACAAAAATTTGTTCATCAAACATAGCCAATTCTGCCTTTTCTGTTCTTTTGGATAGCTTTTCTCACTGTCAGAATGGTCTCTATGTAGTTTCTAGAGTATTTTCTCCAATTCTTCTAGGTCATAACAAAGGCCATGAAGCATTTCCTCATCTCTATAATTTTTTTTTTTTGCTTTTTAAAAATTTTTATACTTTTTTATTTTGAATTAATACTAGACTTAGAAAAAGGTTGCAAAAATAGTAAAGATACCTCCCTTATATCTTTCTTCCATTTTCTCTAATGTTAATGTCTTAACCATAGCACACTTGTCAAAAGTAGAAAATTAATATTGTTACAATAGTATTTTTTAAACTACAGAGTTTATTCAAATGCTGTCAGGTTTTCCACTATTGTCCTCATGTTGAATACCTGTACCTAGTTATGTGTGACTAGATTTCCTGAAAGTAAGTATAGCTAGAGATATTTATCTGGGAGTCATAAACATACAGAGTAATTAAAGCCATGATTTTGGAGGAGATCCCCTAGAAAGTGAATGCAAATAGAAAATGAGTTATCAAAATACTGATCGCTACAGTCATCTATCATTTATAAACTGGGAAGATGAGACTTTATGAAATAGACTGAATGGGTCTATCTGGTGAGTTCTGAAGTAAACCAAGTAGGATGTCACTGAGGATGAATGAAAAAAGGTGTGTGTGTGTGTGTGTGTGTGTGTGTGTGTGTGCATGTATGTGTGTGTATCAGGTATAGAGAAAAACATTGATGATGCAAGAAAAAAAATATTTACTAATTGTGAGAAAGAGTCCTTGAGTAAAAAATACGGGATTTGATTTTGTGTTTACAAAACATAGCTGGGCACGGTGGCTCACGCCTGTAAACCCAGCACTTTGGGAGGCTGAGGCGGGTGGATCATTTGAGGTCAGAAGTTCGAGGCCAGCCTGGCCAACATGGTGAAACCCTGCCTTTACTAAAAATATA
This sequence comes from Homo sapiens, assembly GCF_000001405.40. Taxonomy (NCBI): domain Eukaryota; kingdom Metazoa; phylum Chordata; class Mammalia; order Primates; family Hominidae; genus Homo; species Homo sapiens. Next base: position 32,694,677 of record NC_000004.12, read on the forward strand.
AAAATTAGCCAGGCCCATGTGGTGGGTGCCTGTAGTCCCAGCAACTCGGGAGGCTAAGGCAGGAGAATCACTTGAACCCAGGAGGCAGATGTAGCAGTGAGCCAACATAACGCCACTGCACTCCAGCCTGGGTGACAGAGTGAGACTCTGTCTGAAGAAAAAAAAAAAAAAAGGTGGAGTGTTCAATCCTTTTACTGGAAGAAAAATCTATGTTTATGGGTACAGACCTAGGTAGGATGGTGGGTAATAGAGAAATGTGTAGAAATTATCTTCTTTTTAGTTTTTATTTTATTCAGTGAAATAAAAGAGCAAGATTACCAGATGAGAGTGAGGACTTGGGAAATGGGTCCAAAATAAGTGCCACATAACATAAGCAGTTTTAAGGATCACAGGCTCAACACATTGAAGGTCATTTCTTACCAACAAGTTGTCCAGATAGTCTTCTTTAAGCTAATCTATTGGGTGGATCTCTTCCAAACAGTCCTTAGATTCAGCCTTTGTCCAAAATGTGGCTTCGTAGACTTCATCGTGGAGCTTTGTTCAGGCTGCAGGAAAGATCAATAGGGAAAGTGTGGACAAGAAAATCAAAAAGTTACTCATCGTCTGTACTCACATTTCATTATCTAAAGCAGGTCACTTGTCTCCACCTAACTGTGACAAGGCCAAGAAATACAGTTCAGTTCTATAACCAGGAGGAGGAAACGACTTTCATTAAGTACATAGCTCATTTCTGCTACAATAGGGTTCAAGGTTTGAGGAGAAAAAAGGATGTAACATGTGAATTTAAGTCATTAGGAAAATAGAAATTATTATCTATAGGGAAGTTGCTGAGTAGTACAAAAGTCTCTGTTGAGGTTGGTAGTTTTAAAGTGGGAGCATTTAACATAGTTTGATATTAGTTCTTAAAGTTGTGATCATGGTTTTACAGTTAGAGTAGTCAGTAATATGACTACTATGGTAATGTTTCTGCCTGTGAGAAACAGGAAGTGAGTTGGATTGAGCCACATTAGAGTTTTACCTGGAAGGCTCAGGAGAGAGAAGAAAGAGACTTGAGGGAATAGCAAATGGGTAATTATAAAATAAATTATAACATCCAAAACCGATAGGGAAGAATGTAAGGACAAAATCTCAGTGACTTTGAAAAGCTTGTAGGGTCAACAGATTTATGGTCCCAGAGATATTTAAAGCAAAACGAAAACAAAAAGTATTGCAGTCAGGGACCAGAGGGAATGAGGTAGAAACACAGGATTTGCGTGTTAATGAAGTGCTTGTAATGGGTATGACCATAAGAGGTGAGTTAAAGGAGAAGAGCATCAGAGAGGAAGACACTGAAAGTGTTCTCTACTTGAATATCAAAATAATAATTAATTATGGCAGAAGAAATAGAGGGAGTGCTAATGATTCAGGGGCTAAAATCTTCCAGTTTTGACAGGGAGGGCATGGGATCTGTGAATTGCCATATGATTTTCAAAGGAACTGAAGGTTTTGTAGAGTAGAGAGGTTGTATGAACGTGCCACAGAAGGATGAGGAAGACATTTGCCTCCAGGCAAAGTGACACGTTTGAGAGGAAAAACAATCATCACTAGATGACTGCATGGAAAGCAGTCTTGGGGCACAGTAGTAATTTTGTTTAAAATAAGAGAATAAATCAACACTGCAAATAAGGAATTTTCTTAATGAAATAGTATGGATTTCAATGGATTTCACAAAGATTCTTGATTGTACAGAGGTGTGACATTGGGTCAGGTAAGGCAATTTGCAGTTTTATTCCAGGATGAGAGTCTTGTTAATGAGGGATAACATTTAGGAAAGTAATTAATTTCAGCAGCTTTGAGCAATTAGCTGTTATTTTATCTGTTTTCCCAACTATCCCTTGAGCACAATCCCTTTGGATACGTGGGGGTTTAATCTCACAAAGTCATAGACACACACACACACACACAATCATAAAAGTAATATGATGTGGTATGTAAATCATACGTAGCATCACCATATTTGAGAGGCCAGAATATAAACCAATAAAAATGTTGAATGCATTATTAAGGCCAAAATGTTTTAATAAAGAGAAAAATTAGTTTATATAAGCATTCGAGGTTTTTTTGTGTTTGTTTTTGTCAGTAGTCTTATCCTGAAGGAAGAAAAATTATTATCTAAGTCAATTGATTCCTTTTCTTATAATAATCAGCAGTTAGAAATACTTGAGAATCCTCCTAGTGATATAAAACTTCAGAACAAGTCTCCAAAGAGAAACAGCTATGGTTTTAATAAATGAAGGCCTAGTATCATATAAGGGGAATACATATCACAGACTCAATTAATGTTTATGCTAATTGGTCTTTACAAGTGGGATATTAAATATTGTATGATAATTAGATAAAAATATTAATAATAAAAATATAAATATTTCATTAAGATTATTAAGATTGAAATCATACAATACTTATAGAATGGTGTTGTAGGCTTTACTGATAGTAATCATGGCCAGTTCTTTGTCATTTCCAACTATAGTTGGTTGTGCTAAATGCTTGTTTTGAAAATGCAAATTTGTTCCAACTTGATTGACAAAGTAGGAACTATTTGAGCAAAATGAAGTTTTTGCATTTGCTTATGTGCAAACTCTTCCTGAGAAACACTGGGTGCACACATAAAACTGTACCCAGATGAATGAATACAAGCAGGAATTACGCAAACTGCATACTCTTCAAATATCTGCTACCTACTTCCATTTGTGGTACAGGTTAAAACTTGCAATGGTCTAAGTATTTGTGCCTGTCCAAACCTCATATACTAAAATCCTGATCCTCAAGGTAATCATATTATAATTGAGGGCCCTTGGGAGGTGATTACTTCATGAGGGAAAGAGCCTTCAGGCTGAGATGACTGCCTTTATAAAAAAGGCCCCAGAAAAACCCTCACCCCTTCCTTCCACCATGTGAGGACACCACGAGGAGGTGCTATTTGTGAAACAGAAAGTGAGCTTTCACTAGATACTGAATCAGCTGAAACCTTAATCTTGGACTTCCTAGACTCCAGAACTGTGATAAATACATTTCAGTTGTTTATAAGCCACCTAGTTTATGGTATTTTGTTATAGCAGCCCAAAAGGACTAAGACAGTCCTATTTCATATAACCCTCTTTCCACCCTCTACAAGATGCTATTATTCTGATCCACACATCTGCAAGTAAACCTTAGATCTGTTTCAAGGTAAAATGCCATTATTCTTGCAGTATTTTTATGTTTCTTAACCATAAAATTATATTATTATTTTTAGTAGTGCCTACATTTTTTATTTTTTATCAGATGTTACTGATGAAGTTTTTGAGTGCTTGTTTTCCTAACCCTATTTCTTTACATAAACCCGGTGGTTTGTATTTCATAATTTTACATAGTGTGGTAATTTTAAGGCAAAACTAACTATACCGGAAATTTCCACTTTTCAGCCTCCTTTCAGTAATTTGGGCAGTATTATGTAACACATTTTGGCTAATGGGCTATGGAGAGAAGTAACATGTAACTTCTAGGACAAAGTATAAGATCACAGGCACACAACCTTCCAATTGTCTCTGATCCTGCTTCATCAGTGTGGGAGGACTAGTGTTCCAGATGGTGCAGCAATAGGAGGGTGGAACCCCTGTCAACTAGATCATTGCATCTCTGCATGAAAGACACTTTCTTTTAAAAATATTTGAGAACATAATCATATTGTATATGAAAGAAAAATAAACATTTATAGTGTTAAACCACTGAGATTGTGAAATTGTCTCCTACTGAAGCATAGCATAGTATTTTGATTTGTATAGGAGGGAAAACCATAATCCATGAATTTGGGGTGTAGAGTTTCACCATACATCAATGTATGTATTTTTAATATTCATCTTTATTAATCTTACTTTGAATGCATACATGCTGCTCTGTATGCAAAATGTTCTGCAGTTTTTACTAAATACATCATAGTAAATGTTGTGACTTCTCATCACTCCCTGCCCTCACACGTACAACTTCTTACCCTTAGAGCCATAAAATGAGAGTCAGGTCAACTGTCTTACGTGACTATTTCAGTATCTCATATGTGAAGGATGAGAAGAAAAGGATTTTACTTTGCTTATGAAGAAATGGAGGCAGCTGTCCCTCTTTTCTCCTGAAAGAGTCTACTCCTTACTCTGGCTCTTTGTTAAATAAACAAAATCTCTTCAGGAGCAAGATAGCCCTTTTGTTCTTCTTCTTTTACTGCATATAGATATCTCTAACAGTCTTGGCTCAATTGCTCCTTGAAATGAGAATACCAAGAAGGTTAGCCACTCCAGTCTTCTTGGCACTTGGGGGCTAAACAATTGTCGTCCTAGAGATAAGAGAAGAGTTATTATTTTGGGTGGGTAAGAGCAATTAACTATACAAATGGCTACAGATAGAATTTTCATGCTATGTGAAGAGTCTAAGGAGATAGATTCTAGCCATATCTATCAATGAAGCAAAGAAGATATCTCCATTTTTGTAACCAGATAAAAAATCACCACGATTAATTTAAAATTAATCAAACTAAATTTTATACATGCTCGGACAAAGTTGGCAAATTATGTTCTTATTGACATAGGATTTAATAATTTTGTACTCCAGACAGAAACAAGTGTTATTTAAGGAAACACTATAAAAGTCTGTTTTTAAATTTTCCAAGAATAACTTCTTGTTTCTGATAATATTATTAGTAGCTGATAGTGTCCAAATGCTAACTTTGGGGTACATACTATTTTATGGGCTGTTTTCTATTAACTTACGTATTCCCCGCAACCCAATAAGGTGGGTACTAATAACAGTCCCATTTAATCTGTAATACAACTGAAGTAAAGAGAAATTTGTCCAAGGACACATATTTAGCAAAATCTGTAGTTACAATCTGATCCTAAGTCCAAATCTGATTCCATTTCCTTAATTATACTCTACTACTCTGAGGCAGTATGTCCTATTGTCTCTCCCTGTTGCCCATTCAACCCAAGAGATTTTATTAAAAGGACATGGAAGTTAATGGTTCAGTTGAATTAACAACAATTTTGATAGTGACCAAGGCAACTGTATATAAAATTTTAATATTTGCAATAAGAAACCCAATGGATAGGTCAAAGAGCAAAATGAATACAGCTAAATCATAAATCAGAAATGGATAAAGAGAAAATTGCTATAGCTTGAATTCATGTTTCTCTCCAAAATTCATGTATTAAGTCTCAGATGATGGTATTAAGAGGTGAAGCCATTTGGCAAGTAACTAAGTCATTAGGCATCTGCCCTCATGAGCGGATTAGTGCTCTTTTAAAAGAGGTTGATGGAAGCCCTGATGCTTTTTGATGCCTTTTTCTCTTCAGTCTTCACCATGTGAGAACATAGAGTCTCCATATTTTGCCCTGTGAAGATGCAGTAAGAGGTACCATTTTGGAAGCAGAGAGCAGTCCTTGCCAGACACAATCTGCCAGCACCTTGATCTTGGGTTTCCAGGCTCCAGAACTGTGAGAAATAAATTTTATTGCCTATAAATTAGCGAGTGTGGGTTTTTTGTTATAGTGTCATGAATGGACTAAGATGAAATGTGAACATGAGGTAAGGAGATACAAAGGATAGAAATAAAGGTACTTCCTTACCTGTAAAACAACTTCCAGGAAAAAAGAGAAATAAAACATATATATGTGAAAAAATAGTGACAAAGAATTGCCATAAAAAAGAAAACTGTGAGACATCATATTTAAAAAATTAATGGAATGCTACGTGGTGTGCATAAGAAGGAATTCAGAGCCGAAAGCAATACAGCCGAATTAGAAAAAATCAAAGACAAGGATGAAATTGTAAAATCTTGCAAAGAGTGAGAATTATAAAAGAAAAATAATGAGACAGAAAGTACTCTTGGTATAAACATTTAATATAAAAAGGCAATGGGGTCATATTTCCAAAATGTCAAAGGAAAATAACTTTAAGCCTAGAATTTCATACCTAGTAAAATTATATTTTAAATATGAAGACAAAATCAATATGTTAAGAGTCATATTAACATTGGAAATTCAACTAACGAATGTTTTTGAAAATGCACTTGAAGAAAAATATCCTAATAGAACAAGGAAGGAGAATTCAGGATATTATAAGATTTTCATGAGGGTAATTAAGAATTAAGTTAAACGAAGTTGCTGCTGTTGTATGAATAAGGAGTCACACACACAAAAAAAGACATAGACATAAAAATACTAAGATAGGTTCTATGTGATAAAACATAAAGGGGTGGGGCTTGTCTTTGTCAATAGTGGGCCGCTAGAACAATGTACCATAGACTGGGTGGCTTAAACAGTAAACAGTTACTGCTTTCAGTTCTGAAGGCTGGTAAGGCCAAGGTCAAAGTTCAGCTGATTCAGTGTCTGGTGAAGGCCCTTTTTCTGGTTTGCAAGTGGTCACCTTCTTGCCATATCTTTGCATGGCAGAGAGAAGGCTATGGTCTCTCCCTCTTCTTATATGGACACAAATCCCATCCATGGTGGCTGCACCCTCATGACTGCATCTAAATCTAATGACTTACCTCCTAAAGGCCACATCTCTAACTACCATTACAATTGGGATTAGGGCTTCAACAGATAAATTTTGGGAGGACACAAACATTTAGTCTATAGCAGGGTTGGGGGAAGTACAGAGAGGTAAAAATGTGATAACAGGATGTGCTTATGGAACAACTATGAATTTAATTAAGACTTAAAAATTTGGAAAATTAGAATTATATATATATTAACTTAAAACCACATGTTTAATGCCAATTTAAGTATCACCACTTCAAGAATAAAATTTGAATATATAGATTTGAAACAAGCAAAAGAAAAACTAAGACAGACACAAAAATAAATTATAACAATACTTTAAATAATAATGTTAGAAAGCATGACATCAGAGGGTTGACATAGCTAACAAAAATATTCCATAAAATAAAGGTAAACGTTTTAAACTCTTTGTTAAAAAGGCAGAGACACAGAGCTTAGGCTATATCAAACAAAATCTGGTAGTCTGATCTCTATAAGAGATACAGTTAAAAGCAAAGTTAAAAGATACAGCTAAACACTATCTACAAGTGTTTAAACCAAAAACCTAAACAGGACATATCACGTAAAGATGATACAAAAGAATGCTGTGGTAGAATTTTTAAATCAGAAAATTTAGAACATTAAAAAATTATCATAATGGGCAAAGAGAGACACTACCATTGATAGGAAAAATAAGTCAAGTAGATATAATTACTACGAAAACGTATGCACCTAATGTAATAAAATATCAAGCAATTACTGATTCATCAAGCTGTAGTTATTAATGGTAACATAACATTCTCAGTAGTGGATATATAAAGTAGACAAAAACAAGCATTTGTGAAGAATTGAATAATAGGAATAATAATTTTGAGGTCCTTTTTTTCTACATTTAAGTTATGCCTGTGTGTGTGCATTCTTTTCCAATGAGAAATAATTATGACTTAGATTTGTTGGCAAGTAAAATTCCTCCTAAGCAAAGATCATCTAACATCTGTCTTATAAATAGGGAAATTTTAATGATTTATTACATGCGAGATACTAAGAAACAGCAGTAGTATTTTTACTCTCCAGGCAATCTGATTAGTCAAAATGGAAGAAGTGGAACAAGGACTTTGGAGTTAGGCTCACCTGTGAGATATTTTCCAAAGATAAGGGAATGTATTATGTATCTTAGGACAATCAAAATAACGAGAAAGAATGTCAACATACTTGAGAATGATACAGAGCTACTGCTGATATAAGAATTAAAATTCAATATATTTGGCTCTGAAATGCCCAAGTATTCACATTAACTTTATTAGAATGTTTCAACTAATTTTACTCAAAAGCATTAACTTTATTAGAATGTTTCAACTCTCTCAAACGTAAAGATAGATAAGAATAAGAGTCACATGCTTATAAATATAAATCCCAAATAATTTATTTATATTGCATCACTCCACAAAAAATTAACTAAATAAATATTTTATTTTTATTCTAAAAATGTTGCTTGGCTTCTGTAGTTTTAAAAAACTAGTGTTGTTTATACGCATGGCGATAGATGGGTTCCATGTTTTTTCCTTATTTTTGACTTCTTTGTGACTTGGCTCAAGTTAACCTTTGCAACTTGTTCAATGAGAAACTCCAGTGAACTGTGTCACCATACACAATTAATGGTTGAATGGTCTATAATAAATGAAAATGCCACCACTGCTTAGCAATTAGCTTATGGATTATCTCCAACCACTTAGAAACTCTTCCATCTGCAGCATTTAAACATGCTGAGTGATTTAAATATACTTAAAGTGAGCAGCAATATTCAATTACTCGTTGGTTCATTGTGTGGAATTGTCATCATTATGATTAATAGCCCTTATAAAAAACAATTAATTTGGTATCTTGTTGCTAGGTCAACTATAAAAGCTAATTCTCTTAAGAGAAAATTAGTTTATCAGTACATACCCTTTTATAATGTTTTGATCTAAAATATTAATGTGATCTCTTTTTTAAAAAAGTTGTAGAACTTTAGTATGACAAATGCATCTCTATTGTTGACCTGGGGGAGAGGGATTATTTATGTTTTATACCGAAAGAACATAGTGACAGGTAAAAGGGAAATAAATGCTTCAATTTACACAGAAATCAGGTGTAGAAATTAGGTATATCTCATATTTCAGATCTATCTTTGGGAACTCAATTATTCACATTGAAGAGAGAAATTGCAGCTAGACAAAGGCATTTGCCTTCTCATAGAAGAGTTCAAGTACCCAGGAGATATGCTTCATTTCAAACCCAGTAGCACAAAACACAAATTACTATCTCATCTCATCTGACGAAATCACTGAGTTAAAAAGAAAACAAGAAACAAAGCAAAACAGCCTTTTTCTCAGCAAATGTTTTCAATAGGGATATAAAAGAACTATTCTTGACTTATTCATCATCCCCTGGGTGAGGTGAGAGAAAACAGCACTCTGTTCTTTCGAAAATCACCTTCTAGGCTGGGCGTTGTGGCTCACACCTGTAATCCCAGCACTTTGGGAGGCCCAGGCGGGTGGATCACCTGAAGTCAGGAGTTCGAGACCAGCCTGACCAACGAGGTGAAACCCTGTCTCTACTAAAAATACAAAAATTAGCAGGGTGTGGTGGCAGGTGCCTGCAGTCCCAGCTACTGGGGGAGCTGAGGCAGGAGGATTGCTTGAACCCAGGAGAAGGAAGTTGCAGTGAACCGAGATCGTGCCACTGTACTCTAGCCTGGGCAATGGAGCAAGACTTCGTCTCAAAAAAAAAAACCCAACAACAACAACAAAAAAGAAAATCATCTTCTGCTCATATTTACATTTTTCCCTGAAGGATGTGAGGTTTAAGATCATTCTGCTCCATGAAGCCCTTGAAATCAAAAGGTCAGTGAGTTGGATGGTGATGGTTTTAAGGTGGTAGTATTTGAACAAGGGAGTTATACATTCTTGTAGTCTTAAAGGGACTATTTAGACATGTTAATCACTTTTCTAGTTTTCATTTCCTTTTCCAAGATTATTGCCTAACCTATTAATCATTTCCATAATGATAATTTCCATTATGACCAGTATTTTCTCAATTAATCAAATTCTTTAAGCTTATGCAGAAGTTTCTTACATGATAAATTATTACTCTGAGTTTGTCATGTGTCTTGATAAAAAATAAATTCTAAAAATGTATAAAACTGTAGAACTGGAGTGAAAGTTGAAAGATATTCAAATTAGGTTTTATTCATTACATACATTGCTGCCAATATCACTACTGAAAAATTTTGTGACTGCAGTTTCAAATGGCAATTTATTGTCTGCCTTATTCTTATTGAACAGTCTATTGATGTGACTGTCAGGGTTTTCTTTTTCATGCACCAGCACCACCTTAAATGTATTTTTATTTTATTTATTCATAGGTAATGATACCTATGAATAATTCTTCATTCCATTATAAGCCCTTAAGAATAGTGGCTGTATTTTACTCATCTTTCTATCACCTATATTTAGTCCAGTAGATGGTTTTTAAATATGTGTTGAATTAATAAATGAATGAAGCAATAATTCACTCAGTTAATATTGTCTTAATTTATTTAGGCTGCCATAACAAAATACTATAAACTGGTTAGCTTATAAACAACAGAAATTTATTTCTTACACCTCTGGTGGCTGCAAAGTCCAAGACCAATGTACTAGTTGGTTTGGTATCTTGTGAGGGCCTATTTCTTGGTATCTTCATAAATGGAACTTTCCAAGTTGTATCCTTATATGGTAAAAGGGGCAAGGCCATTCTCTGGGAACACCCCCCCGCCACTTTTTTTTAATAAGGTCACTAGTTTCATTTTTCAAGGCTCTACATTTATGAAATAATCACCTTCCAAAGGCCCCAACACCTAATACCATCACCTTAAGGGAGGACATCAAAATTCAGACCATAGCAGATAGAGTAATTCATTTTATTCAGCAAATTTATTGAGAATGTACTGAGAAAAAATAATTGTTCTAAGACATGCATACATAATGATAGGCAAAATATCATTGTACAATATTACCGTCAATTCGATTGTCCAATAATATTTCCTACTGGCAATATTGAGGTATCCATAAATCCGTATAGGTATAACATGGGACTCAGAAACCACATGGCTTACTCTTAGGCCAATTAGTCTGGCCAAAATCCAAGAATAGATCCTCAGCAATTTGCAAGTGAATGAAAATTAATCAGAGAGAGCTTCAATTAGGTTACAAAGATTTAAAAACTATAGGAAAGCAAAGAAAAAAATAACTACTACTCTCTAATTTATACAGCACGTTATGGTTTATAAAATATATTTGGGAATGATTTTGACTCAGAAGAACATTAAAAAATAGGCTTGACTTTGTTATAACCATTTTACAGTCAAGGAAATAAATTCACAAAAATTTAGGGGACTTCACAAGGTATTATGGAAATTTGAGCCAAGAAAATTCTACAGCCTTGCTTCTCAAAGTGTGGTCCTTAGATCAGTAGTATATACCTTGTTGGAAATGCAGAATTTTAAGCCCCAGACCTGAATCAAAATCTGTCTTTAAACATGTTTCCAAGTGATTCATAGGCATATGTAATACAATGTTTGAGAAACGCTAGTCTACTTTTCTCCACACTATAGCATATCTACTATTACAGTAACAAATTTAGGCATTATTTAAAAATGCAATAGCCTGCCTAGAAATAGCAGAGGCTTAGGGGTAAAAATGCAAACCTACAGACACAGAACCCAGTGAATAGAAACTATGACCAATATTTGAGGGTTTTGTTAACTCACTTTGCAAAGACAGTGTTTTGGGGTAAAATAAGAGACTTCAAAATAAATGACAAATAATGCATGAGAAAGCCAAGGATCAGTGCTGAGTGTATAAAATTAAGACTGGGATTATAAGCACACGTGATGCAGCTTTCTTCATTTCGGTCATTAAAGGGCCTATCAAGTCTTTACAATTAAAGATAAATTCCCAATTGTGATAATTAAATAAAATATAAAAATTAATAGTGACAGAAAAGATCATTCTATGATATGTATCAGAAATTGCAATCCATATAATTGCCAAATTAAATTAGAATGTTGTCATGTGGAAGCTAGAATATACTGAAATGTAAAGGCATTTATTAAACTATTTCTTTTGTTCTGTTTATTTTATGAAGTATGTTGACTATTTTTTTCTTTCCTATGCTGACTCTTAATGTCAATATTGGATAAGATCTCAAAATAATATTTTACATGAGAAAATGTGAATAAATACAGGAACATTTACTTTAGTTTTTGTTGCTACACACTTCATAGAGTTTTCCAAAAAGAAGTGTAAGAATGTATAAAGACAACAAATAAATTTCCTTGTGAACTCAAATGACTATGAACCATCTAGAAAGTAGATAAAAAATTCATTTTAGTCCATTTGAGAGGTAGAAAATATTTAGAGGTTTCAACTGTCTGAATTCATAGATAAGCAGCTACCTCTTTGGCTACATGTTTAAAGTGTAGATTTCCTTCTCCCTCAGAGATTTGCTTATTATTGATATTGATAGACTGTACTGAAATTCACACAAATTTCTAGTTTTCATACAGAATATACCTTCACACATACAAAGATTCTGAGCACTTTAAATAATACTGAAGCCACTCTGTACTACTGTTATCAATCTTTAATAGCTTAATATTGAAATGATCATTTCATAAATGCTTAATGAGGTAAAATGCACCTGGCTTATAGATTTAAAGGGGGGTTAAAAAGTAATGCATCATGTGACATCTGCCTCAAAAGAAAAGCACTATGATTTGGCAAATATCATTATATGATGAAAAATCATAATGTGTCAGCTTTCACCTGTCAGCATGTGTGATGATGGTTAATTTTATGTGTCAACTTGACTGGTCCACAGACTGCTCAGACAGTTGGTTAATTATTATGAGAGTGTCTATGAGAGTATTTTTAGGTAAGATTTACACTTCAATCAATAGACAAAGTAAAAGCAGATTGCTCTCCACGGTGTGGGTGTGCATAGTCCAATCTATTGAAGGCATAAATAAAACAAAAGGTCTGAATAACTGGGAATTTGTTCTCTGCCTGACTCTCTTCAAGCTAAGACATGGGTCTTCTTTCTTTGGACTCAGAGTTGTGCCGAAACTTACATAATTGACAATCTTGGTTCTCAGGGCTTTAGACTAGAATTATATTATTGGCCCTCCTCAGTTTCCAGCTTGCCAAATGCAGATCTTGGGAATCTCAGCCTCCAAAATCACATGTGCCATTTTTTGGAGAATTCAACATGTAACATTGGGGAATTTATCTACATCTCGGTGTTCTCATTTTTAAATGAGGATAATACCACTCCTTCTTTTATCAACTTCCTCAACAAATATTTACTGGATAAATGGGACAAACAAAGTCTCATTTCAATGGAGGATACCAGCATGGGAGATGAACTGTTTAATAGAATGACATAAAATAAACCAAATGCTCTCATCTAGTAATACATGTAATAAATGAATTAAATAAAAATAAAGTGATGAACAGAGCCTGAGAGGTTATTGAAACTTATTTGCATATAATATCTGGGGAAGCCATCTCTGAGGAGGTAATGTTTGAGCCAGGAAGTCAAAGATAACAAAGCATTAATCACTGAAAGAGCTGATTAAATCCATTAAATTTTAAATACTACTTTCTCTTTAAAGGAAAAGAATTTAAATGGCAAACATAGTAAGGACAAGAAACTATGGTGTATGAATTATGTCACTTTACATATGAGAAGATTGCAAGTTAATATTTTAGCACTCATCAATGAAAAACAAAATTATTATGCCAATCACAATGATATATAAAAATGACATGCCTTCTACCAAAAAACATATATATATGAAGAACCAGTTGTGAGTGGGTGTATTAGTCTGTTTTCACACTGCTGATAAAGACATACCTGAGACTGGGTAATTTATAAAGAAAAAGAGGTTTACTGAATTCACAATTCCATGTGGCTGGAGAGGCCTCACAATCATGACAGAAGGCAAAAGGCACATCTTACACGGTGGCAGGCAAAAAAAGAGAGAATGAAAGCCAATCAAAAGGGGAAGCCCTTTATAAAACCATCAGATCTCATAGGACTTATTCACTACCAGGAGAACTGTATGAGGGACAACACCCCCATGATTAAATTATCACTTACCTGATCCCTCCCACAACACATGGGAATTATGGGAGTTACAGTTCAAGATGAGATTTGGGTGAGGACACAGCCAAAAAGAGTTTCTATAAAAATATGACTGATATTAATATATTTATTATATATTAATTAATTAATGAGATTGATGAGGCCAAACATTCAAAACACATAAGCAAGAAATGAAAAGTACAGAGCATTCTAAAGGACTCCAAGCAGATGCAGAAGAGAAAAGAAAGTCAGGCCTGTGACTTCCTTTAGAGCTTAGATTCTATGTAGCAATAATCTTCATGAAAAGGTAACTGCCCATTTATTTTTATCAATTAACAACAGCAAGATATACAAACATATGCTATAGAAATTTTAATATGCTGTTAATTTAATTAGCTGTTAAACTATATTTTTTTGTATGAAACAAATGGGAAAGAGTATCTAGATCATTTTCTGAACTCTAGGAAGACTGAATAAAATATAAAATATGTATCTACAGTTAATGTTACAGATCATAGAAGTCCCTAAATGAATATCTGAGTTTGCCTATAAGGACCAAATTATTTCATAACTTTCATAAAATTATTTAATGAATAAAACATTAATAATCATGTAATTATAATTATAAAACAAAACCAAGGACCTATGAAATAATCCTATTTACTTTGGGAACACAATGAGAACCAGGAAACTATAGATCTTCCTACAGATCCTATAGGAAGAGGGTCCTATAAAAGGACACCTATAAAACTGGTCATAGTGAAATGTGCTAGGCTGACTCACTACAGAGATGATTGGGGCAGAAAAAGCATACACCTCAAATATAATTTATAGAATTCTACAATCTATGTTTTTGTTCCCTTAGGAGTTTCAGGATAAATTGTTCAGAATTCTGGATTATATTGTGATGCAATAGAATGTAGGTAGAGTAGGATTTTACTGTGAGGGGTTAGAATGTAGAAGGTAGAATGTAGGTAGAGAAAATAAATTTATTTTTATCCAAATAATGTGTTATTTTCCTGTAGTCAAATCATATCCAACTGTTTTTTTTTCACTATAGTGAAATTATACTTAATATCATTTTAGATGTATTATTTTCAACAAGGAACTCCTGGAATTTTATTGTGACTTAAGGCAGCAGTATAGCACAGTTTATTGATTTTTATTGCATGCAGAATATACATTTACACTCCATTCATTAACCTTAGAAAGATATTTGACTTAATAAAAACATTTGGAAATGTTTGTTGCTACATTTGTTATCAACTTAGGAAAAAACAGCTATCATCAGTGGCAAGACTCACTAAACTTGATTGATTGCTTGAAATGAGGCAGGACATAAATTGTAATATGTTTTCAACAACATAAATTGCTTCATTTGGAAAGAAACTGCATCTACATTCTATAATGTATCCATATTAACCAGGTTCCTTTATGATGATGATGGTGATGAAGCTTAAACATCTTGCTGACCCTGGAGGGTCAGCCCCTCAGGGTTAGCCCATCTTAAAGACAGTAAACAACTCTCCCATAAGTGCATTTTTCAACTGTATACCAAACAACCCAGTTTCTATATTCCCAACCTAGTATCTCTTTTATTAGGCTCTCACATTCTGGGCCACTGTCTACCTGCCCTGATCACAAAGGGGCAGGTTCCAGAAAACTATGGAGAGCTCCACAATTCCAGGGCTTGCTGAAGTTATTCAAACTAGCCAATCCTATGACTGCTTACCTTGCGTCACTCATTCCTGCCTACGGAAATCACAAATAAAGGTTCTTCATGCATTATATCTGTCCTTCTTCCCCCTGAATGTTCCTGGTTAGAAGGGGAATCCTTGTGAGACCCCTCCTTCCTATCAGGTGGGGTAACCCCTGCCCCTTAAGGTCTGTGAGCATAGTGTGTTTTTTCAATGATAGTTATCTCCTGAATTGTTGGCCTTATCATGCATAAATAACAAAGAAACCTTCATTAAAACAGTGTTATATTTTTCAAAGTAGAAAAAGTATAATATTATTTTTTGAAAATAAGCTTTGTTGACTTGGAACCAACCCAAATGTCCATCAATGATAGACTGGATTAAGAAAACGTGGCACATATACGCCATGGAATACTATGCAGCCATAAAAAAGGATGAGTTCATGTCCTTTGTAGGGACACGGATGAAGCTGGAAACCATCATTCTCAGCAAACTATGGCAAGGCCAAAAAACCAAACACCGCATGTTCTCACTCATAGGTGGGAATTGAACAATGAGAACACATGGGCACAGGAAGGGGAACATCACACACCGGGGCCTGTTGGGGGGTTGGGGGAGGGAGGAGGGCTAGCATTAGGAGATACACCTAATGTAAATGATGAGTTAATGGGTGCAGCACACCAACATGGCACATGTATACATATGTAACAAACCTGCACGTTGTGCACATGTACCCTAGACTAGACTTAAAATATAATTAGACAAAAAAAAAAGAAAAAAAAAAGGAAATAAGCTTTTTTTTTTTTTTTTTTTTTTTAGGGGAGTTTTACATTCACAGCAAAAATGAGTAGATGGTTCTCAGAGATTCCCCATATACCTACTGCCTCCACACATGCATAGTTTCTCCCATTATCAACATCCCCCACCAGACTGGTACATTTGTTAAAACTGATGAAACTACACTGACATGTCATTATCACCTACAGTTCAGGATTTGTGTTAGGGTTCAACCTTGGCGTTGTGCATTGTACAGGCTTGGAAAAATGTATAAGGACATGTATCCACTATTACATATCATACAGAATAGTTTTATAGCACTAACAATCCTATGTGCTCTGTCTCCTCTTCTCTCTCTCCCCCTGACCCCTGGCAACTACTGGTCTTTTTTTTTTTTTTTTTTTTTGTCTCCATGGTATTGCATTTTCCAGAATGTCATATAGTTGGAATCATATAGTATATACCTTTACAGATTGGCTTCTTTCTCTTTGTAATATGCATTTAAGTTCCCTTCACGTTTTCATGGCTTGATAGCTCTTTTTGTGTGCTTAATGATATTCCAGTGTGAGATATACCATAGTTTATTTATCTATCTCTGTATTAGAGTAATGCTGGCCTCATAGAATGATTTAGGAAATACTGTCTCTGCTCCTACCTTCTGAAAGGGAATATATACAATTGGCATAATCTCTTCCTTAAATGTTTGGTAGAATTCTCTAGTTAACCCATCTAGGACTAGTGACATCTGGCACCAGTGAGGGTCCAAGGAGGTTGGGAGCTCCTTTGTCCTTGGTCAGGTCACAGAGCTCCTATAAATGTTAATTGTTTACATACTTCTCCTTTAATCCCAGAGTTTGTTTTAAAAACTACATGATTGCTGTTTTTGCATATTTTCTCAGTGCTCTAAAATTTTTTTAGCCTACATGCAGGAAGAAGTAAATGCCCCATAAACAATAATTGAGTTAGTTGTGTTAGTTCCTTTGCTGTTTCACTGTTAAAATTTCCCACGGTCACAGACTCATTCCATAGTCTTATGAGATTAGGTGTATCAGGCATATTCTCTCATCTGGCTACTTATGTGCTGAATGGAGTTAATGTGGAGTGTTTGTGGAATGAAAGTTTGTGTTTAGGTTCTTGTTTTTTTTTTATTTTATTTTTTTACTCTTTAGGAAGATCTGATCTCCCAGTAGAAAAGGATGTAGTGCCACATCTGTGGGATGAGTGGTCCTGATAGAGGCAAACTCATGGACAGAAGTTAATACAGGGCCTAGGGTCTTAACATATTGCCAGTTGCTATGTTTCTTAAAGTATTAGCTGATTTTTTTCCACCAGGGCAGAAACCTGGAATGGCCTATCATATAATAATTTAAAAGGACTCGATTTGTGTCCACTTCAGGAAGCCATTCTAATCTACAACAGAGCAAATGACAACATCTTATTCCAAGTTAAATTAGTTCCTTGACATATTTTGGCAATGCTTCTTTTTAGACTATGGTTCATCTTTTTTTAGTTTTTCCTAGCAATTACGGTCTCCAACATGGCAATCTAAAGGCTGTAGGAAGAGGTGAGTCAAAGTTTCTCTTGCATTTCTGTAACCATCATATTCTCATTTGAATCAGGGAATAGACAGATGTTAACTACAAAATATGTGTTCCTCATATCCATAAGCAAGTTAATAAATGTGTTCCCCACTGTCAGTGGTACCCAGGGCTCCAATGGGATATGAATACAAGTTGACTAAACATACATATTCAACAAGTGAAGGGGCTATGAATATTTATAAAGGTGGTCCGACACATGCTTATTCGACAGACATGCATGTAACATAAAACACACTTTACTTTGGGGTGGAGACAACATTTAAATGTGCTACAATTAGGCCCTATTAGTCAAAAGGCTTTTTTCAGGACACAAAAGCACACTAGTGCACAATCTCCGTAAACTGGACAGAACTGGTCCATGCTCAGTGGTCTTCTTATCTGGTTTTGAGAGATAAAATTAGTTCAGACCCTTCAAATCAAAGACAGGCCCACAGATGTCTAAACACCTGATAACACATAAAATTTATAAACAAGTCATTTTTTCACCTTTCCTTTTTGGCTTTTGGTTTGGGCTCTTATTTTACTCAAAAGGGTTCTAAATATTAATGTATGCCTGTCCAACTCCATTCTTACCTAGATTAGAACATTGAAATTTGTTCTAAGTCTTTTGATTCCAAGTCCCTTGGCCATAGGAATTCTTCACATCACTGTCTTGTACTTACTGGTTCCTTTCTACCTTCTTTTATAAATAACCTTTAAATAAACTTCTAATTTTAAAAAAATATATATATTTTTCTTAATTAGAACACAACTTACAGAATTACAATAGAATTCTTTTTCTTAGTAACCTTAAATGTTAGTGAAAACCTAGGAAGCAAGAAATCCTGAACTGTCAGATGCTACCATTGTATAGATAAAGCCAAGACATAATTTTCAGAAACATGTTTCCCCATATCATACCCCTCTCTAAATTGGAAATGCCCCAGATATCCAATAAGCATTTATTATTTAATGCAAAATAATTTTCAGATTTTAAATTAAACAGAAATTCACTTATAAGAGTTTATCCCATTTACATGTACTCAATTGTTTTTATTTTTCATAGCTTATCTAGATTACTTTTGAAAACTGAGACATTAGACAAAGCTAGTCATCATTTAAACTTATTTTCCTGTTAACCATTTTTAAAGCCTGTGAGAATCAACTGTTCACCTGAATGTGAACCCTGAAGTTAAATACATGGGCATTTTGCTGATAGCTCAGAAGATTCAGCTGTTTTCACTGAACAAACAATTTTAAATTAGTCTTATTTGTTAAAAGAAAAAAAAAGAGAATAACACAAAACACACACAAATAGGTGTTCTGGTTTTGGCTGGATTTATAATCTTACAATCTTTATGCCAAACCAACAATTTAAATTATCTAGCAGAGGCAAATATAAAACAATCAGGAAGCCCAGATAAACATTTATGCTTACAATTCGGAAGACATTTTTATTTTACCAATAATTTTAAAACAATTCTTATTTACTACTGATTACTAAATTCACATGAACTTGATAGGTTTTTGGACTTAATTTATGAGTAATCATTTACTTAGAAGCCAATTTGGTAGCATTCTAAACACAGGATCTAACATAATATATGTACGTATATGTAAATACCTCTAAACATGTATACCTACACACAGAGAGAGACTGAATACCTTTTAACCTGGAACTCTAGCCATGAGACAGCATCACAAACTCATCAGCCTACAAAAGATGGCTAGATCCAAATTATTTCTGAAAAAATTGGGATCTGTCCACATGGCTAAACTTTGTTTTCCTAACAGGTAATCCAATGAAGGTTGTGGATCAAAATTTTGGGTAAAGCAGTTTTCATGGCACTTTTGATTTAAAAAATGTCTTTGACCTTTCTTTTTTCAGTTTTAAATGAATTTCCAATGTCTTACATTTTAGCTAGAACTGGCTGAACTGTCTAAGAAAACTAAAATCTCCAAGTAACTTTGAATCAGTGATTTTTATCTCAATACCAGTAGCTTAATAAATGCAGATACAAAGTAGGCAGAAACAAGAGAGAAATAGAGACTTTTAGAAAACCCTACTTAACTGTATAGTTGCAAATTAACCATTTGAGCTCTGAATTTTATTTACTGTAATTTGCTCATTAGTTTTAAAATGTGTACAAATAAGCCATACTATTTAATCAAATGGATTCCCAGAAATTCTAGCATGCCTTTGAACTTTTCCATGTTTTTAAACAATTTAAAACTAACAACACAGATACTGAAACAAGCAGAGCACTCCGGAAGTAAAAGGGAGACTGAAGAGATGACGTTAAGCATCTTATATCATACTAAACAGTACCACAAATGACCCATGCTAGGTCCAAATGGCACAAAAACCCAAACGGATGAGAGAGAAGATTCACAGTGTACATATTGGTTTGACTTACCCAGTGTTGGAGCCAGTCAACTCTCAGATACTGTTTTTCTTCTCACCAACTGAGCCTTTCTGGCAGCTGATGCTGAGAAGTGGGAAAGAACGAGAATTCCCAAGACAGACGCATTCTCAGCAGTTGCTGGGATATCCCTGGAATCCTAGCTGCAGGGTCACCTAGCCACCAGCAGCTGGTACTCAGGAGTGGTTTTTGTTACCCACAGGAGAGTGACGTCCTAGCATGCTGTCAGTGGCCAAGAAAACCAGGAAGGCTGGCCCACCCTAAGCACACAACCCCATGATGGGTGCCATTAAAATGTAACCAAACCTAGATTTGGCTGCTTGCTGCTCCAAAGACAAACACAAGGGATGAGAGTTGGTGGGAGAAAAGGCAGGTTTATTTGGAGAGTCAGGAAACAGAGAAGATGGCGGACTACCATCCTAAGATACTCTCTGAGGTGGGCACAAATTTCAGACATCTTTTATGTTAGGGGAGATGGGATGAAACGGGGGTTGGCGTCAAGAGATGACCAATGACCACAGATAATCTGAGTGCCACAGAGAGTCTAAGGAGGTTGGGAACTACTTTGTCCTTGGTCAGGTCACAATTATGCTCCTATATATTTGAATAAAACATAGTTGTTGACATACTTCTCCTTTAATTCCAGAGTTTGTTTAAAATACAGCATGATTGCTCTTTTTGCATATTCTCAGTGCTCTAAAATTATCCTATTCTATGTGCAGGTATGAGTAAAGACCCCTTAAACAAAAATGGAATTAGTTATGTTAGTTCTTTTGCTGTTTCACTGTTACAGTTCCTCAGGACTCTGCTTGTGTCCGGAATTGGTGGGTTCTTGGTCTCATTGACTTCAAGAATGAAGCTGTGGACCCTCGCGGTGAGTGTTACAGTTCTTAAAGGCGGCGTGTCCGGAGTTTGTTCCTTCTGATGTTCAAATGTGTTTGGAGTTTCTTCCTTCTGGTGGGTTCGTGGTCTCGCTGGCTCAAGAGTGAAGCTGCAGACCTTCGCAGTGAGTGTTACAGCTCATAAAGGCAGTGTGGACCCAGAGTGAGCAGTAGCAAGATTTATTGCAAAGAGCGAAAGAACAAAGCCTCCACAGGGTGGAAGGGGACCCGAGCGGGTTGCCTCTGCTGGCTCGGGCAGCCTGCTTTTATTCTCTTATCTGGCCCCACTCACATCCTGCTGATTGGTAGAGCCGAGTGATCTGTTTTGACAGGGCGCTGATTGGTGCGTTTACAATCCCTGAGCTAGACACAAAAGTTGTCCACGTCCCCACTAGACTCAGGAGCCCAGCTGGTTTCACCCAGTGGCTCCTGCACCGGGGCTGCAGGTGGAGCTGCCTACCAGTCCCGCGCCGTGCACCCGCACTCCTCAGCCCTTGGGTGGTCGATAGGACTGGGCGCCCTGGAGCAGGGGGCGGTGCTCATCGGGGAGGCTCGGGCCGCACAGGAGCCCACGGAGGGGGTGGGAGGCTCAGGCATGGCGGGCTGCAGGTCCCGAGCCCTGCCCCGCGGGAAGGCAGCTAAGGCCGGGCGAGAAATCGAGCGCAGCGCCGGTGGGCTGGCACTGCTGGGGGACCCAGTACACACTCCGCAGCCGCTGGCCTGGGTGCTAAGCCCCTCATTGCCCGGCGCCGGCAGGGCTGGCCGGCTGCTCCGAGTGAGGGGCCCGCCAAGCCCACGCCCACCCGGAACTCCAGCTGGCCCGCAAGCGCCGCACGCAGCCCCGGTTCCCGCTCGCGCCTCTCCCTCCACACCTCCCTGCAAGCTGAGGGAGCCGGCTCCGGCCTTGGCCAGCCCAGAAAGGAGCTCCCACAGTGCAGCGATGGGCTGAAGGGCTCCTCAAGTGCTGCCAAAGTGGGAGCCCAGGCAGAGGAGGCGCCGAGAGCGAGCGAGGGCTGTGAGGACTGCCAGCACGCTGTCACCTCTCATGATGTTCACACATGCTTCTCAGTCCCTTCCCTACTCCTTACATGCAGCAAGATGGCGAAAGTGGGCTGGAGATGAGTATTTCCTTTCTCACCAATGGAAAGCTCTGGCAGGACTCCAGCAGGTTAGGTTCTGCTTAAATAGTTTCTCATGAGGGTAGACCAGTTAAGAAGGACAGAAACTGCTCTTCAGTAAGCTCTGGCACATTTTTAAATGATTACTTTTTTTTTTTTTTTTTTTTTGAGACGGAGTCTCACTCTGCGGTGGCGCCATCTAGGCTCACTGCAACCTCCGCCACCCGGGTTCAAGTTATTCTCCTGCCTCAGCCTCCTCAGTAGCTGGGATTACAGGAGCCCACCACCACGCCCAGCTACTTTTTTGCATTTTTAGTAGAGACGGGGTGTCACCATGTTGGCCAGGCTGGTCTCGAACTCCTGACCTTGTGATTTGCTAGCCTCAGCCTCTCAAAGTGCTGGGATTACAGATATGAGCCACCGCGCCAGGCCTCCTCTTATTTTTCCTCTGCTGAAAACATGAGAAGATTTAATGATTTTTCTTTTTTTCCTTCTCCTGAAAACATGAGAGGATTTTTCTCTAATATTCACTGCGATAACTAACTAGGTTGAGCTCCTGGAGGTAAAGCTCACAAAAGTGTGTGAGATTCTATATGACTGGATGCCCCTTGATGTTTCAGCTTTCAGAGTTGACCACACTGAGCTTTCAGCAATTTGTCACTTAACATTTCAGTTCCTTCATTCCACGGCTGGATCCTGAGGAGGTTTCAGTTCATCAGTTTCTGTTTTGTGGAGTTGTGACTGGAATTGGCTCATGTGGTTCTAAGGGCTAGCAAGTTCAAAATGTTAAGGGCAGGCTGGCAGGCTTGAGACCCAGGGAAGAGTTGGTGTTGCAAGCTCGAGTCCAGAGGCAGTCTTGAAGCAGAACTGCTTCTTCCCTGAGGAACCTCAGTCTTTTTTCTTAGATCAATCAGCTGATTGAACAAGGCCTTCCATATTATGTAGGGTAATATGCTTTACTCAAAGTCTTAAATGTTAACCTATCTAAAAAATATCTTCATAGCGATATCTAGACTTGGTTTGACCAAAAATTAGGTGTCATGGCCTAGCCAAAATGACACATAGTAATTCACTATCATATTTATCACTTACAGATTCATATTGAAAAAAAAATGCCAAAGAATTTTCTTTCAAAAGAAAGATGCTGAACTCTTATTTTATCCTAAACAGTTCCTGGAATTGATATTCTCAGAATAGTTCAGATAACCTTGAATGATAATTTTTAGTGTTATATATATTCCTTCTGACAAAAGCATCCAAAATGAAGACAAGTTTGCTGTTCATGGCTTAGATATAGAAACAGAGTGAAATTGATTCTCCAGTGTTTTTCTTTTACTGCATATGTATAAATTCTGAATTTTCTTTATACTATCTTTGAATTTTATTTCTGGATTTGTTTCTAATTATTTTACTCACCACAATATCAGACAATTATCATCATTGAGATCTTATTAATACCAAAGATCAGAGCTAATTCCGTTACATATTTGCTAATAATTTTCTTAAATCCCTAAGGATATGTTACTCTAGATCGCCATATTCATCTTTTGATTTGAACGCCATCAAGACAATACTAGAAGGAGGTTCTATACCTCTCTTTGCCTTTCAAGAAATATACTATTAATTGTACACAAAAATATTACTTTCTCTGGGATTAGGTATCAGAATTATCCATGTTAATTAATTGCACAACTAATTTTTTAAACAAAGAGAAGTTAGCAGGGAGTCTGCTAATATTCATAGTCAGAAGTATGTAATTATTGGGCAAACTTTGTTTTTCTGTTTGCATTTCTTGCTACTTTTCTAAGTTTGAACTTCTTTTTATTATTATTATTTTATTTTATTTTTCCGTAAGTTATTGGGGTACAGGTGATATTTGGTTATATGAGTAAGTTCTTTAGTGGTGATTTGTGAAATCCTGGTGCACCCATCACCTGAGCAGTATACACTGCACCATATATGTTGTCTTTTATCCCTTGCCCCCCTCCCACTCTTCCGCCCAAGTCCCCAAAGTCCGTTGTATCATTCTTATGCCTTTGTGTTCTCATAGCTTAGTTCCCACATATCAGTAAGAACATACAATGTTTGGTTTTCCATTCCTGAGTTACTTTACTTAGAATAATAGTCTCCAATCTCATGCAGGTCATTGCAAATGCTGTTAATTCATTCCTTTTTTGGCTGAGCAGTATTCCATCATATATATATGTGTGTGTGTATATATATATGTGTGTGTGTATATATATGTGTGTGTGTATATATATGTGTATATATGTGTGTATATATGTATACATATGTGTGTATATATGTATACATATGTGTGTATATGTGTGTGTATATATATATAACACACACATGTTATATATATATACACACACACATGTATATATATATGATGGAATACTGCTCAGCCAAAAAAGGAATGAATTATATATATGATATATATATGATATATATGAGATATATATATAAATGAATGATATATATGATTATATATATATATATATCACAGTTTCTTTATCCACTCGTTGACTGATGTGCATTTGGGTTGGTTCCACGATTTTGTAATTGTGAATTGTGCTGCTGTAAACATGCGTGTGCGAGTATCTTTTTTGAATAATGATGTCTTTTCCTCTGGGTAGATACCCAGTAGTGGAATTGCTGGATCAAATGGTAGCTCCACTTTTAGTTCTTTAAGGAATCGCCACACTGCTTGGCATAGGGGCTGTACTAGTTTACATTTCCACCAGCAGTGTGAGAGTATTCCCTGACCACCGCATCCATGCCAACATCTATTGTTTTTTGATATTTTGATTATGGCCATTCTTGCAGGAGTAAGGTGGTATCGCATTGTGTTTTTGATTTGCATTTGGAGAAAATCTTCACAATCTATACATCTGACAAAGGACTAATAGCCAGAATCTACAACAAACTCAAACAAATCAGAAAAAAACAAACAATCCTATCAAAAAGTGGGGCAACAACATGAATAGAGAATTCTCAAAAGAGGATATACAAATAGCAAAGAAACATATGAAAAAATGCTCAACATCACTAAGGATCAGGGAAACAAACTTCTCTATGCACTATGAATCTTGTCTGTTTAAGCTGGGTTTCAGTTTTGTTTTCTCTATTTATCCAACTTATCTGCAACTTTTTTTGTTGTTGTTGTTGAGATGGAGTTTTGCTTTTATTGCCTAGGCTGGAGTGCAATGGCGCGACCTTGGCTCACTGCAACCTCCGACTCCCAGGTTCAAGCGATTCTCCTGCCTCAGCCTCCTGAGTAGCTGGGATTACAGGCACCCACCACCACACCCAGCTAATTTTTTTGTATATTTAGTAGAGACGGGGTTTCACCATGTTGGCCAGGCTGGTCTCGAACTCCTGACCTCAGGCGATCCACCCACCTCAGCCTCCCAAAGTGCTGGGTTTACACGCATGAGCCACCGAGCCCACCCCTTATCTGTAACTTTGATCTTTGTTTAAAGATATTCCTAAGGGTTTTTACCACTCTGTTACTTACTACTTGGTGAAAAATCAAGAGAATGAGGACATCCTTTGACCTAAAATCAAATACACACCAGAGACAATTCTAAAGGCAAATTTGGAATGAGGCTTTTTGATAAACATATACAAAGAGAATATTAAAGTTCTAAATTACTCATACACTTCTTGACCCAATTTCTGCAAATCATGGGAAAAAGAAGAAAATAAAAAGAAAAAATTGAAATAAAGATACACTGTTTTTTTGCTTTTTACCCTGCTTTGAGTAGATTTAGAATACAAATTTAAGACACACTGTATAATCACAATTCATTTACAAATTAACATTAATTTGGCCATGTAATACAAAACAAATCTCCTTTTCAAAATAATTTACCTTCAAGGATAAACCTTAACATATTTTCTATTACAAATGGAACACCTTGGAATTAAAAATGCAATACTTATTCTACTTTTGAGCATCTTTGTCATGGGAGCACAGTGGTTTTAAAACACTTTCATAAGTATTGTTTTTTTTGCATCAAAAATAAACATTTTTCACTTTTGTTTTTCTTACAAGAAAATTGAACCTTTAGCTATTAAGAATTACATTAGAAATATTATATTTGTCAAGTAAATGCAAATTTCCTAATAAGAATATATTTGTTTAAAAAGTAGAATTTTTTAAAAATTGTAGATGGAGATTAAAATGATAGTTTTAGTATAAAATTTTAGTTATTAGAATATTAGCATAAGAGAAGTTGCTTTGTATATTTTACAGCACCCTACCCATGTTTCTTTGGTTTATAACTTAGCCTATGAAAGATAACATTTAACTGAAATAATTTACTGGCTAGAAGCTCTTAGTAGGTTTTAGAAATATTCATTATTTTCCACAGGAAATCACATATGAAAATGATTAATTATGCCTTGAAAGTTGTCACTAATTCTGAACTCTTAAAGCAAATTTGTGGATTTGAATTTTAGGAAAAGGTATCTGTAAGCTATAATTGATGTTTTTTACAGTCGACAATATTATATTGTGTTTCTGTTTATCTCTGATTCACTAAGCATTTGTATTTCTGGTATTCATGAAGAAATTTCTCTTCCTCTGGAATAACTTAGATGTTTCTCTGTTTTGGAAAACAATGGTCCCAAGCACAGCAAATTATTAATATTTATTATAATCATATATGTTTAAAAAACATTACACCTAGAGTTTTTCTTATGGCTGTTCTGGGGATCCTTTTGGATTTTCATTATTCATTACAATATTTTCTCTTGTAAACAGCTTATTCTTTTTCCTCTTTTCTGTAAGTCAGTAAATGACTCAAAGGTCACATATAAAACTGAAAGATCCAAAGCCAGATGTCTCTGGATTCAACCAGGAAGCTGCCTCTTGCTCAAAAGTGAACCCGAGTAAGCTGTTGCTCCACACAGAATGTTTCTAAATCATTATTTATTATAATTCACATTAATTTAACTCAGAACGCCCTGGATACAGACAGTAGGTACTGTCATGATAATATGAAAAACGGCAGGACATACTAAAATTTCTAGGCCATTTTTACCATCCTTCCTTGAATATATATTTTATTCCAAGATTTTTCTTAAATAAATAATTTTTAAGTTACATTAAAAATCACTTTTAGGTTCCTGTTTCTCTTCCAACATGTGAAGTGCTTTACAAGTTATCATTTCCACCCTTACAACAACAACAACAACAAAAAGCCAAACAAACTGAAAAAACACTTTCTAAAAGCCCATCAGAGATTTGAGGTCACTGGACAAGCTGCCATTCTGAAAACTGGAGAGACAAGTGAATTCAGGAAATACAGATCAGTTACCTGAAGCTGAAGCCACTGGATCCTCTGCACAAACTTCAGTGAATTATTGCAAGCTGAGGGTGGATAAGCTTGAGAGGTGAAAACGCCTAGGTGCCCAGCTTGGGGAAGGACCGCATATTTTGATGGGTTTTTATCTACAGGGACCCTACTGAGATCTCCTAATGAAGATCAGAGAAAAATCCCTTTCTGTTTGGCTAGGGGAGAGAAAAAGTAACCGTTTGGAAATGTACCCAAGGGAAAGGTAACAATTTTGAAAGAAATCCAGAATGATCTCTCCAAAAAAAAAAAAAAAAAAAAAAAAGACCTACACAGAAAGGGAGAACACTTCTCAAGAGCCTTATCCAATGTGAGGAAGGGAAAATTACACAACTCTAGCCACCGCTAGCCTTCTGTCTCACAGAACGAGGGGTGCAAAGCTGAGAAAGACTTAAGAAAATCATAGCAGACGGTCACAGATCCACCGAATGACTGGAACCTCATTACAGGTTTGCAGAATGCTTTTCTCCCCAACACAATACATCAACAGGGCTACTGTATAATAACAGGAATACAGCTGAAAATTCTGCAAGGCTCAGACTCTACTTAAGGACTTTCTAGGAAAACCAAGGGCAACAGAAAAGACAAAAAGTAAAAAAAAAAGACACTAGAAGAGATTGAAGCCACTGAAACCAACAACTAGAGCAGTTAACGCAGCTTAACTCAAAGCCAGTTAAAGGTAAGGATTCACATTAAAAGTCTATCTCAGTTCCTATTATCTAATACAAGCATCTAAAAGGCAAAGTGCACATCCTCATCCCATGACCCACCCCGCACACACACAGGAGAGCACACAAGCAAAATAAAATTGAGTTTAAAGGGAATGTTTTCTGATTGTGGAAATTATTTCAATATTTAGTAGCATATTTTAGAAATGTGGGAAAAAATTAAAATAAGCACAAGGTACGTACTTGGGTATTATTACATCTCTGAAAAAACCCACATCACACTTATTTTTTCCTACTTAACATATCTGCAGAATGTTTGGCAGACATGAGCAATGCATCATTAAATTTTAATTTATTTTGATGCAACTGATCTCAGAGTTATGCCAAGTTCTTTTGGAATGGTTTTATAATTTATTATTTCTCCATCATCAACGAACCTAATATGATGAGCAGAGAGGAAGAATAAGAATAATCAATATTAACACTATCAAATATAGAAAGCCTATAATAGAGTAGAGGTGTTTTAAATTTAAATGTCCATCTTATTGTGCTTTTTGCTACAATCTACAGATACTCATCTTTGGTACCTGGTAATCTAAAACCAATAAATGTTTTGAAGTGTTTTATTTTAATTTTGTCCCATGAGCTTTAACATTTTTCAATTTAAGTTTATTGAATCTAAATGGTTGAATTCATTAAGTAAGATGAAAACACAAACTAGTCAGGGTGATAAATATCACCCCAAATAAAACTCACATAATATTCTTACTATAATCAGTATCCTTACATTTTTAATATTTTCTGGCACTCGAGATATGACTTTTTCCTGAAATTTTTAATCATAAATATCCATGCAGTTTTCTAAAATCAACCACTATAATAACAACCAACACAAATAATTACATTTTCTTTTTTCAAAATCAAAAATCAAGTTTGGTAAATGTCCCTTTTTATTCTCCATCTATGCCCACCTCCTTATAATTTGTATCTGTCTGATAAAAATATGATTCTCTGATTATATTACCTATACAAAAAGAACTGACTATCAGCACCAAGAAAAGAAAAATTAGCCTCTTACAGTGTACTGGAATTAACAAGGATTAATCAGATAAAGCTTGTATTAATAGCACACAAACAGACAGAAGAATGGGAGAGAAACTTTATAAATATACCTAAATGTATTTATTAATTTAAGGTATTATCTCAATTTGTGGGGAATAAATGGGCTTGGGATGACTAATTGACCATGTGGGGAAAAATTAAATTCAAATCTATAACTTATAGAGCAGAAATCTAAAACTAATTTAATATTTAAATTAAAAACAATAACTCATGAGAGACTATAAGAAATTGTGAGAGAATTTAGTTACATTCTTGGCATGGGGAAAATCAAAAAACCAATAAGAAAAGTTTGAAAATTTTAGCTGTATTAAATAAGTAGATACAGATATGAATATAGGCATAGAAATATGTTACTACACTTCCCATACATAAAGGGCTACTATCCCTAATAAAGATCTTTTACAAATTGATTTTTAAA
Source organism: Homo sapiens (assembly GCF_000001405.40). Lineage (NCBI taxonomy): Eukaryota > Metazoa > Chordata > Mammalia > Primates > Hominidae > Homo > Homo sapiens. Next base: position 32,724,433 of record NC_000004.12, read on the forward strand.
AATAGACTTTCAAAAAAAGCACTTCACATGTTGGAAGAGAAACAGGAACCTAAAAGTGATTTTTAATGTAACTTAAAAATTATTTGTTTAAGAAAAATCTTGGAATAAAATATATATTCAAGGAAGGATAGTAAATATGGCCTAGAAATTTTAGTATGTCCTGCCATTTTTCATATTATCATGAGAGTACCTACTGTCTGTATCCAGAGTGTTCTGAGTTAAATTAATGTGAACTATAATGAATAATGATTTAGAAACATTCTGTGTGTAGCAACAGCTTACTCGGGTTCACTTTTGAGCAAGAGGCAACTTCCTGGTTGAATCCAGAGACATCTGGCTTTGGATCTTTCAGTTTTATATGTGACCTTTGAGTCATTTATTGACTTACAGAAAGTCATATTTTAAAAAATATGTATAACAGGTATAAAGAGACAGTTTCCAAATAAGGGAAGATCCATTTAATATGAAAAGAAGTATTGAACATTCCTCAAAATAAGACAAAATACACTTCAGAAAGACATTGAGATGCTGATTTTCACCTGTCAGCTTGGTAAAAGCCAAATGTTGAATAATACCTCACATTTGTGAAGGTGTGGAAAAATGAGCTGATATGAACATAAATTAGAAAACGATAAAGGATATTTGATAGCTTTCAAAATATTTCTTGTATTTTTAAATTTTGTGTGTATAAAGATAGTTGATAGATACATGGATGGATGGATGGATGGATGGATGGATGGATGGATGGATAGATAGATAGATAGAGCTGCCTTGTAAGTCAATAATTGCACTACAGGAATTTATTCTACCAATAATAGATCCACATAACACATTCAAGAAGGGGTAGAGATGCACAGGACTGAAATGATTAATGTGCAGGTTTATTCATCATAGCATTTTTCACTATAACTAGCACCTGGAAACAATGCACTCCAGTAGGTACCTGTTAAATAAATTATAGAACATCCTTCAAACACAATAATTCTTTAAAATATGATATCCACATATGGATACACAAATGAAGAGTGAAGAAGCTCTTTATGTATGACTAGGTAAAGACATACTGTTAAATGAAAAAGAACAAGGAGTCAAGCAAATGTTATGCTGTATATTACATTAAAAAGAGTAAGCATGAATATATACTTTATTATTTAAAAAAATACTCTGAAAGATTAAATAAGAGACTAATACAAGTGCTTGGCTCTGGGCAGTAGGATACCCAGGAATAAGTTAAGGAACCAGGAGGATTGAGAACAGGTATCGAAGCAAAACTCTATTTTTCACATGTTTGCTTTTGGAATCATGTGGTTGTATGATCTATTTAAAAAAATAATTTAGAGAAAAACAAAACTACATAGATGATTCCACGGCTGTAAGTCATTAGTTGCAGAAAAACCTGGGGGCTTTGGTGCTTACCCAAGACTGTCATTTGTAGTTTGCAGGCTCAGTTGCATAACAATGCTGGCCAGAGGGTGTTTTTGTCTTTTCCTCTTTTTTGACCATTTTTCCCTGGAGCATTTTTTTCAGCTAATGTACAAGATTTTAAACTTCTTCAGGCATTGGTCACTATACATAGAAACAAAGAATTGTTAACCAATTTTTTAAAGCTGCGTTTTAAGGTTAATTTGTATCCCGTTAGCAGTAAGTCCATAGAACAGTAAGTCTCTGAAAACACTGAGCATCCTACACAGGGAAAGAGAAACAATGTTCACAATTATTACCTAATTTAATACTCAAACAACTCATAAACTGTATTATTATTCCAAAAATAGAGGTAAGAATAGAGGCTGACTTTGTGTATTTAGGCTACTATAACATAATGCCATAAACTAGGTAGTTTATAAATAGCAGAAATGTATTTCTCATGGTTCTGGAGGCTGGGAAATCCAAGATCAAGGCATCACAGATTTAGTATCTGGTGAAGGCCTTTTCCTGGTTCATGGGTGAGGCCTTCTCTCTGTGTCCTCACACGGTGGAAGGGGCAATATAGCTCTCTAGGGTCTCCTGTGTAAGAATACTAATCCCATTGTGAGGGCTCTACCCTTATGACCTAATCACCTTCCAACGTGCCAACCTCTTAATACCATCACACTGGTGATTGGGATTCAACACATGAATTTGGGAAAGACACAAACATTCAGACCGTAGCAGAATGTCAAACATGTTAAATTTTCTAAAGTCATAAAATAAGTGATTCAGGCTGAGTGCTAAACCACATCACTGATTTTTATAATCGTCTTCCAGAAAACCATGCTTCTAGCACAGAAGTCTTTATGAAGGAACTAATTCTTTAATGTATTATGATGGTATTAGCAATTGCTCACAGCTCTAGATGCTGATTTTCTGCTCTGGAAATATATGAAGACCATCCAGATGAGAACAAGCAAAGACTATTTATTCAAAGCTTACCATAGCAAGGGAGTCAGCCACCATGCCTTGTATTTGACAAAGAGTCAAAGGCAGATGGGGCGTTTCACGTCCCTGCTCCGATTGGAGATTGTGGGCATAGACAAAGTGGAGGCAGGCTAAAGAGAAACAGCAACCTATGTGCTTAGTCACGAGAACACATTTGGCTTTTTCTGGTTGGTTCTAAGTTAAAATTAGGGGCAAAAATTAGGGAAGCTGGCAGTTAGAACAAGTTCTGACCTGTTTGCTGCAAAAGTTGTGAGTCAGAGTCCTATCTAGTGGCCTAGTCTTTGTACATTCTGTTTCTTGCTGTCCTCAAGGAGCTCACTCTCTGTTGGAGGAATATCTGACCAAAATGGATGAAACATTCCCCTTACTGTGACAAAACTTTAGTCATCCTGACTGTAGGCCCTGATCTCCCTTTTCTTAGAGAACATTTACTTTAGAAAACTTGTAACTGCTTTCTTTTCCCCTTTGGTTGCAAGCCTTTTTAGAAGCCTCTTGCCAGTGTTACAACCCAGGACTGTCTTTCTCAAGGACCTGAGACTCATCCTTTGATGTGTAACCACTAAGGAAGATGGTACCCCATCTCCCAGTCTCTGTGGGAGGGTAGGAACCAACTTTGGTGGGAGTCTTGCTCCAAGCTGTAAAATTACTTCCTATGAAAAAGAGAAAGTTGACTTTTCTTTTGGGTGAGGCCAATTAACAAACATAGATGGCTTGTGATCTTCTATTATAAGTTCCACTAGAACTTATTCCTCCTGTATACTCTTAGAAACTCTCCCATCCTTTGTTTCACTTGAGCTGAGTTCAGACTCTCTCCCCCTTATGCAAAGCCTTGAGGGAAGCCTTTCCTACCTGTTTCACATTGGTGCAAATTTTGCTTTGACACACACATCAGAACTTTAGTGTTGCATTTTTTCTTTCTATTCCTTATTTTAAACATTAATATAAACAGTTATAGGTAGAAGATAAGAAGCTCAGATTAAAAATATGATTTAAAATGTTAACAGTGTAACAACACATAAATGAATATTGGTTAAAACCCCCAACTAACAAAATGAGTCTGATTTACATAATCATTTATTTAAAAAGAAAAAATAAAATTTGCTTAAAAGAGTTAACAAATCCATGATTAAAATGGTAAATTAATGTGGAAATACAAAAATCTCAGACAAATGAGTGCAAGTTGAGTCACAACTGGTCTTTTGGGTCAAGCAGCTTTTTTGTGGCATATTTCATAAAGAACTTGTGGTCATGGTGAGGGTATTACCCCCAGGGCACTTTTTTATGTGTAATTTTGTTTAAGATTATAGTAGTTTCTCAAACTTTGATCATGCTCCACAATTCTTTCAACACAATCATTTACAGAAAATGTAGGGTTCACAGTCAGCCTATACAGAAAGGGAGGAGTTTTGAAATGGCTGCCAAAACAAACAAAAAATATATATCTGTCCAAAACTGACTATGAGAATAGTGGTTACAGGTTTTTAGTTATATTACATCCATTAGGGATTGATAATTGTACAATCTTTGGAAAAGTCTTTCAGGTAGATGTATAAATTTTGGGTACATATATAAATAGTTGAGGGTTATTGAAATTACACCATCCAGGAGAATTTTGTGAACCCAGGAGGCAGAGTTTGCTGTGAGCCGAGATCATGCCACTGCACTGCAGCCTGGGCAACAGAGCGAGACTCCATTTCAAAAAAAAAAAACCCGAAAACTTTAACAAACCTACATAAAGAGAAAAAATATGCATATAGTAACTTGGAATACTTAATAGGTGTTTCCTTATCTGTAGGGGACTTATTCGTCAGAAATATCTGCCAGGTCTTATGTGACTTGTTTTCTTTGCCTCCTGGTGTAGTGTTAACTCCCTCTAATCATTCACTTAGTGCCTAGTACTCCTCATGACAAAGCCCTACATTAGAATGAGTGTCTCATTTTTTGGGGAAATTAACATAATGACAGAGACATTTTTGTCTTTTTGGTCTATAATATCATAAAAATCTTAATTTAACTATATAATCTTCATAAAGTGTTTGTCTATAACTATCTACCTTTTTAATTTTAAGATTGACACAAAATTGTTCTTCCATATGGGGTACAGTATGATATTTCAATACATACATACAGTGTGTAATAATCAAATCAAGGTGCTTAACATATCCATCACCCCAAATATTTATTATTCCTTTGTGCTGGAAATAGTCAAAATCTTCTCTAGCTATTTGAAAATGTACAATAAATCAGTGTTAACTATAGTCACCTTCCAGTGCTGTGGAACACCAGAGCTTATTCCTCCTATTTGATTGCAATTTTGTATCTGTTAACCAAACTTTTCCTTTCCTCCTCTTCCTACTATCCTTCCTAGACTCTAGTATGCTCTATTTTACTGTCTACTTCTATGACAACAATTTTTTAGCTTCCAGATTTGAGTAGAAACATGCATTATTTATATATCTGTGCCTGGCTTTTTCCATCTAATATGGTGTCCTCCAGAGTCATCCATGTTGCTGTGAATGACAGGGTGTTATTCTTTTTTATGGCTAAATAGTTTTCTCCTGTGTATATACACCACATTTTCTTTATTTATTTATTTGTTGATAGACACTTAGGTTGACTTGATATCTTGGCTATTGTGACTAGTACTACAATAAACATGAAAGTGCATATATGTCATTGATATACAAATTTCCTTTCCCTTGGATATGTACTTAGTAGTGGGATTGCTAGACTGTATGGTAATTTCATTTTTTAATTTTTTTGAGGAAACTTCATAAGATTTTTCACGATGTTTGTACTAATTTACATTCTCACCGAGAGTATATAGGAGTTCTCATTTATCTGCATCTTCACCGACATTTCTTATTTTTCATTACATTGACAATATTTATTCTAATTGGTGTGAGATGATATTGCAAGGTGGTTCTGATTTGCATTTTCCAGATGACTAGTGATGCTGAGAATTTTTTCATATACTTGTTAGCCATTTGTATGTCTTCTTTTGAGAAAAGTCTATTTAGATCATTTTCCCATTTTTAAAATCAGCTTATTTGTTTGCTTGGTGTTGTTTGAGATCCTTGTATATTCTGCATGTTAATCTCTAGTTTGCAAATCTTTTCTCCCATTCTGTAGCTTGTATCTACACTCTGTCGATTGCTTTCTTTGCTGTGCAGAATCCTTTAGTTTGATATAATCCCATTTGTCTATTTTTCTTTTTCACTTGTGTTTTCGAGGTCTTATCCATAAAAATCAATGTTCTGAAGCATTTGTCCTGTTTTCTTCTAGTAGTTTCATAGTTTCAGGTCTTACATTTAAGACTTTATTTTGAGTTGATTTTTTTTATGTTGTGAGAGATAGAGGTATAGTTTTATTATTCTGTATATGGATATCCAGTTTTTCCAGAATCATTTATTGAAGAAATTGTCCTTTTCCTCAGTGTATGTTCTTGGTGCCTTTGTAGAAAATCAATTGTTTGTAAATATGTGGATTTATTTCTGGGACTTTTATTCTGTTTCATTGGTCTATGTGTCTGTTTCTGTGCCAGTACCATGCTGTTTTGGTTATGTTATCTTTTTAAGTCAGGTAGTGTGATGCCTTCAATTTTGTTGTTTTGGTTCAAGATTGCTTTGGCTATACTGGGTCTCTTGTGGTTTCATATTATACAAATTTTAGGATTTTTTTATATTTCTGTGAATAATGTCACTGACATTTTGATGGGGATTGCATTGAATCTGTAGCTTGCTTTGGGTAGTATGGTCATTTTAACAGTGTTAATTCTTCCAATTCATAAATATGGAATGTCTTTTCATTTTGCATGTGTTTCCTCTTCAATTTCTTTATCAGTGTTTTACAGTTTTTATTGTAAAGATCTTTTACTTCATTGGTTAAACTTATCCCTTGAGTTTTTTTTCTAGCTATTGTACATTGGATTTCTTTCTTAATTTCTTTTTCATCAATCTTCTTAATTGTACTGAACTAGCAGAAATCTGATTCCCTGTTACACGCTTTGCCAAACGTCTAACGTTGCTATCAATTTCCCAGAGAATAGTTTCTCTGTATATATTCTGTATCCTTAAAACTGTCCTAGTGAGAAGAGCTTATGTTTTTTTAGTTTTTGAGGGAAAGAGAAAAACTTGCAGAACACTTATAACCTAAAAAAGCTCTCTCAGTAAAAACAGCCACAGTTTATTGAATGTTTACTTACTGTATGTCAAGAAATGTGTAAAAGCTTTAAAATATACAATTTTACTTTTTATAATTCTGTGACACAGATAGTATGTGATGTAAATATTATTGCTTCTCAGTTATGGGCAGATTCCATACCCACTACCATGACATAATATTGACTCCTTGTAATACTCATGTCCCATGAAACAATACCAGGAACCTTAGAGTCTAGAACCACAGTGAAATATGATCCTAGTTTGTGATGGCCTTGGTCTATATACCATTTTTAAGTATATGGGCTCCACATTCATTCTGTAAACACTAACAAAATTATTCAAAACACATGACCAATATTATAATAAATATATGCATCAAATATTATAAGAGGATAGAATGAGATTCTTCTCAGCAGATAATAAATATAACCAATGAAAAGATAATTAATAATATTTATCTTGTCTTTTGTTTTGAATTACTATGAACCTCTAACAGTTCTAAACGAAAACATGCAATTTTGACAATGTCTTTCTTTATTATTTTCAATGGCTTTTTATTTCTAAGTATTTCTTGGGCATTTTATCTCCTCATATAAAACATATCATGATTGATTTCCTCCAAGTACCTCAAATAACACCTGGACTTAAAAATATATATTTAAAGGTATTGACAAAATAGGATACTGTTCTGTTCTAATTATTTTAAATGAGTCTAAAAATATGTGCAGCTGACATATATTTTACCCTGCATCATCTCCAAACTTTTGTGAAGAAGATGTGAGAGTGGACCTGGTATTTTCCACTTTTCAAAATTATGTAAGCCTCCTTGAACTCAGTTGCTGGTTAAATTTCATCTGGTCCTAGTGAGTGAAAAGACCTTTGCTGCTCTTGGCCTCATGACTTCATTCTTCTCTATAGAAGATTTAGAGATTTGTCATCAGACCTTTAAAAGATACGGCGTTTGGGGCGAGGACAAGATGGCCATCTAGAAGCGGCAGCAATTAGAGGTTCCCATGGAAAATATCCAAAACAGTGAGCGGGTCCTGCACCAGCAATGGAGGTATCCAGGTTCCGTCGTTAGGACTGACTAGGTGGCCGGTGTGACCCATGGAGAGGAAGGAAGAACAGTGTGGTGTCATGGGCCACCTGAGAGCTACATGGGGCGGGGGAGCCCCCAACCCCCTTCCAAGGGAGGCAGTGAGTGAGCATGGTACCCAACCTGAGAAACTGTGCTTTTTCCATGGAACTGTGCAACCCATGGATCCGAAGATCCCACTCAGGAGCCCACGCCACTGTGACCTTGAGTCTCAACCATGGAGCTATGCAAATTCTGAACAGCCACGGAATTGGCCTAAGCCTGCTGAGTTCCATGGGGGAGGGGCAGCCATCACCACTGCTGCCAGCTGCCTTCTGTCTAAGCCACCTGAGCTCCTTGCAGGAAGGATGGCAGTCAACACTGCGGCTGCAGGGCCTCCCTGCAGGAACTCCAACTCCAGTCAGAGTTCTCTCAGGGAGAGAACTCTGGTCTCTCTGGGCCTGAGCCCCTGCGTGGGGTGGGGTGTGGTGGCCACAGTCTCTGCAGACCAGCAGACTTAGTCTTTCCTCCTGCTAGCTCTGAGGAATCTGCACAGCCCAGACAAGTGGGTTTCCCCACAGTGCAGCACACCCCCTCCACCAAAGGACAGCAAAAATGCCTCATTAAATGGTTCCTGCTTCCCAAGCCACCAAACTGGGTGAGAACACCACAACAGGGGGTATCAGACATCCCATACAGGAGTATTCCTACTGACATCAGGTTGGTGCCACTCAAGGTCAGAGATCCCAGAGGAAGGAGCAGGCACCCATCTTTGCCATTCTCCAGTCTCCTCGAGTGACATCTCCAGGCGCGAGAGTGAACCAGATGAATAGGGCCTGAAGTGAACCCCTAGCAAACCACAGCAGACCTACAGAAGAGGGACCTCACTATGGAAAGAAAAACAAACAAACAGAAAGCAACAACAATAGCATCAACAAAAGAAAGTCCCCACAAAAACTTCATCCAAGAGTCAGCAGCCTCAAAGGTCAAAACTAGACAAACTGAAGAAGATGAGAAAGAATCAACGAAAAAACAATGGAAACCACTCCAGCAAGGAAGCAGAGCTAGAAGGAGGATGAGATGGATAAATTGAAAGGAGTCGGCTTCAGAAGGTGGGTGATAACACTTTGCTGAGGTAAAGGAGCATGTTCTAACCCAATGCAGATAAGGTAAGAACACTGATAAAAGTTTAGAGGAGCTGCTAACTAGAATAACCAGTTTAGAGAGGAACATAAATAACCTGATGGAACTGAAAAATGCATCATGGAAAATTCGTGACGCATACACAAGTATCAATCCCATTACTGGTTCTATACCCAAAGGAATATAAATCATTCTATTATAAAGATGCATGCACATATATGTTTATTGCAACACTATTCACAATAGCAAAGACATGGAACCAACTCAAATGCCCATCGATGATAGACTGGATAAAGAAAATGTGGTACATATACACCATGGAATACTACGAAGCCACAAAAGGGACAAGATAATGTCCTTTGCAGGGACATGGATGGAGCTGGAAGCCATTATTTTCAGCAAACTATCACAGAAATAGAAAAGCAAATGCCGCATGTTCTCACTCATAAGTGGGAGATGAACAATGAGAACACATGGACACACGAAGGGGAACAACACACACTGGGGCCCGGGGTGGGACAAAGGGAGGGAGAGCATCAGGATAAGCAACTAATGCATGCAGGGCTTAAAACATAAGTAATGCTTTGAAAGGTACAGCAACCAACCATGGCACATGGATACATATGTAACAAACCTGCAAGTTTTGCACATGTATCAAGAACTTAACGTAAAAAAAAATATATATATGAATATATATGTATATATTCTTTCTCATATATATTATATATAATATATAAATATATATAAATATATTATATATATATTTTATATATAATATATATAATATATATATATAATATATATATATATATGTAGCCTTTACTCATCCTCTTACCCATGGTCCTGGTCTGAGAATCACATAAAAGAAAAGTTAGATTATAAGGAAGAAAGCAATGTTGATTCATGAAAAGCTAAATAGTGATTGACGAGAAATATCAAACCTATATAGACAGGGTCAAGGTGAGTGAAAAATTCAAGAGAGAGAGTTACGACTTACTGGGCTTAACTGTAGATGTGTAGATTTCAGAAAAGTGATAAACACTGAGAAATTCATATAAATAAAAACGAAATTGTCACAGCTGTGTAAAAATCTGGGAAATATATATAGAATGGATTGACAAATCCAATGTGTGCCTTTGAGACCAGCTGTTCTTTTTAATATTGCTTACTAGGAAGACTGTAGTTGCAGTTCTTGGACTGATAATATATAGTAGTGTTCTGCAGATTGTGTCTCTTCATTGAGTACTTTATTTTGAAAATAAAAATAATACGAAGTTTAATGTTTAATATCATCCTATATTTTATTTATATTTTTGTTGGAAATACTCTCATGTTTTCTATATTTTCCTAATGTTCTGCGATAACTATATATGACTTTTTGATCAAAAAAATACATGCTATTAAAATTAGCTAATACATACTAATGTTTAAACTTGCTAGATGAAGCAAATACTGAAAATTACAGCATTAAAATAATTTTCTTATTTGGGTAATTTTTAAAAATGGCTAGTGCAAAGTGAAGTTAATTTAGTGACTGTCCATATTTTATGTTGTAAATATTTTCATATGTGAGCTTGAATATATATATAGTGGGAACCGTTCTTATTATGTTCTTTATCTGTATTCAGTAAAACATTATGAGACTACCCATAAACTTTTAAGAAGCTATGGAATAAAAAATACTGAGTAAACAACTGAATCACTGGACGAATGAATGAATAATGTGTCCCAATTTGAACATGTGGCTTCAAAATAAATTATGTCATGTACAGGTAGTGCAGAATGAAATGTTCCAAATAACTGAATGAATTTAGCGTATCCTTGTGACTGATCTCAAATATTCTGAAGTGAGAAATGCCCTCACAATTGACTTTCTGCAAAAGCCATCTCCATAAAGCCATGATGCTTGACTTACATCTTAAAGTTTAGAAAGATGCTGCATCCTCTGGCGTGCTACACAGCTTTTAGTGTACTTTATAGTATTTAGACATAACTGATAATGTCATTAAATTAGACACATACCTCCACAGAGTTTTAGAGGTCCAAAGTGTCTTTAGAAATTATTTAATCCAACTCCCTTCATCTATTGGATCATAGGGAAGTGGTATAAACACTAAAACTATTTCCCCAGTTCACACAGTAAGTTAGCATTGATGCTAAGGTTAGACTCCAGACTATCCCTGCCCACTCCTCATTCCCTATATAGCAGTGAGACTGCTTTTCTTATGAACACACAGATACACAATTATAGGAAAAATAGACATACACTATTACTTTATATTTAATCCACTCCCACCCTCACTTTCTTTTGTAGTTGTGAGTCATAACTGAAATGGAGATACATCAATCAAATAAAATGTAATGAAAAAAATCTAACAAAGGCTATTGAGAGCTGTAGAACTCTTAACATACTACAAACTCATCCTAATCTCTGATCTGCGATGCTTGACCACACTCTAGCTTGGCTTCTAGCAGCACTCAGCTGTGTGCCCCTCAGATGACCGCCTTTAAAATATCTGCCTGAGAAAATTCAGTGTTGCCAGGAAAATGTACCGTTTGCTCCAGCTAAAACCTGGCGATAGATAGATATCTCCCTCAATTCCCTATTAGGGCAATTACTTTAGAAATCTGTCAATTATCAATCCTTTCTGTGCTTTTTTTTTTTTTTTTTTTTAAACAGTGCTGCTTTTTCACCCAGGCCAGAGTGAAGCACAGTGGCACAATCATTGCTCACTGTAACCTCAAAGTCCTTGCCTCAAGCGATCCTCCTGCCTCAGTCTCCTGAATAGCTGGGACTACAGGAGCGTGACACCAGGCATGGCTAATTTTTTTGTAAAGACGTGGTCTGGCTTTGTGCCCAGGTTGATCTCAAGCTATCCTTCCACCTCCTTCCCAAATGCTGTGATTACTGCCATGAGCCACCAAACCTGACTCTCTGTGTTTTGAGAAGCAAATCTACCAACCAAAACTGTTTTCTCAAAGACCTGAAAGCCACCTCTGAAATGGTGATAGTTAGGGAACTGACTCTCTCAATATAGCTCTCAGGCCTGGTGTAAGTGTAAGGGCCTACGATTTGTGGGCACCTAACTTCAACTTGTTATAAAGACAGACATTTGTTTCTCCTCCCAGTAAGCAAATCCAGGTGGCCTGGTCACGTGGACCTGGCCCTTTCACACCAGTCAATGCCTTTCCTTTAGCACTCCCAACCCTGTAAAATGTTTCCTGCCTTTGTTTGCTGGGATCCAAGTTCAGTTTATGCTGGACTCTTTTTCTTATTGCAATAATGTTACTGAGTTAAATCTGTCCTTATTGCTTTAATTAGTGTCTGACATTATTTATCCTTGATAATATGTTGCTGGATGGATAACTGAGTGAGCCCATCTCATTTAACTAGCCAGGGAGAGTATCAGGGCCTACACTGCAATATGATAACATGCAAATGAAATCATTGGCTTACCTCCAATGCCTTTATTGCATACCATATTTTGATATTAAATATTTTAAACATGTACATCGATTGCTGAATGGCTTCAGTGTAGGGTGAGACCTCTACTGTGGATGCTGGAGATAAGACTGACTCCAGACCCTGTCCAAACAGTTTTACTGAGAAAAATCACTGCTCCCTAACCTTGAGGCAGGCCAAGTACACGCTCAGCTTTCAAAGGCCAGGCGGATTAAATGTGTGAAATCTTTGTTACAAGTCATAGGGAGTCCAGGGAACTGTAGCTAACTAGAGTGTAGAAGTCTTCCAAGAACATTTGAATTTAGAATAAAAATAAATATTAATATCCAAGTTAATTTTGAGCCTCAGATGGCTATATTTTTACCTATAGTTCAAGATAATAATTTTATTGTATGCCTGAAAAAATATTAACTATTTGGGGTTATTTTGCTTTTAGGGCTATTAAATGCTAAGATATGCATTTTCTATGTTTATAGAAAACTGTTTCTCTTTTATTTATTTATTTAATTTTATTTTTCAAGACAGATCCTGTCTTCGGTTGCCCAGGCTGTACTGCAGTGGTGCAATCTCAGCTCATTGCAGCCTTGGCCTCCTGAGCTCAGGTGATTCTCCCACCTCAGCCTCCTGAGTAGCTGGGACCACAGGTGTGTGCCACTATGCCCAGGTAGTTTTTTGTATTTTTAATAAATATGTAGTTTTGCCATGTTGCCCAGGCTAGTCTCGAACTCCTGGATTCAAACAATCCACCTGCCTCGGCCTCCCACAGTGGGGGGATTATAGGCATGAGCCACCGCTCCCGGCCCTGTTTCTCTTTTAATTAAGGATTGAATTGATTTATTTATAAGAAAATCATTTTGTATCTAGTATATTTATAAATGTATTTTCTGATATATGCTATATTTGAAGAAATAATTTGTTACTTTACTTATATTAAACAAACAAATTTCATCTTTTAAAAATTACTTCACCGGGTTTTCAGAGATACATGAAAGCTATGAACTTATCAGATACTGAAAACAAGAGGGCTTGGTACAATTTGAGAGTTTTAAATATGTCAAATATAAAGCCCAACAGCAATAATTTTTTTCTGAAAGTATATTCTCATAAATATAATTCTCTTAACTAATATAAAAATGAAAACATTTTAAACATTAATTTAGCTTTTAGTTTCTTTAATTTTGTTAGGAATTACTACTAGAAGCTGTATTTTTCTAATAGGAATAAGAAATTGTGAGGTCTGCCTACATTAATTTTTATTTTTGTTTAACAGGAACAGATGTTGAACTTTAAGGTTGCACCAGGAAACCAAGTGTTTGGAGAAAAGCTGTGCCAAGATTTAAGAGAGAATATGTGAACCAAACACAGCAAGAAATCAATGACAAACTTAAACAACTTGATAATTTCTCTAAAGAAAGGCTGAGATATAAACTTGGCTTTGTTACCTACAGTAAACACTATCCTCAGAATAGCTAGGGGGTACTGGGACTTACTGTAATTTCACACAACTAATACGAAGTATTTCTTTGGTGCCTATGATATTTAAGGCCGTAGGAATTATACAACACCTAAAAAGGTACTATTAAAGGAGTTAAATCATTTACACATGAGTAAAATGAAGGATCATATGTGAGCAATTAATTTTTTACTATTATTTGTAAGTTTATCTATTTTCTTTCTCCCATGCTGAATGTTCAGAAATGTTGACAAAAATACTGGAAAATTACTAGAGCTTTGGTGAACAGGATGAGAAGTTGCTCATTCTTAGCAGAAGCTGTAGAAATGGTATACTTTAAACCATTTTTAATGACAATGTATAGACACAAAAGTTTTTGACTTTGATGAAAACATATTAAGGAAAAGGAGTAGCCAGCAGACAGGTGCACAGAAGATGGCATTTTTGTTGTTGTTGTTCTATGTGCATCTTCAGACCCCACATCTCACTGCGGGATCTTACTCTCAGCCTTCATCCTTCTGAAAGATGATTGTGGCTACCGTCTGTACATTACTTATTATATAGAGTACTTGAAAAATAGATAATATTTACTTGCTATAAACCTTTTAGATGTTTTAGAAAAAAGAAAGCAAAACTAAAGAGAGGAGGACTTTTTTTGATAAATAGCAGACTGATACTCATGTGGCAAATGCCTTCTTAAGTCAGTATATACCCATCCTGCCCCACTCTCTATTGCACAGATAAGTTCATTTTGTGGCTGTTAATAGGAAGGATGCTGGTTTTTTTTTTTGTTTGTTTGTTTGTTTTTTTTTTGTTGTGTTTTGAGACAGAGTCTCGCTCTGTCGCCCACGCTGGATTGCAGTGGCGCGATCTCGGCTCACTGCAAGCTCCACCTCCCAGGTTCACGCCATTCTCCCGCCTCAGCCTCCGAGTAGCTGGGACTACAGGCGCCCGCCACCATTCCCGGCTAATTTTTTGTATTTTTAGAGAGACAGGGTTTCACCGTGTTAGCCAGGATGGTCTCGATCTCCTGACCTCGTGATCCGCCCGCCTCGGCCTCCCAAAGTGCTGGAATTACCGGCGTGAGCCACCGCGCCCGGCCCCAGGATGCTGTTATGTGAGTAGCTGTAGAACTCTTACACAGAAACCACGCATAAGGAAAGAAAATACTGGCTCTTAAAAGGCATACATTGCTAGTATAATTCATATTTAGATTACCCCCCAAATATTGGAGTGCTACAAAGGCTGTGGTAAATGATGTTATCTAAACTGAAAAATCCATCATGCCTCTATAGATACCTATATTTGGAAGAGTGAAGTTTGAAGACAAAGACAGTAGTTTTGTGGGTTTAAGAATAAAAGACTGAGAATATTTAAACAGTAAAAACAGCAGTTAACCTTAAAGAGGCTCTTCACGAATAACTTGCCTCAAGAAAAGGATCTAGGCCACTGGAAATAAGTACACTGGAAAAATACAATTATATGCAATTGAAATAACATAGTGTGACTGAGCTGAATGAAGGTGGCTTACACCATTTATGTGGCACTTTAAGACTCAAACCAGAGGCAAAAGTTGAAAGGCCATTTATTCAATTCACAACCAAATTAAAACGTACACAACCAATGTTCCCTAAAAATAACCATCTGAATTAACATTTAACAATTTGAAATAAAGGGATGCTTTTTCAACAGACAATATACGTTTAATGACTAAATTGGAACATACCTAGTTGACAGTTAATTTCTATTGAATACTCTTCATAGGATTTTCTAGTTTATATTGAGTCAAAAAACCAAGAAACCAATACCATAAATGAAAAGATGCAGAGAAAAAAAGCCATTATTATTTCATCAGTAGGAGTCCAAAAGATTAGAACAAGTGAAGCTACTTCTAGTGGGATGAACTATTGATATAATTAAGGTATTATAGAAACTCACCAAATCAAGCTATGAATAAACCAATTCTTTTAATTCACCAGCCTGCAGTTTGTACCATATGATGTTTCTCTCTCTCTTCCTTTTTCTTTTCTTTGAATAATAATATGTTGTAATAATCAGTAAAAGTGTCAAAGAAAAAATAAAACTTTTATGGTGATATAGTATTTTATAACAAATAATACCAAATTAATTTGATAAAGTAATATCAAACATGACTTTAGGCCTTTGCTGTTGATAAAATAATGTGAAATATAACTTTAGACTTGCCCTATTCATTACTATAACTTTGGTCAGTCACATGTGGCTATTGAACTCTTCAAATGGTTTAGTCCGAATTAAGATGTGCTATAAGTATAAAATATGCACAGAATATCAAAGGAAAAATGTAAACTATTTCATTTCATTAACAATTTTTATATTGATTACATATGGAAAGGATGATATTTTTGCTACATTGGGCTAAATAAATATATTGTAAAGTCAATTATTACCTATTACTTTCTCCATCTCTAAATATGCCTAGTAGAAAATTTAAAATTATATATGCAATCACTTATTTCTACTAGACATCATTGTTTTATAGTGCTAGGATATTAGTTAAGATGTTAGAATAAATGAAGAAGTTTTATGTTCTAGAATTTGATCCAGTATGATGTATGAAAATCTTACTACTTATAGCAAAACATAGCCCACACTTTTTATAATAAATTATTTTGAAGTTTTCTAAAAGAAAACATGCGTGTAATATTATATTTCAAAACTTAGGTGGCTATTTTAATATAAAGTTGATACAACTAAAATCAGGCATGAGAGATTTGATTTTTGGCATTTGTAATTAAAATGATGTAGAATTTTATTGAAATATTGATGACTTCAAAATCTTTGAAGGAGGATCATTCAATTACCTGACTTGTTAGTTCTTTTTCTTTTTCTCCTCCAATAAGCTTGTCTTTACCCTCGCTTCAGCTACCTACTATTAGTCACAGCCCATACTTTTTCCTACAGTACTTTCAATTTCCTCACTCATAATCTGCTTAAAACATTCAACTCTCCACCTCCTTCTATTATTCTAGTTTTTTCCCTCCAGAACCCCAATTCTAACAGTCATTCAACACACTGGAAACTACAGTTATGGATCTTACAACTCTTTTATAAGTATCAGCCTCATTCTTCCCACTGTACACACCTGAAAGTTCATGATCAGTCATTAAACTCACTTTGTTTCACATGTCCTCTGATATCTTGCTCCTTACTTGTCTAAACCCTAATCCCTTTAAAAGTTAACTCTCTGGCCACTGCTGCTGAACATGGCTGGAGAAAGACACGCATCCACTATATGGGTCTCATTTTAAACTAAAGATCATTTATTTGAGGAAGGTCCTTGATGTTGCTCAGAAATGAGATTATACTTCCCTTTACTCTTTCAATTCTTCTCTCCCACCATGTATCCAATAACTCCACCTTCATCCCAAGTCCCTGTTAGTGACCTTCTTTACGGTTGCAGTGAAGAAAGCAAAGCTTTCCTGAAGACTCCACTACCGCAATCCTTTATTTTGAAAGCAGTATTATCTAGAGCTTTTGCGACACAGACCCAGAGAACAGAGACCATTAATCTTCAACACAATGTATCTGAAAGTATTGTTAAAATAGTTGTCAAATGGCAAATGCTTATTTTTATTTTTTTTTGAGACAGAGTCTCACTCTGTCACCCAGGCTGGAGTGCAGTGATACGATCATCACTCACTGCAGTCTTGAAGGCAAATGAATGAATAAAATATAATGTGTCAGTGGGATTTTCCCCTCTTATTCCACCAAATAACTTTCTTTTGTATTAATTTGTAAAATAATACATTACCAATTTCTATTTTATTTTGTTTTCAAGAATGGCTTATTTTCTTCCAGAATCCTTTGTTTATTTTTAGTCACAAATAGACAAAAAATTTGCTACTAATAGAAAGTAATCAATAATTTAATTTAATGTTTTGGAAAACAATAATATATGAAACTTGAATTACTATTTATATCATTTGTAATTAAAAATATTTTACACAAGTATTTAATTTAATTTATTATATTGACCACTTTCTCAAAATGACCTCAAATTTACGAATTTTATGAACTTATTTTTTATAATTTTTCCCTTTTGAGAGAACCTCTTTTGAAAAAAATATTTTATTTACATATTTTTGAATTTGCTTTTGTTTTCAAAAAGAAGCACTTTTTTATGTAACCTTTATTAACTCAATTTTCACACTGTCCGACATTAATTGCTAAATATGCCTTCCTTTTTGTCACATGATTCACAATAAGCTTCATAGATTATAAGTCAATGTCCTTGAGTTACTCAATGTAAGAATTTTCAGAGACATTAAAAATTATCTTGTTCATTTCTCTGATTCCCATTATAATGCATCAAGAAAGTACTACAGATTTTGTTGTATTTATTGCAAGATTGTCACTGATTTCAAAGATAGTTTAAAAGCACATACTTTTAGATAGGAAACATAGCTGTGATATAATTTTGTTCACCATGTCATAAAATACATGTGAAAACTGCTACCCAGAGTTCCCAAAGCTTTGCCCACTAACTTGTACAAGTAATGCTGTTTTTTTGTTTTGTTGTGTTTTTTTTTTTTTTTTTTTTTTTTTTTGAGACGGAGTCTCGCTCTGTCGCCCAGGCCGGACTGCGGACTGCAGTGGCGCAATCTCGGCTCACTGCAAGCTCCGCTTCCCGGGTTCACGCCATTCTCCTGCCTCAGCCTCCCGAGTAGCTGGGACTACAGGCGCCCGCCACCGCGCCCGGCTAATTTTTTGTATTTTTAGTAGAGACGGGGTTTCACCTTGTTAGCCAGGATGGTCTCGATCTCCTGACCTCATGATCCACCCGCCTCGGCCTCCCAAAGTGCTGGGATTACAGGCGTGAGCCACCGCGCCCGGACTTTGTTTTGTTTTTGAGAAGGAGTGTCACTCTGTCACCCAGGCTGGAGTGCAGTGGCGCCATCTGGGCTCACTGCAACCTCCACCTCCTGGGTCCCAGCAATTCTCCTGCCTCAGCCTCCCGAGTAGCTGGGACTACAGGCAGGCGCAGGCCACCACGCCTGGCTAACTTCTGTATTTTTGGTAGAGTCGGGGTTTCACCACATTGGTCAGGCTGGTCTTGAACTCCTGACCTCAGGCAATCCACCCGCTTCGGCCTCCCAAAGTGCTGGAATTACAGGTGTAAGCCACCGCACCCAGCAATGCTGGGTTTTATGTCCCATAAACTTAATCTAATTTTTTGTCACTGACAGTTTAATGTAACAAAAATCTTCATTAGTCAATATTATTTAAAAATTACCTAAATAGCTACGTTTTAGGCGCCTAAGAAACAAAAGGAGTTAGCATATTCTTTAATTCAGTCTAATTCAACTAGTTATTGAAAGATTCCATATGAAAGTTAGTAGGCTGAGTGTTGACAGTGAAGGATAGCACCCTGATCACTCTGGTTCCTGCTCTCAAGTGTCTTATAACTGGGTTTGGCCTGGAAGAAAGACACATTTGAAATTATTCTGTGACTCCAAAAATTCAAATAAACTGGTTCTATTTGATAAATGTAAAAGATTTGCCTTTAGATTCTTCAATAAATGCCTTAAGACTATTAATACTTTCAATTTTAATAGTGACTCTTAAATTCATGTGGTATGCTAGAAAGAAAAATAACTTTTGAGTGATGCAGGCCTAAGTTTAAATTAGTTTCTGCAACTTAATGGTGTCTGGCTGTGGGCAAAATTTTACCCTCTTTCCTGTCTTGGTTTCTTAATTTCTGGACCGTAAATAAATATCACCCTTTCAGATTAGCTGTAAGGATTATATGTTAGGTTTACAGGTGCCTGCACAGTGCTTGAAAGTCATTTAGCACGCAAAATACGGTAGCTATTTCTCTAGTATAATGTCTAAGTAGTAACAGATGCATGTTATTGAGTTTCTCAGAGATGCTGGAAGAAGTTAACATTTAAAAAATAATAAAAAAGAAGAGAAACATATTTCTTCTCAAACCTAATCAAATTCCACCAATTAATTATTCAACATTTGAGTGTTTGAGACAATTAGGGTAAAAACAACAAAAATAGGAGATTGAAAATAGAAAAAAAAAAGCTTTTCCCTAGAGATTCTCAAGAATACTATTTAAAGAAGGGAAGAAGTGAAAACAAATCCATAGATTATCACAGAATTGCAAAAGTGAGAATGTTTTTATAAGTTACATAATACAAATCTCTTGTTGTATAGCTGAGAAAACCAAGGCCAAGACAACTTGGATTAATTCCTGTAGTCAACATAGTGAATGAGTTGAAGACTGTAAGTTTTCTTGCCCTCTGCCAAGACCTCTTACAAGACCAAGAGCCACGCCTACTTGGAAAAACACACACTGAAACATAGAGATTTACACCATACACAGAAATGAAGAAAGAGAAAAAATGCTAAAAAATAGAAAGTTAAAGTAAGAAGCTTAAAAATAATTTACAGGTAAAACATTGATAAACGTTATATTTCTTTATGTATCTTTACTACTCTCTTCAAACAATTTACATAATCTTCATTCTAATCACATGATTAAGACCATTTGATTTCTAAGAAGTTATTTATTCTTTCTTTATTCATTTATTAATGTGGTATTTTTCAGACTATTTGATAACTACCATTACTTATGCTTATCATATAATCAATGAACCATTATTCACTACTGAAAAACTATCCAAATTGCCATTGATAATCAGTCTCTTCGTGGTAGTCTTAAACAAAATGATTTGTTTTACACGTACCATATTTGTAACTAGGGCACACATGGAAACCTGGGACATTTTTGCTAATTAGGTATGATTTATAAATGTGATATTGAATATCTGTTATATCTTGATGTATGCTAATAAGTGAAGTTCATATTCATATGCAATTCAAGTTTGATTTCCTAATTTTTCATTTATTTGAGATTAATATCCAACATTGTGAATATAGCTAATAGTCGAGTATTGTACATATACATTTTACTCAGAGAAAATTTCAAATGTTTTATTCACTAATTGTTAAATATTTGAGGTGAGGAATATGTAATAAATTTAATTTCATCATTCCACATTATGATAAAAAATCATAACACCACTTTGTACCCTATAAACATATTATACCTGTAATTTGTCAATATAAAAATAACATTTAAGTTTCAAAACTAAAAAAATCCCTTTTTATGTACCACATTTATTTATAATTAATGTAACAATAGAACATTAATAATTGCCTTAATCTATTTGGGCTTCTATGACAAAGTACCACAGACAGGGTGGCTTATAAACAACAGATATATATATTTTTTTCTTACAGTTCTTGAAGCTGGGAAGTTCATGATCAAATCTGGCAAACTCAAGGTCTGCTGAGCGCTCATTTTCTAGTTCAAAGATGATGTATTTTCACTAGCTGTGTCCTCACATGACAAAGGGACAAAGGATCATTCAGAGGCCTCTTTTATAAGGCCCTTTGTCCTACTCATGAATGTTCCCATCAGGACCTAATCACTGACCAAAAGCCCCACCTCCTAATACTATCACACTGGGTGTTAGGTTTCAATATAAAAATTTTGGAGACACAGACATTCAGTCAAGATCACACATCAATTCAATTCTGCTTGTTAGAAAATATTTTTTAAAAGAACGAATTTGTGTGTGTGCATTTTTTTTTATTATTATACTTTAAGTTTTAGGGTACATGTGCACAATGTGCAGGTTAGTTACATATGAATACATGTGCAATGTTGGTGTGCTGCACCCATTAACTCGTCATTTAACATTAGGTGTATCTCCTAATGCTATCCCTCCCCCCTCCCCCCACCCCACAACAGGCCCCAGTGTGTGATGTTCCCCTCCCTGTGTCCATGTGTTCTCATTTTTCAACTCCCACTTACGAGTGAGAACATGCGGTGTTTGGTTTTTTGTCCTTGCAATAGTTTGCTGAGAATGATGGTTTCCAGCTTCATCCATGTCCCTAAAAAGGACATGAACTCATCATTTTTTACGGCTGCATAGTATTCCATGGTGTATATGTGCCACATTTTCTTAATCCAGTCTATCATTGTTGGACATTTGGGTTGGTTTCAAGTCTTTGCTATTGTGAATAGTGCCGCAATAAACATACATGTGCATGTGTCTTTATAGCAGCATGATTTATAATCCTTTGGGTATATACCCAGTAATGGGATGGCTGGGTCAAATGGTATTTCTAGTTCTAGATCCCTGAGGAATCGCCACACTGACTTCCACAAAGATTATAGAAATTTTAAATCTAATAACTTGAGTTTATTAAAAAACCAAAACTAGCATCTCATGGATGAAAAAAAAGTTTTCTTTATTCATTCTATCAAAAAACAAAGGTATTACAGGAGGTGAGATATCTGCCCTCCAGAGATGATGAACATTTTGGGGGTGACAAAAATCATGTGGTTTATTGTCAAATTTATGCTAGCATCCAAATTGCCTGGCATTATAATTGTATATTATTCTGATTTTAAGATACACATTTTTTAAATGGTTTCATGGATTAAATAATATTCAGCAAAAAAATAGCCTAAAGATATTGCATTTCTGCCACGTTCCATTGAAGTTCATAAACCTACTACTGCTACACACACACAACAGGCACATACACACATATTTTTAATCCTCAAAATATCACGCAACAATCTTTTGTAGTTGAATTTAATAGGCTCCTTAATTTTCAAGAAAATATGTTACATTACCTCAATTGATTTTTTGATATGTAAGAATTTTCCTCTATTGGTTTTTGCTATGAGAAGTCAAATAGTGTCAGTGTACTCCAGGCTATTTCCAGGGAATAGAACCTCAAAATACTCAAATCATAATGTAAGGTTATAATGGATAAGTAATGCTCATAAAGGATTGACTGAGAGATAAGTAATACATATATTTCTGTACTTGTCTAATATTCATTGGAAGATCTAGGTGGTCCACCACAGGATTATACTATTGATTGGGTTATTATTTCTATCTTCTCCAAATCTGAATCCTTTTAAACATTTATTTTTTAGTAGTAGTTACCCTCTTTCTGATACAGGGCCGCTAAAATAAAAGTAAAAAATACATTCATTTCAGCATTGTTCTTCAAGATATTGCTGTCTCTCTCTATCTCTATACACACACACACACACACACACACACACACATACATATACACACATATGGAAAGTTTTTCTAAAAAGTCAGTGCTAGAAAAAGAATTATTTTCCTGAAATCTTGTTAGGTATTAAATGTTTAATACTGTCAACATACTTTATTTTTTGCATTTTGCTTAGGTGGTCAGTAAGCTCATATTCAGACTATTTTTCTTCACAAAAGATACATATTGTGCCGAAGCAGGTGACATGTGCTTCTTTTGAATCTCTCTTGATTTTGATAATTTATAATTAATTAAATAATCAATTAATTATTTCAGTTTATCTCATATTTTTTATCCAAAATAATTATATTTAAATGCTTATGATTTTGTAAGTTATATTTATTCTTGCTTGGCTCAAAGAAAGAATAATTTAGCAAATACAAAATTTAAATCAAATGGTTTGATCAAAAACATGCTTACCCAATTAGTTTCTGTAGCACGTATTTTAAGACTACGATCATCATATATTTTATTTCCTCCAGTCTGTATACATCCACTGATAATTTTGACAAAATTATTAAGAAAAATCAAATGTTTGAATATTAATCAAATGCTCTTTTTCAAGGAAAATGGCTCTGACATATTAGTCTTTTGATTTATTTCTTGCCTGTACACTAGAGATTTACATTGATTTGCTCAAATCCGTGGTGAGCTTATTGAAACTAGAAACTGCCTTATTCTTCATTATACCTCCTGTGCCATACATGATGCTTTACGCAAATACGTGTTTTAAATTATTTGTTGGGTGTGATACAGGATGGGGGCAGGGAAGTGCTGGGAAGAGAAGGGCAAAGACCCTGGATAGGGCTCCATTCTCTAGCCTGTGCCCACGAACCTAAGTGAGAACAGGCACTCCTCTTTTCACGCCCCAGTGTTACATTCTCCAAGACCACTCTAGCCCGCCATGCCCCCCATTCTGTGCCCGTAGAAACCTGAGACCTTAAGTGGTCGCAGACACAAGTGGCTGGGCGTCAAGAGGAAAATGGGAGCACACTAGCAGACACCAGAGACACCAGCCGACCAGCAATGGCAGAAAGACGCAGACCCCAGGGGAATTCAGCCAGGGACAGTCGGGGAAGAGTCCAGCCCCTGGGCGGCGGGACTCCGGGAGAAGATCACATTCCCATTCCATCTTCCGCTTCTGGCTCCCCATCCATGTAGCTGAGAGCCACCTCCACCATTCAATAAACCTTGCGTTCAACGTTCCAGCCCACTTGTGATCTGGTTCTTCAGGTACTCTGGGCAAGAACTCAGGCTGTCACACTGGCGCCCCTGTCGTTGCGATGAGGCAGAGAGTCCATTGGGCTGAGTAACACAATCCATCTGCAGACCGCATAGCTGAAAGAGCACACTGTAACACACGCCCACCTGGGCTTTGGGAGTTGTAAACACTCACTCCTAGACTCTGCCAAGTGCGGTCACAGCTCAAAAATGCTTCCCACGACCTTTGCACCTGTCTATCTGTGTGCTGCCCCTAGGAGTCTCAGCAGTGGACCACATAAGAACTGAGCTACACTCCTATCACCCTCTGTGATGGGGATAAGGCAACACTCCTGTTTCAAACGGACACTCAAAATGATACGCTATATTGTCAAAATTGTATGCTAAAACTAAGTTTTAGTTAATTTTAGGATGACAGTGAAAGGTAATATTCTGGGATACTCGAACACATTATAAAAGTAACAAAAACAGTTTAATGGCTTATTTATTTATGTTATAAAATTGTCATTTAGATGTTTACTCAAGAAAGTAATTCATGACATATCAAGTGTTTGACTATACAGCATTTTTAACAATAAATTTACTTTTATTGATATAGTTTACTATAGAGATTTTACTCAGTTGATGTTATAATGTTCTAAAATTAGATTTCTTGGTTTTGTGCCAATATAATCAAAATGGTTAAAATAAAAAAATATGAAAATTATGTTTCTTAAAATGGTCAAAATTTGAAAAGTAGTGAAAATTATATTGCAAAAAGTCTTTAAAAACTTTGCTGATTCCTTTGTTTCAGTCCTATTAAACTTACCCATCTTTCTTTAATTCATATACTATGAAATTTGAGATTTAATGCAAAATTATAAATCATATGATATATTAGTGAACACACTATTAATATCTCATTCTCAGAAAAATAGATGGAGTTTCAAGCATTACAAAACAATTATATAATTTTCAACAAACATAAAATAACTTTAAGTGACATCGTTGAAATAGCAATCATCTTAGCAAAAACACAGCCAGAATTTTCAAAGAGCATAAAGATATAACATATAAATAAAAAAATAAGATAAAATAATCACTGATATAATAAACAAGAAAATTTCATACTCATCATAACATTCCTGATTCTTAAGGTAATAGATTTTTGAGGAATGAATATGTTGGGCAGTATTATTAGTTGCTCATGTCTTCAAAATTAAAAAAAAAGAAATTGGTGTTTATCTATAGTTTGCTCTGACATGCCAGAATCTCAATTCTCAATAGACTTGAAAATAGATAAGATACTTGAGGGATGAGGGCCAGGAGCAAACAACACATTGTTTTTATTCTGTAAGAGCTGAAATAAACTCAATCAGAAACCCAGAAGACAGTTCACAAAGGGCATCTGAGAAGAGTAAAATGTAGCTTCCTAATGAATAGATTCATGGACCATGTTTTTCTAAACAGCAATATTTATTGAAAGTTCCAAATATCTTGAGTCATAGATTTGGGTTCACAAAACTAATTACTAATCAATATTTTTTGCTTTCTATCATGTAATCTTTTTCATTAGATATACTATAAATTCTAAGGTTATTATTAAGATTACCAGATACCTGGAGAGATGGAAGACCTATTGCATAAAACAGGGGTAGCCAATCTTTTGACTTCTGCGGGCCACACTGGAAGAAGCAGAATTCACTTGGGCCACACATAAAATACACTAACACCAACGATAGCTGATGAGCTAAAAAAAAAATTGCAAAAAAATCTCATAATGTTTTAAGAAAATTTACGAGTTTGTGTTAAGCTGCATTCAAAGCTATCCTGGGGTGCATGTGGCCCATGGGCTATGGGTTGGACAAGGTTGTGTAATAGACAGTAAGTGTAATGAACAGCTATGTCTTAAAAGAGGTAGGATGTTTGCTTTCTTTTCAAAGATAAACACAAGGAAAAAATTGAACTACCACTGCAGTATAAAACTATTTCTAAGTAGGCAAATTTCATAAATAAAAAAGTAAAAATAAAACAAAGCATATGCATGAAATTTAAATCTACCATGTCAAAAAAATAGAATAAAAGTAAGTCCAGCATAGGGAAATATTTAAATATCATTCAATATCAAAATATTTAAATCATGTTTGTAAAGATTACCTAAAAGTTTTGGAAGATTAATTTTTACCTAGTTCATTAATATAAATATTCTCAAATTATTTTTTAACTGACAGAACTGCTAATTGTAAAGATATTACTTTATTTGTGTAGAGTGATGTATTGAATAATGTTGCCCATGTGTTTAGTAAAAGTTTTAATATTATATATGCATAATATAGTCTCATAAATTTTAGTGAGGTTAATTTGTTGGAAGCATCCTTAGTTTGAATCTGAAGGCCTATGATTAGCATCTGTTTGTCAGGAGCTATGTGATCAAATTACTTACACTATCCATTGTAATAATATTATCTTCCTAGCTATATTACAAATATAGCATTAAATAGGACCATATATCAGGGCACACTCTGTAAATGTTTTTATACAAATGTCAAATATAGTTTTAGGGAGGTAGAGAATATATATATGAAATTTAAAAGATAGGTTTGTTACAGACACTATATAAATAGAACTTGATGGCTGACTAGATCAGAGGAAGGAGAGAAAAACGATAAAAAGAATATTAGTAGATTTGTTCCAAGATGTAAACTAAGTATCTAGGGTTAATATAGTTGCTCAGTCATTCCTGACTACTAAATGTAATATAATCCAGGTTTAAAATTATATAACAAACTACTTAGACTGCCATTTTTATCAATATGGTGGGAAAATTGCCATGGTCTAGAAGGCATGGTCATAATTGGATATTTTTAGAAAATAGTCTCTTAGAATGAAAATAATAATAATAATTTAGACCTCCCTATTCAGAATAAAGGGTGATTTTGGGGTCACAGTGAATCCTGTAGCATGTTTGACTTGCTTACTCATTCTCAATTCAAACTGGAAACTTCCTATAAATGTTTTTGATTTACCTTTATTTTCTCTCCAATACTGTTGGTTTCACTGAATAAAACATAGCTTTTTTGAAAAAAAAAATAGAATGATGAATAACTCTCTTGTACCATAAGACAAATTTGAATGGCCAAGCAGATGCCTAAATTGGAAAAGTGGCAATGTACAGCGGATAGAAGACAAAATGCTACATGATTAACCAAAGGAAAAAGTCTCATAAGATTTGCTTGGTAGCTATGGGTACTTTTGCTTCCAAAGCTGTGAAATATCGTGAAATATCATGATGGTGAAGAGGGAGGCTCTGGAAAGTGGCGCAGGATAGAGGACTGAGGGTTGGAGGAGTGCTCAGAGAAGGAAGCCTTAAATTTATTGCCCTTTAAGTATGTACTACTGTTTTAAAAACAATATTGTACAGTAAGCAAAGAGATGACTCTGAAATCTTAACATAGATTAGTATAAAATTATAGAATCATTGCTATAAAAATGTACAAATACATGAAAATAATTGCAAAGTTAGAACTTCATCCCTAATTACAAAAAAATCTGTAAAATTAGAATTTCCTGTTTAATAAGCCTACCATAAAAATAAAACACATCTTGAAGATTATATATGTATGCATATATGTAGTCATACATATATACAAAATGAGAATATTACACTTTTAAAGTGCTGAATCTATGAACTTAACTAATAAGATAGCTATGCTATTTGAAAGAAATGTTCAGCAATTAAATAAGTGATTATTAATATCTGTGTGTATCAAGTAATCACTTTAAGACTGCGATTTGCTCTGATAAACAACTGCAGTTTATTTTAACAATCAATATTTCCCTGAATATAAGAATAGGCAAAATATATTTTGTTACATAAATAGTAATAGAGATAAAAACATAAAATTATCAAAGTAGCAAAAGAAAGTCTATTTATGGGAAATATAAAAGAAAATATTTTGTGACAGTCCTTCACCTGATAGACAAAAGCAGGGCTGTCACCGGATAATCAAAATCAACTTATTTTAAATTTAATATACCAAATTTATTTTATAGCAATTATATAGGTTATTTTCCCATTTTGAAAGAATGAATAAATCAGATAATTTCTTGGTGGTTTGTTTCACTTTTCTTGAACAGGCAAAATATATGCAAATGTGAAGCCACTATATAAAACAGCAGAGAAAATTATATCCCTGGTTAAATATTTTCATATGTATTTAGTAGCAAAATATTATTCTTATAAGCGTTAACTCAGGGACAAAATACAGATTTTATGACATAAGAAATGAAAGGATAATAGTGTTCAATACTAAGAATTTTCTAGTGTTTTCATTGTGGAGAATTCTCCACTGAGAAAAAAGAATAGGTGTAAATAAATCTATTAAGCAGATATCAGAAATAAACATTTTATTTTCTCAATACAGTATAATTTAAGCAATGGAAATACAATATTTTGGTGACAATAACAGAAGTTATTACACCAGAATTGACAGCCATTTTTATTGCCTTCAGGGAATCTTAGTTATAGCAGCAGCAACACTTCATTTTAAGTTGCCTCTGGGGATCAGGTGAAATACACATGACTGTTTCCTTTTTTTTTTGAGACGGAGTCTTCCTCTGTCACCCAGGCTGGAGTGCGGATCACATGACTGTTTTCTAGGTTCAGGATTAATGAACGAACAAGCAGGAAAGTTCTTCAGGCTATTGTGCCCTCTTGAAATTATTTACCTAAGCCAGCATTTCCTAACATAGAGTTCTTCACAACACTACACAGAAAGAAAAAAAAAAGCATTTACTTTCATAATAGTTTGAGAGGTATTGCAACCTGTTTTTTGGAAATGTATAAGCATGCACGCACACATGTACACACACACATATACCTAATGGATATAATTATTTATAGTTACAGCTATAAATAGATAGCATAGTTATAGTTATGGATAAATGATCAGCAGTAAACAAACCTCCTTCATTTTGTTTTATTAAAAATTCTGAAATTTTATGTACAGACTGACACGTTCTCTTTCTGCTTCCCCAAAGTGCACAGAGAACTTTGGTAAATGCTGAAGTAAACATTAGTGACAGCTAGTGAATCCTTCAACACTGATGAAGGCAACCTTTTACTTTAGGCCAAAGTCAACCAAAGCTGGCTTACATGAGGGCAAATCGTGTACATCAGGAACAAATTAGGAAGTTCAGAACACATTAGCAGCTGAGAAACTCATATCCTGTTCCTGGAGTCCTAATACTCTGTACATAGTGATTGCTCAGTAAATTTAATTAATTTAAACTAAAAATTAATCATTTAAGAGATTATGTGCAGTGCAGAACTTGTGCTAAAGCATATAGCATTCACTAAAGAAGGTATTAAGCGTGAGCACATGTCCTACAAAGTTGTTGGATTACAATCACAGGCTTATACAAATTTATAATAGATAAATTTATTTCTATCTAAAATAACATGTATATGTAACATTTCTAGTTCTACAAATTATGGAAATTATTTACATAAAGATCCCATTGTCTCAAAGTATAATTTATTTAGAAAGTCATTCCATCAGTCTGCATGAAACTTTCTGGAAAACATCAGAGTCACTGCATCCCCACCAAAGAACACCCTCTAGGTTCAGGCTTGCAAAAAAGAATCACAATCTGATTCTAATCTGAATAGTTGCAGCACTGAGACAAGAGTGTGTCTGATAGGTGGATAACTTTCCTGCTGACCTGCCACGGGAGTTGAGGTGGCTCCAACCCTTCTCCCTGATAAGACCTCAGTGCAACTCACTGAGAGCTCCTGCGGCCGCATCTTTCAAGGCTGGGAATGTGTTTACCTGCATGCTTTAGCCACAGCTAATTACTACCCAAAAATACCTCCCGTACTGGTCTGAAGCCTGAATCATCAAACCAATAAATAAAATACTGGAGGAAAATGAATAAATAAATAAATAAGTGCATGCGGAATGAGATAAAGTTTAAGAGACCACACAGGAGATAGTAAACTTGTTCACTTACTGAGCACATTGCTACTAAAACCAGCATATGAGAGAGCCATCATACAAAGACTCTCTATAACCAAAGAAATCTGACAGAGTCTTTACCCCTGAAAGCACTAATAACAGAATTAGGCTATAATTAACTATAAGCATTAAAGTCTCATACTTAAGGGGAAAAAATAAATTTAAAAATAAACAAACAAAAAAAGTCAAATCAAACCTAAATTCAAGAATAATTAGAAGAAATAGTCTAACCAAGTGAGAAGGAACCAGAAAAATAACTCTGGTAATGTAACAAAAACAGAGTGCTGTAACACCCACAAAAGTTCATACTAGCTCTTCAGCAATGGACTCATGCCAACATGAAATCTTTGAAATACCAGATAAGGAATTCAGAAGATGGATTATTAAGCTACTTAAGGAGATATCAGAGAAAGGTGAAAATGATTATAAAGGAATTTTTAAAAGCAGTTCAGAATATGAATAAAAAACTTTCTAGAGAGATAGACATCATCAATAAAAACCAACCAGAACTTCTGGAAATTGAGAGAATTACAAAATGCAGTGACAAGTTTTAATAATAGCCTGGAACACATAGAAGAACAAATTTCAGAACTTGAAGACAAAGCTTTTGAATTAACACAATCAGACAAAAATAAATAAAAAGAATTAAACAAAAGAACAGTCTCCAAAAATATGCAGTCATGAAAAATGGACAAGCTTAAGAATAACTCATGCTCCTGAAGCAGAAGAGAAAATATTAAGTCTGACAAAAGTATCTGATGCAATAAATGAGGGAAACTTCCCTGGCCTGGCTAGAGATCTAGTTATCTAAATCTAAGAAGCTCAAAGAACTCCTGGGAAAGTTATTGCAGAAAGATCTTCACCAAGACATATAGTCATCAGACTATCTAAAGTCAACATAAAGGAAAGAATTGTAAGAGCAGTAATAAAAAAGCATCAGGTAGCCTACAAAGGAAATCCTATTAGACTAACAGCAGACTTCTCAGTAGAAACCTTACAAGCCAGAGGGATTGGGGTCCTATCTTTAATCTCCTTAAGCAGAACAACTTTCAGCCAAGAATTTTGTACCCTGCAAGACTAAGTTTTATAAATGAAGGAGAAATAAAATCATTTTCAGACAAATAAACGATGAGGGAATTTGTCACTACTAAATCAGCAGTACAAGAAGTGCTAAAAGGACCTCTAAACGTTGAAACAAAAGCCAGATACTCAGTAAAATGGAACTTCTTAAAAGTTTAAAACTCACAGGGCCTATAAAACATTAACACAATGAAAAAAACTATATAGGTAATAATTATGAATGTAGAAAATAGTACCTCACATCTCAATATTAATATTGAATGTAAGTGCCCTAAAAGCTCCACTTAAAAGATAGAGGCAAAATGGATTAAAAATCACAATCCAAATATCTGCTGTCTTCAAGAGATTCATGTAACGTGGAAGAATTCATATAAACTCAAGGTAAAAGGTGGTAAAATGGTATTGCATGCAAATGAAAACCAAAAGCAAGCAGGAATAGCTGTTCTTAAATGAGGCAAAACAAACTTCAAAGAAACAATAAAAAAAGGCAGATTGATCACCATATAATGATAAAAGGACCAATTCAGCAAGAAGACCATGACGATATTACAATCCTAAATTTATATGTATCAAACACTGGAGCTCCTAGATTTATGAAACAATTACTACTAGACCTTAGAAATCAGATAGACAATAAAACAATAGTGGGAGACTTCAGTACACCACTGAAAGCACTAGACAGATCTTCAAGACAGAAAGTCAACAGAGAAACAATAGATTTAAATGACACTTCAGAACAAGTGGACTGAACAAATATCTACAGAAAATTATGCCCAAGATCTGCAGAATATGCATTTTTCCCATTGGCACATAGAACATTCTCAAAAATGGACCATGTGACAGGCCACAAAACACGTATCAATAAATTCTAAAAAAATGAAATCATATCAACTATCTTCTCAGACCACAATGGAATAAAACTGGAAATCAAATCCAAAAGGAACTCTTAATACTATACAAATACATAGAAATTAAATAATCTTCTCCTGAATGAACCTGGGTTAACAATGAAATCAAGATGAAAATTTAAAAAATTGTTTGAATCAAATGATAATAATGGTATAAGTTACCAAAGCCTTTGAGATACAACCAAAGCAATGCTAAGAGAAAAGCTTATAGCACTAAGTGCCTACATCATAAAGTCTGTAAAAGCATAAACTGACAACCTAATATCACACCTCAAGAAACTGGAGAAACAAGAACAAACTAAACCTAAAGATAGAAGAAGAAAATAAATAAGTTTAGAGCAGAACTAAATGAAATTCAAACAAACAAAAACAACAAAAAAGATCAAACAAAAGCTGGTTCTTTGAAAAATTAACAAAATCAGTAATCATTAGCTAGATTAGCCAAGAAAAGAAGAGAAAAAGTTCAAATAAGCTCAATTAGAAGTGAAACTGGAGAAATTACAACTGACACCAAAAATTACAAAAGATCATTCAATACCACTATGAACATCTTTGTGCACACAAACTTGAAAACCTAGAGGAAATGAACAAATTCTTGGAAACATAAAACCCTCCCAGGTTAAATCAGGAAGAAATAGAAATCTTGAACCAACCAAAAATGAGCAGTGAGATTGAATCCATCATTTAAAAATTGCCAAGAACAACAACAAAAAGATTATGACCAGATGGATTCACAGATGTTATCTACAAGACATTCAAAGTAGAATTGGTACCTATCCTACTGAAACAATTCCAAAAGATTGAGAAAGAAGGAATCCTCCCTAACTTATTCTATGAAGCTAGTATCACACCGATACCAAAACTGGAAAAGGACAAGCACAAAAAAAGAAAACTACAGACCAATTTCTGTGATAAAGAAAGATGCAAAAATTCTCAACACAATATTAGTCAACTGAATCCAACAGCAGATCAAAAATACAATTCATCATGATCAAGTGGGCTTCATCCAGGGAGGTAGGGATGGTTTAACATATGCAACTCAATAAATATGATACATTACATAAACAGAATTGAAAACAAAAACTGTATGATCATCTCAATAGATACAGAAAAAGCATTTGACAAAATCCAGCCTCCCATTATGATAAAAACCCCTAACAAACTAGGCATAAAAGTGACCTACCTCAAAACATTTCCTCCAAAGACAGGAACAAGACAAGGAAGCCCACTTTTACCGTTTGTATTCAACATAATCCTGGAGGTACTATCCAGAGCAATTTGGCAAAAGAAAGAATAAACGGCATCCAAATTGGAAAAGACGAAGTCCTCTGAAAGCATTCCCCTTTAAAACAGGAACAAGACAAGGATGTCCACTTTCACCACTCCTATTCAACATAGTCCTGGGAGTACTAGTCAGAGCAATTAGACAAGAAAAAAATAAATGGCATCCAAATTGGAAAACAGGAAGCTAAACTATCACTGTTTGCAAATAATATGATTGCCTACCTAGAAAATACTAAAGATTCCTCCAAAAGACTTTAAGGTCTCAGGTTACAAAATCAATGTAAAAAACCAGTAGCACACTATATACCAACAATAGTGAAGCTGAGAATCAAATCAAGAACTCAATCCCTTTATAATAGCTGCAAAAATTAAAATATCTCGGAATATAGCTAACCAAGGAGTGAAAGATCTCTACAAGGAGAACTAGAAAACACTGCTGAAAGAAATCATAGGTGACACAAACAAATGGAAACACATCTCATGCTCATGGATTGGAAGAATCAATATTATGAAAATGACCCTACTTTCCAAAGCAATCCACAGATTAATGCAATTCCCATCAAAATACCAACATAATTTTTCACTGAATTAAATAAATACAATCCAAAAATTCACATGGAACCAAAAAAGAGCCCAAATAGCCAAAGAAAACCTAAGCAAAAAGTTCCAATCTGGAGGTATCACATTACCAGACTTCAAATTATACTACCAGATTCTAGTTACTAAAACAGCATGGTACAAGCATAAAAGTTGACACATAGACCACGGAACAGAATAGAGAACCCAGAAATAAAGCTAAATACATACAGCAAATTGATTTTTGACAAAGCATACAAAAACATGGCAAAATGGATATCCTATTTAATAAACGGTACTGAGAAAACTGGCAAGCTACATGCGGAAGAATGAAATGAGATTCCTATCTTTCACCTTATACAAAAATTAACTCAAGATGGATCAAAGACTTAAATATAAGACCTGAAACTGTAAAAATTCTAAAAGAC
The DNA here is from genome assembly GCF_000001405.40 of Homo sapiens. Lineage (NCBI taxonomy): Eukaryota > Metazoa > Chordata > Mammalia > Primates > Hominidae > Homo > Homo sapiens. The sequence goes on from NC_000004.12 coordinate 32,758,776, forward strand.
AACATTGGAAAAACTCTTTAGACATCGGCCTTGGCAAAGAATTCATGACTAAGACCCCAAAGCACATGCAACAAAAACTAAATAGAAGGGACCTAATTAAACTAAAAAGCTTCTGCATAGCAAAAGAAATAATCAGCAGAGTAAACAGACAACCCACAGAATGGGAGAAAATATTTGTAAACTATGCATCTGACAAAGGACTAGTATCCAGAATCTATAAGAAACTCAAACAAATCACCAAGAAATAAAAAACAAATAATCCCTTTAAAAAGTGGACAAAATACATAAATAGTCATTTCTCAAAAGAAGATATACAAATGGTCAACAAACATGAAAAATATGCTCAACATCATGAATCATCAGGGAAATGCAAATTGAAACTACAGTGACATACCACGTTACTCCTATAAGAATGTCCATTACTAAAATGTCAAAGAACAATAGACGTTGGCATGGATGTGAAGAAAAGGGAACACTCATATGCTGCTAGTGGGAATGTAAATTAGTGCAACTTGTATGGAAAACGGTGTGGAGATTCCTTAAAGAGCTAAAAGTAGATCTACCAATTGTTCCAGTAATCCCACTATTTGATATCTATCCAAAGGTAAAGAAGTCATTATATGAAAAAGACTCTTGCACACTTATGTTTATAGAAGCACAATCCACAATTGGAAAGAAGTGGAACCAACTTAAGTGCCATCAACTAATGAGTCGATGAAGGAAATGTGCTATATATACACTATGGAATACTACTCAGCCATTAAAATGAATGAAATAGTTTCTTTTGCAGCAACTTGGATGGAGCTAGAGGCCATTATTTTAAGCAAAGTAACACAGGAGCACAAAACTCTAAACCGTATGTTCTTACTTATAAGTGGGAGCTAAGTTATGAGTACGTGAAGGCATACAGTGATGTAATAGACTTTAGAGACTCAGAATTGGGAGGATGTGAGAGGGGCTAGGAATTTTAAAACTACACATTTGGTACAAGGTACTCTACTTGGGTGATGGGTGAACTAAAATCTCAGAATTCACTGCTGTATAATTCATCCACATAACAAAAAACCACCTGTATCCCAAATTTAAATAATAAAAAAATTAAAAATAAAATAATACATATATCAAATATGTTACATTTATACTTCTACAAATTATGAAAAATATTTACAGAAAGAGCCCAGTTTATCAAAGTATAATTTATTTATAAAGTCATTCCATCAGTCTACATGAAACTGAAGCTATGCACTTTGCTTAGCATTAGGAACAAAAGGGATAAGGTGCTCATTAGTGTAGCTTCAAGTTAATTACTAGAATGGCATTCCTGATAACATTATTCAACTTTGTCAATGTTCTATTGTTGCTTACACATCTGAAAAATCAAAGGCTTAGGGCAGTGATCCATGCCTGTAATTCTAGCACTTTGTGAGACTGAGGCGTGTGGAGCACTTAAGAAAGGAGTTTGAGATCTGCCTGGGCAACATGGCAAAACCCCAGGTCAAAAAAAAAAAAAAAAACCCCGCAAAAATTAGCTGAGTGTGGTGGCAAATTCCTGTGGTCCCAGCTACCCAGCTGCTAGGCAATCTCAGTGGGGAGAATCACCTGAGCCTGGGAAGTCAAGGCTACAGTGAGCTATGATCATGTCGCTACACTCCAGCCTGGGTGACAGATTGAGAACCTATCTCAAAAAATAAATAAATAAAATCAAAAAGAAAAATCAGCCCATTTTACACCTCCCTATGTGAATATTTTACTTAACAATTGCAGAATGTAAGGTTTGGCCATTTAAGAATCTGTAAATGTAAGCCTAAATATTTGTCTGTGTATGTATTTTAGGGGAAAATAGTTATCGTCCCTGAATATTAATATTTTCCCTTCAAAAACAAGTTATTTTAAATTTAAGCTTCTATTTCATAAAGATATGATATAAAGATATAGGTCATTCTTATTTACAAAAGGTTTCCCTTACAGTTCAGGCTCTACTCTTCTCCTAGCTAAATTGAATAGGCATTGATGAATAAAGAATCCAAAGATGTTGGCTTCAGGGCTACTGAGATAAATCTCATTACACAATATTGTTAAGAAAGCTGCTAGTTTTTCACAGGGCAGCTATTATATGTGACATACAGTAGGCAAAAGATTAAATGCATATTGTGAATTTAAAAAATAAAATCATTTCAAATTAAAATAGATTCCTAAAAAGAATATGTGCTGATATGAAAAAAGAAATTTTATAAGCAATTTGTCCTTTAGCTTAATTCATTTCACCATATTAAACTTACAAGATTGAATAAATGATATTTTTAACTAATTTAAAATAAAATATTAACTCTGTCACAACATTCTTACTATATGTTAACTTTTATTGCTTCCATTGTATATTGGATTGATGGATACATTGAAGGACATGAAATTAACATGGTTTTTATCACAATATGATTACAATAGGATATGATCATTTTCTTAAAAATTAGAAGCAATTTTAAACAGCCTAAAAACATTCAGGCTCTGTAAGAATCTGTATTTTCATTAAGTAGTTAAGTTGTGAAATGTGGAATTATTTAGGTGAATTATTTTCAGGAGACCAAAAGAAGATTTTCACCAAAATTATAAAGATTGTTAATTTATATTGACCAGATTTTTCTTGACCAAGATTAAGCAAAAATCAATAATTTTCCAGGTTGACTTTAATTTTAATTTTATTCACAGTTTGAATATATAACTATATCTCTATAAAAATAAAACATTCTGAACACAAAATGCAATAGAATATAATGTTGACATATATTAATAAGTAATATAATGAATAATAGATATGAAAATATAACAAATTATTATTCAACACATTATTTAGAAACATATATTAAGGATGCCTTATTTTTGGAATTGATGTTTTAAATGAAATGAAGGCATTTAAAGATTTAAAAACATTTTGTTGGAATGGGTATTTTGCATTTATTTACCTCTGAGGTTAGATTTAAACCACTGTGTCACACCTTTTTTTAGCACCTGGAACTAGTTTCTTTATAAAATATAACTACCTATCATTTTAAAACATGCAAAAATAAATGATTTATTAAGCATGATGAAATTGTGTTCTGTATCTAGATCCATCATAAAATTATAGGTATGTCAATAAAAATTTGATGTGGTGAGTTGAAAGATTTAAATGCCATGAGCTATTTTCTTGATATTAAGAAAGAATAACTATCCAGGTGTGGTGATATTTTCAGTTAATGTTTCTGTGGAGGTAATTAAAGGCCTATCAAATTATGACAAAGATTTAATCATGTGTTAGGTCACAAAGAACTAATCTAAATCTGTCCTCAAGGAAGTTTGTTAAAGTCAGTTTGAATGTGAACTTGTGTTCTAAACTGAGGTTTGCCATTGGGGCCATATTAATCACCATTTTTTTCTTCAGTTCATGGAACTCTTTTCTACTTATGCTGGCAACCAATAGATGTGCATCTTGTATGCTAATGAAATGTGCAAGTTAATTCATTTAGGCCAATGAATAAGCCACTTTTTTCATGTGACACAAGTTTATTTCTAGCCTATATGTGCTTTTTTTGTTCTCTTTGAATTGCATAGTGAACATACACAGTTCTGTTGTGGGTTGATACGTCCTATAGAAGTCTTTATAGAGGGAGAAAACATTACTGGAGATTAAATAGGATTAGATTCATTTAAAATGCATTTTATATTCATACATGCATATAGATCACACTTTTAAATGTTGATTTTATGTTGGACAGCCAGAAAATAGCAGACAGGTCAATTGGATACTATTCTCTAAAAGCTGACTGAGGACAGGAATGATGTGTAACAGGACCTGCCACAAAGCAGGTAGAAGGTATTCAGGTAATTTGTGCTGAATAAAGGAACTAGGGAAACTGAAATTTAATACAATTTTAAGGATGTCTATGTGAAGGCAAATATCCTGGTCACTAAGAGTAATGTTGCAAAGCTCCGTCAATGTATTAGAATTTTTATTACTTAGCATAAAAATATGTTTTTGGAAATAGCTGTGTATTTTACGGAATTTTCCTGTTTGGATTTAAATGTTTAACATCCTGTGGTTGTACGTATGTAACAGCATAATTAGGTATTTTGGTTTTACGTGACTTGAGGCTCTGGAAATTTTTTAGAAATGACACAAAAATCAATAATCATTGCTGCTTGGGGGATTTAGTGATGACTAGGTATTTTAGTTACATCTTCCACCCAGCATTACTGGGAGCTGGAATAATTCCTTAAAGACAAAGTATTATATGAAGGATGCTCCACTCGAATCTCAATTCTAGTCAGGGATCCATCAAAAGTATGTGAGTGAGGCCGGGCATGGTGGCTCATGCGTGTAATCTTGGCACTTTGGGAGGCAGAGACAGATGGATCACCTGAGGTCAGGAGTTTGAGACCAACCAGGCCAGCATGGTGAAACTCCGTCTCTACTAAAAATACAAAATATTAGCTAGGTGTGGTGGTGCATGCCTGTAATCCTAGCTACTCAGGAGGCTGAGGCAAGAGAATCGCTTGAACCTGGGGGGTGGAGGTTGCAGTGAGCTGAGATCACACCACTGCACCCCAGGCTGAGCGACAGAGCGAGACCCTGTCTCAAAAAAAAAAAAAAATATATATATATATATATGCACACATATATATATGAGTGACAGATGAGTGAGAGCACCCTTTTTAAAGTTGTTACTTGAAGGAAGTTGTTGATGAATTGTCAAATAATGTGATAGAGATCAGTGTTTCCAAAAGTTTTATCACATTATTGTGAGTCCTGAGAGATGCTCTATAAAAAAATGTTTGTTTTCAATGAGTTTAGGAAATACTGTGTGCTATTCCACAAAAAGATTTAAAATACACATTAGCATATTAAATAGTCATTGAAGTCATTCAATAAATTGTTGAAATGCACTACAGAAGTGCTGATGTAGGTAAATACACAAAGGATGAAATATTTTTGTCAATATTAAGCTATTATATTAAATAAGAGATCATTAGTATTCTAATCTTTTTTAAGTAGATGCCTTATAAAGAGCTACTAATTTATAACATTTCAGATAGCAAAGTACCACCTTGAGGCTATATCGTAAATAAACCCTCCAATGGGGAGTAACATTTGACTTATCTGAATTACACCTGAACAGCTTGGAGACCCCCCAGAGATAAGCAACGCTAACAGCTTGCAGACCTCCTGCATAAAATAAAATAAAATATCCGGAGTGCTATAAAAAAGCAAAATGCTCTCAGTCTGTGAACGTCTTCCTATTTTCTGTTTTATTTATACTGTTTATAAAAGTAAATTACTTGTTTGAAGTACTACTCTTGAAGCTGCCTGGATCTCTATGGGGAAGTACTCCTGTGAATCCTCTTTTATTGGAAGTGGTTGATCTTTAGCTCCGGGGATGAAATCTGCAAGGTTGAAAAGCTTTGCTTTTTAAGAGAGTCAATCTGATTTGAGAATAGAGGGAGACCTTCTACGAAGAACCAAACCTGGTGGAAATTATCTCTTTTAAACTGACTTTGAATAGTGTACACAGGGCAGCTTTATTTCTGTAAATAGTTGGGTACGGCTGTTCTTTATGTTTCAGCTCCAAAGAAGAATTCCAAAGGTAACATGTAAAAGGAATTTGAAACTATTTTGCTATCAGAAAGAAAGTTTGCTTAGTTTCTTTTTTATTTTTATTTTTCTTATTTGCAGTTTTGGTTAAGAAACAAAAATGCTATTTATTTGGATAAGTTATTTTAACTCAGGGGAATAATTCATTCTAAATATACAAATGACATTCCTGAATCTATTTATTTTATATGACAAGAATACATACCATATTTTCTAATCATCATTTTAGTTTGATCATCTGAAACAAAATTACATATGTGCTCCTAGCTAACAAAGCTGACTTTTATGCCTTTAATAACACTAAAACAGGGATTTCAATGCTTGTTAGAAAACATTTTTGAGAATCAGATAAAAGCTATGAATATTATTCCTAAGAGAATAAAATAGTTTTACAATCTAATATGAGTTTCCAAGACTTCAGATTAAGAAATGAGTAGGGGGTTAGGGGAGGAACTAGCTATTAGCTTTATTCACTCTATTCTCTTTTGTTGCTCTTTGTCTCTGATAGATAAGGGCTGAATGATTGATTGATAGACAGATAGATAGAAAATAGATAGATGATAGCCAACCAATGCACATTTACATACCATAAGCACTCACAAATTCTCTAATTAACAATCACAATTATAATTATGAATACGTAACAGAATATGTCCCAGGAAACTTGAATTGTTCCAGGTTTAAATGACAAAATTCAACATCCCAAGCTAATCTTCAGTATGAGTGAAGTTTTTGAAATTGATACTTTTGATGACAAAATTCTCTTTAGCATTCCTTATGCATACCCCGTTTGGTCACACACAGATTCAAGACAGAGTGTACCAGACTGGGGGAGAAAGATATCTTAAAAGATTTAATTAAAATGCACAAATTATCATATGTCATTTCTAGAAAAATATGTACTAATTAAATTTTTGTTTATTTATATGGTTTATAAAAGTAAATTACTTGCTCAAAGTAATTTGAAGCTGCCCAGTTCTCCATGAGAAAGCACTCTGTGAATCCTCTTTTATTGGAAGTGGTTGATCTTTAGCTGGAGGGATATCATTTAGAGATGGCCTTATAGAAAGAGACAAGGGCATGTCACGCTTTTTTCAATTGGGAAGCAGGAAGGAAGGCATAGTATTTTAGATTTTTATCAGCCAAATATTCTGCCTATAGCTAAACATCACCCTTAAATGTCATCCATGAACATGACACATGCATGTGTTAGTTGTCTTATACTATTTCTGCTTTTGTGCTTATGCTGTTTGTTTTTCCTTATCTGTCTCCTCTTTTTCCAATCCTAATTTCTTCATAATTGAGTTTCAGTCTCTATCGATCTCAGTTTAATTTGGGACACTCTGTGAATCCTTTTTCTACCAATTCAAAGATGAAGTCATGGTGATTACCTTCTTTTCTGTATTTCTAGATAATTTTAAATCTTATTTTTTACACTAAACATGTATATTAACATATTTTAGAACAATTTTCCTGAGAGTAAACCTTGTCTATTCAATGACACCATAATGTTTAATAAAGACTATGAGCAAAACTTGCTTTATAGCAATGCCTCTGGAAATAAGGGGTTCAAGTCTGATTCTGGAACTAAGTCCTTGCTGTCACCTATGAATAAACATGAAATCAAATTTCAATTCCATTATCTGTAGTGAGGATCCGTTTGGGAAAAATAATGAATGAGGTAACATTTCTCTAAGCAGTGCATTTCTATTCAAATTTTTATATTTAATATAAATTCAAATACCTAGCAGAGAATTTCTCAATACAATGTCTTGGTAGGAATTTAATCTATGTTATATGGGTATATCAAATTCTTTAGTGATTATTTTGTTTCTTTCTCTTTAATATTGTTAAAAGGTATATCAATATATATTAAGGTTTTTTTAAGAACATAGACATCTCTGAGATACATGAAATGTGAATTCAATATATTATACAGTTAAAAAAGGGAATAATAAGACATAAGTGTATATATAAGTATCTTTATAAAAATGATCGTTCTTTAAAAAAATCTAACACAAGACTTTATTTGAAGAGAAAATAATAGATAATGAGGTGTTATGATGAAGGGGTTGAATTCAGCTTTTCAGTATCTATTTAAATAATTTTAATGAGACATTTGTCTCTAAATAATGATTTATATAAACCTTCTGTAATAAGTTACTCATCTTGCCCCCTGTATACGATTGATATAAAGAAAGGCTAGTATTGTTTACTAACTAAATGTCTCAGGTATTTATAAAATATTTGAAATTTGCCATACCATCAAAAATAGATAAAAATATTTTCTTACAGAAAGGATAAATACATATTTCTTACAAAGGTGAGTAGCAGTGAAAGAGGTGTCCATTCTTTCACAGGTGTCAGAATGTCTAGCTATTAGTCTCCTACTAGATTTACATTTTAAGAAATTATCTCATTTCAATCTATCTCCACAGTACCAATGAGTTACAGTTATTTTCTAAAACGAATCTGATATGTATTCACCTGTGTATTATCCACAAATGTGTTGTGTGTGACAACCCCAGTTGTCACCATCTTCCAGTCATAAGAATGGAGTCTTCATTACTGACCTGTGCCCTAGAAATCATTTCCTCTCACATTCTTCAAAGCTTCCCGCATTGAATCTGCCCTTTCTCTTATCTTTCCCACAGTCTAATCATTCTGTATTCCTTGATTCATTCCTTCCCATTTATAAGGACACTTGTTTCCCACTTGTTTCACCTATTTGAAAAAAGTCTACTCTTGATTCTTCCTTAATATGTAGCAACTGCCTTTTTCTTCTCTTCAAAACCAGACTGTAAAACAGCAGTAATTATACAATCTAGGATTGTTTTTTCCTTTAAGCTCCTGTTCATTTATTATGGCTTTGCAGTGTGGCTTCATCTAATCATTATCGTTTGCTTTAAAATATTGCCAATCACATCTTAATTGCTACATTTAATATGTACTTCATAGTCTACATCTTAGATAATCTCTGTTAAACACTTGACCAAATTGGCCAGTCTCTCAATCTTAAAACTCTTTTGACTTGAGCAATGCTGCTCTTCCAATTCTCTTTTAAGTTTTAGCCACTTTGGAGTCTCTATTTAATATTACCGTTCCAAAATATTCTCATGTCAATGGAAACTATTATATTATCTCTAAGTGGCTTTTTCCCTGTATAGCCACTGCATTCCTTTAAACATACCATTTATCACTCTAGTTCTATTATTTTCATAGTTATTTCTACACTAGATTTACAAAAATGTATGTAATTATTTTAGTCACCTATGGAAACCTTTTCTAAAACTTATTAGGAATTAGTTTGTTTAATAATTGATTATAATGATAAATATATCATTAGATTGATGTTATATTTTTTCTTTATTTTTCCTAATCCCAGAGATTGTAACAAATATTATTCTTCAAAATTATTTGAAAATATAATCTCTTCATGAAAACCCTCTTCATTTAATGGGTTAAAAATCAGATTGTTTTTACTTTGATATATAATATGGATTAGTATTGTTTGCAAAAGCCTCACATGATAAGGTAACAGAATGGTTGAGTACAGTGTACGTTACATCCAGTTAAAACACAAGAGCCCATTTGCTGGTGATGATTACAGAGAAGTTAATGATAATCATGGTAAATCACTGATTAACACATATTCTTGCCCTTCTAAATTAGCATTAATTATCTATTCCAGATTAATAAATTTAAAATAAAGTAAAATCTAAACCATCCAGAATTTAATAAGTGTCCTTTTGTAGTATTTATATATTCTTAATTATTTTCAGAGAATGTTATATCAGTCTTGATGATGTATATGAAAGAAGATAACTATTTCAAATTAAAATTCTTAATTAAATTAATTGAAAACTTTAACTTACTTTCGTCAGTGGAGGCAAGTATGAACTCTTTTTAGAGTGTAACATCATTGTCTTTTTCTGAATCTGTGCCAGCGCATGCCCCCTATTACAGATCTTTATTATATCCCCTGAAATGTGTAATGACAAGGCAATTTATCTTTAATGATATACCAGGAAGTGTATACCAGAAAGTATTATGAAGAAAAGTACAATTTCAAAGAGGTACAACTACTTTCTAAATGACTAACAGTAGGGAGCTTCTAACTCTAAGGTAAATCAGAAAATATGCAAATTGCCTCTTTAAATTTGCTTCTTGTAAAATGAATAGTGTCTGAACGACCTTGTACTTGGAAAAAAATTTTATGGGAATAAAGCGTTGAGTATCAGAGCACCTCATTTCCAAACATTTCGGAGTACATCAGCATGTGTCGGCTTAAACATTGCCAATTAGTATTTAGTTGCTAATGATACATACAGTACATTAATAAAAAGTAGGCAAAATACTACATCAAACTAAATGCAGTTACAAGTTTTTCTGTCTGTAACTAAGAGTAAAAATGCTTAGGGCTGGAAATGACCTTTGGAGTCAAACAAACATGGGTTTCAGCCCTGGCTCTCCCATTCATTATGTATGTCATGGTGGGTTGAATATTTCAGCTCTTGAAGACTAAGTTTCCTTAAGTAGAAAATGTGCATACCACCTGCCTTTCAGAGTTGTGTGAGAATTAATTATTATATATGCAAAATGTGTGCATGTAGGTTCCCAATAACTTGGAGCTCATGTGCATATTATTATTTAGTTAATAGAAATTCCATTAAGTATTTGTGAATGAAAGTACTTAAAAAAAACAGTATGAGAATAGCATAAAATTGACCAAAAGTCAGGATCATTATTTGAATGCACACAGGTATGCATGAGTTGAGCAATATGTGGTTGAAATAAACTCTTGCCTTGTGATATTTTGTGCCAGGAAAACTGCAATCATAGTGTCAGGGTACATTTTTGAAAGGGATTACAGATTTCAAGGAGACTTGGTGCTTAAATTAAGAAAAAATAAAATTCCTGTTTAATTCATGCAATTTAGAATGAAATAAGGAAGATGTATCAGGGAAGGGCATTTCACAAAGGGAATTTAGATAGTTTACAATATTCACACAAGATGGATTAAAGTATAAATACAGACCTTGTTACATGTTTAGGGAAATCTAGTTTATTTCATGGAGTAGCATAGTGGGGAATCTAATACAACGATAAACTCAGGTTGACAAAGCATGCTTGTCAAATATATAATCAGATAATTCAAGGACAGGCATAGTATGGAAACTATAAAATGAAGTGGGTGGAGTGAGTCCTCACATAAAAGGACTGGAGAGCAAGAAGCAGCTGTTAAATAATCTAACGATCAAAATAGTTATTTAGAGAAATATTTTTCTGTTCTTATAATCATATAAAGAATAATTCAATACTACTTGTTTTGCGAAACAGAAATTACATTTTATGAATTAGGCATAACTTCATTATTATTATGAGAGTTTAAATTCACAGGGGCTGAATAACTCATTGAATAGGGAAAAACGTAATTATATCTAACATTCTGCTATTATCAATAGTGCTTGCAGATTAGTGTTGTAATTCCAAGTGAGTCCGTAAATTTGTCTTAAAAGAAAATCAGGTCGGGCACGGTAGTTCACTCCTGTAATTCCAGCACTTTGGGAGGCCGAGGTGGGTGGATCACTTGAGGTAAGGAGTTCGAGACCAACCTGAACAAAATGATGAAACCCCGTCTCTACTAAAAAAAGAAAAATATTAGCCCCAGGGAGGGAGGAGGGCGGACTCTTGTAATCCCAGCTACTCAGGAGTCTGAGGCAGGAAAATTGCTTGAACTGGGAAGTGGAGGTTGCAGTGAGCCCAGATCGCGCCACTGCACTCCAGCTGGACGACAGAGCAAGACTCCAGCTCAAAAAAAAAAAGAAAAAAAAAGAGAAAGAAAGAAAGAAAGAAAGAAAGAAAGAAAGAAAGAAAGAAAGAAAGAAAGAGAGAGAGAAAGAAGGAAAGATCGCAAGAGATAAAAAATATTGTGGCTCTAAAAACTGATAAATAAATGTTGTGCATAGCATCAACAAGTAAATTATGGTACAACAATGCAACTTAGAATGCATCAGTTCAGTGCAACCTAGAATAAATTAACCAACAAATGGGAGAAATTTAATATGTAAATTAAAACATTTTGAAATAATCTTTGCCTTTACTCATTTATTATACAGACATGAATAAATGTATCTGTGGTTAGTTAGACTGTTATGAACTGCCATAGATAAAAAATAATCTAACCCCTCTTCAAAGGGGTTACAATTTGATTGCCATATCTTTGTTTTTTCTATGTTGACGTGGAGTGCAGTCACCATGGAATGCAATTGAGAAAAATAGATATAAAATATTTCATATATGAGAAATTAGGACATTGAACTCAATTGGCCTGTAAGATTTTGGATTTAGATTTTAAAATTATATAATTAATTGGTGTAAATACATTTGGACAATATTATGTCCAGATGGATTGTGACATTAATCTGGATTTAGGGTAGATATTGCTACTGTTGAATGAATGTACTATATCTGGAATTTATGAAGTTTTGCATCACATGTTGAAGAAGTAGAATATGTACTTTGAAATATTCTATTTGAATATCTGTATTCTTTTTTTCTTAGCTACATAGTTGACATTGCAGTCACATTAACAAAATATTTGTGAAACAATTATATTCTCTACTGTTTCTGGTATATATAATAGTCATTTGGGATAGTTTTATGTTTGTTAAAGTAATCATTATTTGTCATTATTATTGAAAACAATAATGGCAATAGTATGTTGTGATGTATGTGGTATGTCTTATAAAAGAGAGGTGAGACTGAAAGCTAAGAAGACAGTGGTAAAGAGATAGATCTTAAATAAATAGGTGATAAAAATTATACAAAATAGGTAGAAGGGCAATCTTAAGCTTAAGAAAACTGGTAATGTAAACTAGAAAATAGAAAACTTTATTAGAATGCTCTAAATATTCAGAGAAATTATGGCAAATATGTTCAGGATTATATAACATCTACAATATGTGACTTGTCAGTCTTAAAGAGATAAACTTGGTTGAAAATTTTGTTCTCCTCTAAACAGTGATGCAAAGACAAGAGATGATTTCATCTTGAGTGTCTATAATCCTGTAGAGCTTTGCTACTATCAGTATGAAGTCCGTGGAAAGGAACAGAATGTGTGAAGCTGTTATACCTGCCCCTTAAAAGCCTTGGCCTGGAAAACGCACACCACTCTCCTCACATTCCTTTGGTAGAATTCAGTATTCGTTTACACCTAACTGTAAGACAGACTGGGAAATGCAAACTAATGCTCATGAAAGATTCATTACTGCATGAATTGCTGGTGAAAATCTAGCAGTCTCAGCCACAATGACATACAAAGACACGTACTCTGGAGATTTTACAAGGGTAAAGCTGCATCAGTGAAGAACAGATGCACCTCTATAAATACAAATGAGGAGCACCGTTCTAATGTGAATTAGCCAATGTAAGAAAGAACAAAGGATGGAAACCAGATCGAATTTGGCATCTGCTGATCTAAATTCAAATACTGACTGCTTAAATTATTACTTCCTTTTCTAGGTCTCAGTATCTGTATATAACATAACATTTTTTAGTACTTTGGAAGTGTTATCCAAATCAAAACATTCATAAATGCAAGTATTTGTTTTTCTATAAACCAAAAACCTGATATATAAAAGAAAATCTTAATGAAACTGAGGTTAGTGAAAAAACTTGATCATCAATAATGTAAGAGCTGGAAGAATTCTTTCTGGCTGAAAGTATTGCATCATATGGACAAAAGTAAATCAGAATACATTTTGCCATATGGGAACATTTTCTCTGAATGCCAACTGTTTAACTGGTAGTACCTGGAATGGTATAAGCTGAAGACCTTCCCTTTGACTACTGTTTCCTGTCCTCATAATTAGTGTCTGTACTTCATTCCTCATTAGAGAAACCCAGGGCCTTCTGGGAAGTAGGAAGTTCTGAATTTTGGGGCAGAGAAGAGGATGTGCCTAGGACATCCTGCTGTTTCTAAAGGACGATGTTGCTCTAAACAACCTTTAAAAAAATAAAAAAGAAAAGGAAAGAAATAATAAGGTTCAATTGGCAAAAGAGATCTGAAATGTAATGCAATTAGCCAGTTCTGAAGGAAAAAATGACTTTCAATGATACATAGATGAAGTATAAGATCCATTCCGATCAAACTGAGATCCAGCTAAGTTAGAATTTGTTTCTATTTTATGTGAGACAAAATGTATCAAAATATTGAAGTTGAAAGTGAATGTGTGAGTGTATGTCTATATGTTTAGCAATAAGTAAAGATTGCTGAAATGATATTAAATTTTGTAAAATGTAGGCTAAAAATATGTGTGTGATCTTGGAAAGTGGGGTATTGGGGGACAGGGACTTTATGCAGCCATTCAGGACATAGGTTGATTGATCATCTTCAGTATATTGCTTCCAAGATTGTCCTGGAATTTATTTCCATCTCAGTCACTGAGAAAAGCTAACAAGGGATTGGGGGAGCACACATGGGAAACTTTTAGGATCCATTTCAATCAGTGGCAGACGTGACTTTTACCCCGATCCCGTTGACTATAACACACAAGAAAGGCTGGGAAATATAGACATACTCTGTGCCCAGGAAGAGAAGGATCTCATAATTAGCTAATAATTTCTATGACATAATGATTTGTGTATTTTTAATAATAATTATAATACATCTTTGGTTAGTACTAGATAACAAATTGAACTTACGTTCATTGCTAATTGTTCATATTATAAAATGTGTTGAATAATTAATATTTTGGGGTTTGGGACTATTAGAAAGTAATGCTTGTGGTTATAACTCCACAGGAGTAGTAAACCCAAGCTGTTAGGAGCATGACATATGAGATGGAGTTTTTCAGAATAAATAATAAAATGAAGGCTTTAAATAAATTAAGATGTAAGTTTCAGAATATATTGACCTAAGATGAGACAATTTCTTTAAGCAAGATGTCTATGTGTTGTTGATGCAACAGAATCAATTAATTGTAACTGGAGAATTTCTGGTATGGTCATCTATCAGAGAGGGAATAATGACTTTTTTTTTGGAAAGAATTTCATCAGGCAGTAGATGTTTGCCAGAATGAAGGAATATTGATAGTTCCATAATACATGAAGTAATAGTGTTGCAAGATCCATCTTTGTGAAAACTCTGAAAATGTCAGTGAGCATTCATCCTTGTGTTTTTCTTTTATTATTTTGCCGTGTAACATGAAGTTTAGGAAGGAGAAAGAATTTGAATAAATACTTGGAATATCTACACTTGAACCACATCTATTATAAGTTGTTTTAACAGAGTTTTTGGGTATACAGAATGTCTGTGAATGACAGTTAAACATACACAGCTGATCAATTATGAAAATATATTCCACAGTATTCTATTCATTCTTCTTCTTAACATTTTCTACACCTTCTTCAGGCTGCCAGCATAATCCCTAGGTCCCCTTCAACTAACTCTTGTCATAACTTGTTTTTACCTCAACACATTTATGTTGATTACTGATCTGTCTTGTATCCCTAATTAGATCGTAATCTCCTTTAGGGAAGGGAACACATTTCCATGTTAATGGATGGTCCAACTATTCAGTAACATGCTATGAATTCTCAGTGATTCCTTTTTATTCTGACTTATTTTTGATATTTTACACTGTCATATTATTGACTCAGATCTTTGTGTGGTATCTCTAATGTTGTCTCATCTTATTTTATCTGAAGAGATGGAAAAATATCAAGCTTTTGTCCTACTAGTATTTAGATGTATTCCTAATGAGACAAAAAAAAAAAAAAGAAAAGAAAAAGAAAGCTTGTAAAAGAAAGAAATGTGCAAATAAAGCATGACAGGCCTTACAGGTAACATCACTTTGTCCTTGATACCTCCATGGATTATGCATATTGTTTCTTGAAGTCTTAATGCCATGTCATCTCTGACAAACCATTATCATTTTATGTATTTTAATCTTTAGATTTAACATAGTTTGATAATATACACAACACACTCTCATTTTAGTCAAGGGATATTCGAATTAATTGAAATCCAAAAACAAAACAAAAAAAGGAATTATAGTTAAATACAATAATGCCTCTTATAATTTCCAAAATATTGGCTTTTCTGCAAAATGACATGTGAATTCTCCAAATTCTCAATTTTTTCAGGAAAATGACAGAAAAAAGTTAGGATTTGTAATATACATATGTGTTACAAGTCTATATCTGTTTTTGTATGTACATTGCTATCTGTAACTTACATATTATTAAGCTTGGTTATTGAGTTTAAAATTATTAATTATTGCAATAATTCTCAGGCTTTCTTAGAGAATTTTAAATTATCAATTATTCTCAAAAAACTCTTCTGGAATATCTCACCAAGTTTTTTTTAGCCAATCCAGATGTGTATCAGTCACGGTCCATTCAAGAGAAAAAGTGATACTAGTAATTTAAATGTGTAAAATTTCATATAACTTGGGTGTAACAGTAAAAGGACTTCTAGAGACAGATAAATAGCAAATATACACAGTAGTTACTGCCTCAAGGGCTAAGGACAAGTAAATATGGATGGAACTAATAACTGAAAAGACTCCTAACACTGAGATCCAGATCTCATTTTAGAGGGTATGGCTGACCAGGAACACCCAATCTGAGTGGTGAGCAAAGTTAATAGACGGTGTGGTCCAGAAGTTCACAATAAATGCTCCAATGGTAGGCACAGAAACTCATTGGAAGTGGCTCACAAAGGGTAGATTTTTTTTTTTTAACCACTGTGACGTACCATGGGACCTTGTGCATATTTTTCTGCCAACAGCAAGGTGATAGGACAAAAGACACAAGAATACTCTGGCCTTGTAGTGTCTTTCCAGCACCCTCTATTGACAAACGTAGCATTGTGCAAGTAGGGCACAGGATAGTAGGTTTGGAGATAAGAGGAAATAAATGGAAAATGGGCACAGATCACTGTTTTGTGTGCTAAGCTCTTGTATGTATCTTTCTACATCCATTTACGTTCTACTTAATAAATGCTACTATCTTTCATACAGGTGAAGAAGTTCTCACTCGTCTTTCCCCAAAATGTGGTTCCAGTTTTCATTGAATCTATCTTTGATTATACCTATTAATTACTCTTCAAATTTAGTCCATCACAGTGAATATTTTAAAATTAACCTCCAATAACTTTTATAAAATAATCAGTGGAATAAAGTTAAATGGAATAAAACAAATAATTTAATATATAATAGGTATGCATAACAAGAAAAGAGAAAATGAACAAAACTAATCTTTATTTCTGAGCTTTTTCTACTTTATTTATTCCATATTTTCCTTGTCTTCATCAGAGCCTCAGCTGGCCCACGAAAACATTCATTCACCGAAAGATTGAGTCCTTTATAATCCTGAATTTGGAACGCTGTAGCTTTCCATTAATTATAATTATTGGTCATGGAAGCACTAAGGGGAGTCCATAGAATTCCCTGGGTTCCTGATATTGTTCTTCCTGACTTGATTTTTTAGCAAAAACTCAATTTCCTTTGGTAATTGCAGTCAATCATTCTAGCCAGTAGAATAGTCCCTTTTTGCCTGTTTGTTTAGTAACGTAAGGATCCTCAAATGGTCAAGTGGCAGTCTCATAAAGTTTAATGCAACCCTCTTGGAACCCCAATGAAATAATTCCCGTTACTGGAAACTAAGAGCACCAAATCAAGATAGTTACCAGGACAAAAAGTTAAAAAAGCCTACAAAGGGGTTATTATGTTCAACAGAGAAACCATTTCCATTTCTTGATTTCCAGACTTGTTTACCTGACTATAGGTGAGACATGCCCATGTAATCATCTCAATTCAAACCATGTAATACACCTGTAAGAATCCTACTATTTCAAGGTCTTATCTCTCAGCTGGTGCCATGACTAAATTTTTAATAAGCCATTCCATCTTTGCATTAGTCTAATTGACCCTCATGTATGGCGGTTACAGCAAATCTATTAATTCTATGCACATGATCCCATCCTTGTACTTTTTTTCCTTTGGCTGTAAAATAAGTTTATTGATCAGAAGCAATGCTGTGCAGACTGCCATAATGGTGGAAAATGCATTCCATGAGTCCATGGAGAAAGCTGCAGGAAGACGTATTAATTATCTATTACTCCTGTGAAAAATTGCCATAAACTCTGTGGCTTAAAGTAATGAGATTGATTACTTTACTTTTCCTGTAGGTAAAAGTCTGATGCAGGTTTTACCGGACTAAAATCAAGGTGTCAGCACTTTGTGTTTCTTTTTGAAGTTTCTAGGGGAAAATCCATTCTGCCTTTCATTCTGCTTATTTGGTTCCTTGCGGTTCTGGAACCAAGACCCCCAATTTATTTCTTGGTCTAAGCTGTTGGTCTAGAGGCTGCCTCATTCTATGATTCATGCCCTTCTTCTTCTATCTTTAATGTAGACAGTGGTCTAATCTTTGTCATGCCACATCTTTATGACTCTTCCTCCATAGTTGCCTATCTCTCTCTAGCATAGCTGGAAAGATTCTCTATTTTAAAGACTCATATGATTAGGCTGAGCCATCCAGATTAAAGCCACTGTTTATTTTTTTTTTCATTTTAGTCACTCTTATCTGCTGACCCATTTTTATATCACTGAAAAGCTAGAAGTCATCAAATGTGAACTCTGTTAATCATTCACAAATCTTCAATACCAGCAACTTTTGCACACATCATTTTGTACTTTTTTGTAAGTAGAAGGGAGAATATATTTTTTCTCTAGGCAAGCTGTGACCCCTACTTGTACCCTATTTTATTCAGAGATACCAGATGTACCTCAGCTGATTTAAATGATGATAATTTTTTGACCTATTTTGTTAATAGACATCTATATACTTCTAAGAATCTCTTAGTAAGGTGTGTATAGACCTAAGGAAACAAACAATGAATGTTGAGGCCCCCTGAGACTGGTAACAATGGAAAACCATTGCTACTGCTAGAGCTAAAGGGGGAGAAATTATACCACTCTTATTCACTAGAGCTCAGCAGAGGAGGGGCCACACTGCAGGAACTGTCTATGGAGACTTAAAATCACTGCCAGAGGCACAGCAATAAAGCAGGGAGAGGAATAGGAAAGACATAGCTTGACTTATATTTCCTTCTGCTTTTGAATATCTTGAAATGTTTCTCTTTGGCTAATGCCAACTAGAAGCTTGATAGAAAGGGAGCCCGGTTCATTTATTATGTGAAGATCAGCTTCTAATATATAGGACAGAACAAAAGAGAGTAGAGAATAAATAGGAGTAAATCTAGCTAATAATAACCTGAACAATACACTCGTTTTGGCCATTCAGAATTCATTTTTTTCCATTTATTAAGATAAAGGAACACTCATGTTCATGGCTAATACAAGACAAACACAAACTCCTATCAGCTGCCATATAATTAACATCAACTCACTTACATACTCAGAATTAAAATTGCAATATTAGCCACTACCAAATGTAGATAGAAGAAAATAAGTGAAGAAACCAGTTAATGTAAGAAGATATGAAGAGCTGCTATAGTTCATGCTTTAGTACGCAGTCTCAAGCCCGGGGTTAAGTATCTTAACTTCCTTTCACTACCAAGTCTCTGCTATCTTTGCCAGTTGGCATAAAACAGGATTGTTTTTTACCTAAGGAGGTGATCTAAACTTTCCTCTTCAAACTCTATATGTATCTTTCTTGCTAATATTGAGAAGTTTTTTTATGTTAATATTTGCCCTTCATTATTTTACACAGAAGTTAGTTATATGAGCCACTTCAATAAATTTCCTCATTCCCAAACATAATTTCTTTTTCTCACATTGCGTAACAATACATCCTTGCCTGTGCATGTTTGAGGGTGATTCTCCATGTATGTCTCAAGTTTCTGCAAGTCCTGTGTCTAGAGTCACTACCTGCCCATTTGTTGTGTCTGCCTTTTCTTCCTTTCTTCCTTCCTTCCTTCCTTCCTTCCTTCCTTTCTTTCTTCTTTCTTTTTCTTTTTTTTTTTTTTGATGGAGTCTCACTCTGTTGCCCAGGCTGGAGTGCAATGGTGCAATCTCGGCTCACTGCAACCTCCGCCTCCCGCATTCAAGTGATTCTCGTGTCTTAGCCTCCCAAGTAGCTGGGACTACAGGCACATGCCACCACACTCGGCTGATTTTTTGTATTTTTAGTAGAGACGAGGTTTCACCATGTTGGCCAGGATAGTCTCGATCTCCTGACCTCATGATCTGCCAGCCTCTGGCTCCCAAAGTGCTGAGATTGCAGGCGTGAGCCACGGCACCCAGCCTGTGGCTGTCTTTTCAAGAGTGTTGATATAGTAAACAACCTTGAGAGATATGGATAGGATTTCCCTCCAAACTAAATGGAATGTTTGGTTACTGTCTTGTATAGTAGAGATAATGTCTCCCTCCAGGGAAATGGTCAGGCAAATTTACTTGCAGCTTGTTATAAAAAAAAAAAAAAGTGGGTTTCTTAAGCACTGGTTTCCTCAGCTGTTATAGAAAACCACAGCATAAAGAATTTCCACCTGGGTACCACTGTTTTGCAACCAAGTGTCCCAAATCATGTTACTACTGCTTATATTTCTTTTGAGTTTCAGTTTCGTGTATCCAGTTGTTTGTTGTACATATTTCCTTGTTTGTCCATTGATACTATAATCATCTTTTCCTGAAAATGTAGTTTCTATCTTCCTACCTGAAATGCTCCTTATTATAATTTTTCTCTGGTGCTGAATAATATAATCACATGATCAAGTCAATCACATGATCAAGTCAATCACATGATCTTAGTGTCATTCCAGATACTTTTCTTCACCTATCATTTTCAATGGTTCTCTTCCTTCCCTACCTATATATACAATACTAATTCTAGTTCCAAAACATTTATTGGGTCTATCCCTTTGCAATCATCAATATTAAAATTGGCCTTCTTTATGCCTCTAAAATCCCTGAGTTCTTGCTGTCACCCTTTTCCCTTTTTCCAGTACTGACACCTCCAACTCTATTCTTTTCCCTCTGTCAGACTGATTACACCTCTGCTTTATCCTTTGCAGTAGTGAGGTTTACTGCATGCTCATCATGGAAGTCTATGCTGTGCTATTATTTATTTTGATTCCTTGTTCCAAAAAAAGTTCAGCTATCTTATGTTCTTCAAGACTCTCTTTTGGTATCATCTCACAGTTAAATTCCCACAGACTTCTCAGATTGGGTAATTTTCCACTACTGTGAACAAGTAAAACATCCTTTTCTTCACTTTTTATTGAAATTAAATATTTAGTAGGTTCAACAGTCTCCAATAGGTTATAAGAATTTATGATTAACAAACATGTCTTTTGATATACTCTTAACTCTCAAAACTTCACCTCAAAGTAAAAAGCAATATTTGCTTTGGTAATCATTACATCTAAAGTTAAAAATAAATTCTTGGTAAAACAAGCTAAGCCATAATTTATGTGATTTGAAGATACTCAAAACCTTGGACTTTCCAGGATGATATATAGATTATATAAGACATTTTTCCAACTCCAAACAAAGGCAGCACATTTTATAAACAACCAACCAAACAAACAGACGAACAAAATAACTCAAAAATAGTACCAATTTAGTGGTTTTTGCATATATCAAAGTTTTCAGTGTGAATAGGTTCTAAAATGTAGTTTTTACACATTATAACATATTGAATTTATATAGGAATGATTTATCATTCAACTATTTAATATCTACATGAATATATTAAAAATACAGACAATATTTACATTTTTGTATCTCATAAGTTATTTTCTAAAAATATTGAAACCTGTTGTATAATATTGCTTGACTAATTGTTGATAACAGAAATTGCCTTATTAACATAAATCTTCAAATTAAAATTGTCTTTATTAGTAAAGAATTCTACCAATGTGTATGAAGACACATTTTGAAGATGGAAAATTTATGTGTAATTATTTGTAAGAAAGATCTCCAATAAGATTATTTCAGTCACAGCAGAATAAAAATAAATAAACTTGATTATAATGCAAAATTGGGTAGAGGATTTATTGTACTTTATAGAATTATTTCCTAATGTTTTCTCTGGAAATATGATGTGTAACCATATACAATTCTCTGATTTTTAGGATTAGAGAATTATATGGTTCAGCTGTGTCCCCACCCAAACCTCGTCTTGAATTCTAGTTCCCATAATTCCCACATGTCGTGGGAGGGACCCAGTGGGAGATAATTGAATCATGGGGTCAGTTTCCCCCATATTGTTCTCATGATAGTTAATAAGTCTCATGAGACCTGATGATTTTACAAGGGAAAACCCCTTTTCCTTGATTCTCATTCCCTTTCTTGCCTGCCACCATGTAAGACGTTCCTTTTCACCTTCTGTTGTTATTGTGAGCCCTTCCCAGCCATGTGGAACTGTGAGTCCATTAAATCTCTTTTTCTTTATAAATCACCCAGTCTTCGGTATGTCTTTATCAGCAGTGTGAAAACAGAGTAACACAGGGAATACATTTAAGTATTTATCACTTGCTCTATCTAAATATATATATGCTGCTTTAAACAAATCTGAGATATGTGAATTCAACTTTTCTCACAAAAGATAAACCAGAAAAGTATTTTATACTGGGCGTCCTAAGTCCTGGAGCTACAGAATGGTACCAGTCTGGGCTCCAGGAAACTGGGAACTGGGCTCCACAGCAGGAGGTGAGCAGGAAGTGAGCAATTACCACCTGAGCTCTGCCTCCTGTCAGATCAGTGGTGGCATTAGTTTCCCTAGGTTGCACACTCCTTATGAGAATTTCCCTAATGCCTGATGATCTGAGGTGAAACAGTTTCATCTAAAACCATATCCCCACCCCTGTCCACGGAAAAACTGTCTTTCATGAAACCAGTTCCTGGTGCCAAAAAAGGTTGGAAACCTCTGTTGTAAAAAACATCTAAACTTATAAAAACAGAAAGAGAATTGTTTTCTCATTTAATATAATTTGAATGGCATAACGTGGATGTCAAAATTTTGTTGAAATTCGGCAATTCATGGCTTATGCTAAAATGATTCATTGTGATAGATAATGGGTTACATGCATTGCTCAATTCCTTTCTTTTCTTTTTCTTTTTAATTCGTGGCCCATCAAGTAATAGCTCAAGTTGAAAGCAAGGGTCTCACATGGTCTCCTGTATTCCATCACTCTCCTTTAAGTTTTTCAAGCTATGGTGTATGAATAATTCATTTTTATGTTCATATTAATTCACAGCTGAAAACTATATATATATGAGTTTGAATTTTTTGTCCCCATTCTGACTCATAAGTGTCATCCACATTTGTATCTGGTTTTAGGTCCTCTCCTGAACCATATTTCAAATATGCTTTGAATATACATTTCAGAACCTTGCATAATTGACAACGTTCAGATCTCCAACTTGGCAGGTGTTCTAGTCTAGCGAAGCCTTCAAAACTAGTATGCTCCTATCACCTACAGGAACGATTTTCCAAGCTGTCAGTCTCTTAAAAATAAATCTTAAACTTCTATATTATCACAATTGGTCTTATTTGACGGACTTATCTATTTGATTTTAACTTTATTTGTTGTAATTTTATAAACCTCTCCTTCTTCTAGCCCTTGGTGATATAAATGCATATGCCATTGTATGCACTGTAACTACTTATGAGCTTTAGAAACAGAGAGAGTTTGTATAAAATTATCGACCAGATTTTTTTCTTATAAGGATTCGGCATGTGCTATCATAATAGAAACAGAATGAGAACAACAACAAAAAACACCATATAGGTTGGAAAACAAAACAGAATTAAATCTCACTAGAGACTGACATCCAGCTAACAAGTCCTTTCAAATCTGTAAATACCCTTGTCTTTCGGCTTCCTCATTAAGAATCAGTAAAACTGGATTTAGTCACTATGACTTCTAATAACATTATTTTGAGCAAGGCACCCAAAAGAATCAGAGGAACAATAAGGTTATTCTCTTAACAAGGTTAACTATTGAACCTGAAAGTGAAGTTGAAATTCTCTGAGTTAACACCAGACAGAATCTTTCCACAGTATTTGTACTCTCTGTTGTCACCTAGATTTGTCCCCATGACCCAACTTTTATTTTTATACCAGTATGATTGCCATTATCCTGTCAGCCCCTGAAGATCCTAACATTTCTGTTCAGTCATCTGAACTTTTATCCAGGCAAACTGTGGCAATATAAAAAATGTATGCATTTGAATATAACCAGTTCTATTTATACTGCTTTAAATATCATCAAGGTGAATTTATTTTTGTGTCAATTTAAATATGCTCTTGGGAAGGTTTACAATAATCAGTCTCTTTCTCTCTCTCTGGAAGATTTACAATAAGCAGTCTCTCTCTTTCTCTCTCTCTCTCCCCCTCTCTCTTTCTCTCTCTCTCCACCTATTTCTTTCTCCCTCTCCAGTACATAGATGCACGTATCTACACTCCATACATTTACACACACTCAGTCACACTTGGAAATTCAAAGGCTTTGAAAATAGTGGCTCTCCTACTATACAATATCAATTCTTCAGCTACTGATATAAAGCGATGCCAATATTAATTAAAGAAAATGAAGAATTAAACATTTTGGTGAGTTATTTGAAATAATTTTGTTGGATGGCCAAGGTTCATGTAAATAGTAGCTTACTCAACAGCTTCTCTTGCCTTTTTAATAATCATCTAAAGCTTAAAATGTTTATGTTTGTTTGCTCAAGCTTCCATAATAAAACACTGGTTGGCTGAAACAACAGAAATGTATATCTCACAGTTTTAGAGGCTGGAAGTCCTGGATCAAGGTCCCGTAGGGTTTTGTTCCTGGTAAGACCTCTCTTCTTGGCTTTTCACTGTGCCCTCACATGGCCGTTCCTCAGTATGTGCACATGGAGGGAGAACAAATTTCTCTCTTTTTCTCCTCATATAAGACCACTAGTCCTATAAGATTCCGACTCTCCAAACTTATGACCTCATTTAACCTTAATACTTCCTAAAAGCCCTATCTTCAAATACAGTCATAATGGAGGTTAAGGTTTCAACATAAGAATTTGGGTGTACACAATTCAGTCCATATCAATATCCAAAAAGGAACTCTGGTCTTCCCTCAAAAATCTATGTACTCACAATTTTCCATGCCTCAGTTGAAGACAATTTTAGGCTTCCATGTTATAAGGTTAGAAGCTTCAATCCATGGTGAATCTCACTTTCTCTCACGCCTTGCTTGCCCTCTGACCTGCTCTCATGTACCCTTCCCCAGTCATTCTGTTCCAACTCCATTGGCCACCTTTCTTTTCCTTGGATGTGGAAGACAGACTGTTCCCTTAGGTCACTGCTCATACCTAATACCTCTGCTAGAATACATTGGCCAACCACCTTAAATTATATACTCAAAGGAGCTTATTCTAATCACAATGTTTAAAATTGCAGCTTATATGCTTCGTATTCCTAATGTTCTTTATCTCACTTAGAATTTTCTTGAGACAGTGGCATTTAGTTATTACCTTCCAATATACTATGTTACCAATTATCATATTTACATTTTTATTATCCACCCATCTAATGTAAGTTCCATATTCTGTGATGTATCCCAAGTGCCTAAAACAGTGATGAGCACATAGAAAATAATCATAAATAATTTGTTAAATACGTGCAATATTTTTGGGTTCTCAATTTAGACGTCCTGCTACCAAAATGTACATGATTCATGTCTGACTTAAAAGCTATATTAGTTTTCTACTGATTCATAGCAAAAAACCATAAATATATTGATTTAGAATAACACTGACTTAGAGCACAGCTTAGCTGGTCCTCTGATGAGGGACTCAAGGCTGGACTGCACTCTGATCTGGAGTCTTCACTGGGGGAGAATGTTTCTAAGCTCATTCAGAATAGTGAGAGAATTAATTTCCTTGCTACTGTATGACTGAGCACTCCCACTTCTTAATGAGTGTTTGGTGAAATTTGCTCTCCTATTCTAGAGGCCACCCATAGCCACCCCACCACATGGCTTTCTCCTAGCATGGCAATTTGCCTCTTCTGGTTCTAGGTCCCCTCCTGTATCATACTGCAAATATTCTTTGAATATACATTTCAGAACCCTGCATATTTGACAATATTCAGATCTCCAACTTGGCAGGTGGCCTCAGTCTAGCCAATTCTTCAAAAACTAGTATGCTCCTATCACCTACAGGAATGATTTCCCCTTCAAGATCAGCAAAGAGATTCTCTCTGATAGTAGAGAGAGAACAGTTCAAAGGACCCTTGCTTCATGAACTGAGGTCCAACACAAAAAAATAATCTTTTTGATTAATTAAAAATTATCTGATTGAAACTTTATTTTTGTTCACCTTGCCATATAAGGTAATCTATTCAAGGGGGTAACTTCCCATCATCCCATCAGCTTTGCTGTATAACATACTTTAAGTATAACAGTGACATTGCTTTTTGTTTGCCATGTTCTCTCTCTCTTTTTTTTTATTTTTATTTTTTTGAGAGGGAGTTTTGCTCTGTCACCCAGGCTGGAGTGCAGTGGCATGATCTTGGCTCACTGCAACTGCCACCTTGGGGGTTCAAGCAATCCTCCGGCCTCTGCCTCCTGAGTAGCTGGGATTACGGGTGTGTACCACCATGCCCGGCTACATTTTGCATTTTTAGTAGAGACAAGGTTTCACCACGTTAATCAGGCTGATCTCACGTGATCTGCCCACCTTGGCCTCCCAAAGTACTGGGATTACAGGTGTGAGCCACCGTGCCCAGCCTGCCATGTTCTCTTTACCAGAAGCTAGTTTGATCACTCAAGCAAGAGGAGGTTAAACAAAGGCATGAACACAAAAAGGCAGAAAATCATTGGGGGGGGTCACCCTAGTTTCTGCCTGCAGTGCAAACAAATAGGTGCTTATAAACTGGCTGCAATTTAAGCAATTTGTTCTATGTTAAAACTCTTAATATTCCTAGACACAATATAATAGTTCAGGTTATGTACTTGAAAATACTAGTTCACCCCTCACACACAGATACATAGACACACATGTCACATGCACACACACTAAACTAAGTGAAACAAGTAAAATTTTACATGTGTACCTATTAAGTATGAAAACAAGCAGTTGTCTTTAGTTCCATTTTTCTGACTACTAATATATTTAGGTGTCTTGATACCTAAATGCTTGTTAGTGATAATCACTTCCTCTTTTTAGCCCTTTTTTAATTGAATCTTCCATTTGTATGTGTACTTTGCTATTTTTTAATCTACTCTTTATATTAGATTTATGTTGGTTACATTGTTTCACAAAGAGTTCCTTGAATTTTGAAGATTTTATTTTCATTTTATTAAGAACTTTTTTGCTTTCCATTTAAATTTATTAATTTTTTGATTGCTTATTGTGTTTCTTGTCTTTTAAAAAATATCTCATCCTTTGTGTGAAATAATATATTTTTTAATGTTTTAAAATTTTGTTTTGACACTTCATTTTTGGGGGTACTTCTGGGACCACTTCAGGGCTCTTAATTTATTCTATTGTTCTCTTTTGCTATACAAGCACCATGTCATTTTACTACTAAATCTTTGTAATGAGTTTTTATATCTACTAGGTCGACGTCTTATTGTTTTTTTCTCCTTCAGAATGTCTTGGCTACACTTGGCGATTTAAATTTTTCATACATATTTTAATACAATTTTTCAAGTGTCACAAAAAGAGCAGCAACATAAACCCTGATGGTATTTTGATTGGAGCTGTATTAGCTCTATAGATAACTTTTAGTAAGAGTTTTTATCTTTGTAACATTAAGTCTTCCTATCTGTGGACATGAGATACATTTCTCCATTAGTTTAGATTTTTAAAAATTATCTTTCAGTAAAGTTTTAGAATATGCTATGCACAGAACTTGCACATCTTTTGCTAAATTTATTCCTATGCACATTGTATATATTTTGCAGTTTTAGATAATACATTTCTCATTCTGTTTTTGAGTCATTTATTTTTGGCCTATGAATTGAATTTAACTGTCATAGTTTGATCTTATATCCAGCCCTCTCAAGCTTTCTTACATTCAGTGAAACTAACTTTTATAGAAATTCTTCCAAAGGATAGGATATTTTTTCATAATATCAATCATTCATAGATTTCAAATTGACTAGATATTTCATTTCATCAAGTCTAATTTGAGACAGCATTAAAAAATAAGTAACAAAAAGTAAGATCACAAAAATATCAAGTGTTAAATAACGTAGATTATCTGAATGTTTTATACTTTGATGAAAATATTTTAAATTGACAGCAGTTTCTTTGGGAATATTTCACCATTAAAAAT
Organism: Homo sapiens; assembly: GCF_000001405.40. Lineage (NCBI taxonomy): Eukaryota > Metazoa > Chordata > Mammalia > Primates > Hominidae > Homo > Homo sapiens. The sequence goes on from NC_000004.12 coordinate 32,786,698, forward strand.
TTATACTCATGGCTAGGTGAGGTGGTTCATGCCTGTAATCCCAGCCCTTTGGGAGGCTGAGGCAGGCAGATCACAAGGTCAGGAGATTGAGATGAGCCTGGCCAACATAGTGAAACCCCATCTCTATTAAAAATATAAAAATTAGCTGGGCGTGGTGGCACACACCTGTAGTCCCAGCTACTCTCGAAGCTGAGGCAGCAGAACCACTTGAACCCAGGATCTGGAGGTTGTGAGATCACGCCACTGAACTCCAGCCTGGGCAACAGAGTGAGACTCCACATCAAAAAAAAAAAAAATATTCTCACATATCCAGGAATTTTACACATGGATGTGTTCCCAGGACAAAGTTAACATATATGTAAGCTTGAAAGCATGTATAAGAAGTCCCATAAAAGCACTGTTTATAAGAGCAAAATCCCCTCAATTCCCATCAGCAGTATATGGAAAAATAACTTGTGTACAATAGTAAAATTAATGAAACAATGTAAATGCAGCAACATGAATATACCTTAGCAACATAGTATTTTTTGAGTGTAGATATATGCAATCATACACAATACACATTTCACAAAAAAAGACATATAAATGATAATATTTTAAAAAATTCTACAATTATAATTTACAAACAAGAACACTTAAAATGGGGCAAGAGAGAGAGAAATATTGACACAAAATTTACAATGACTGTTACCTCTAGGTGTGGGTTTATCAGGTAGGTAAGGGAGAATTAGAGCTATAGAGTCAACTACTAATGTGGGTCTTGCTTATAATTTGGGTAGCTAATTAATGAATATTTATTGTATTATTAAGTAAAACTAAAATATTATAAAAATACAACAAAGTAGGTATGTACATGGTATTATGCATATAGAATTATATACTACAAATCAAGAAGACCAAAGCCCTAAAAAAGAGAAATTAACAAAATGTAATAAGTTTTTGTTTTTATATTTTTCTTATTTATATAAAATATACTTAATAAATATTGTTCCTGCATGCTGTTTTCTGTTGTTGAATTTCTTTGAATAATAACATTCAAAGGTACATATATGTGTACACACATTTACACATTTATATTATTTAGAGAGAATATAGTATAGGAAGAGGACTAAAGCATGATTCCTAATTATATTTATTTTAGAATTAACCAGTCTTTCTTTGAATCCCAACTTCACCATTTTCAAATTACGAAATTCAAGCCTTGCCTATTTTCGTGAAAGGTATAAATACTGTTTACCCAATTGGTATATTTTAGGATTAAAGATCCAATACCTTATAAGTGTACAATAAATATCTAAAATATCTAATGCTATAACTAATAATAGCTGTAAAAAAAAAACCGTCTATATAACAACTTCAGTGTCTTAGTTTGGATGACCTTGAAAGCAGATTCTGACATCAGAATTTAAGTGCAGATAGTTTATTTGGTAGGTTGAGGAAGCAGCCAACAGGCAGAAAAGTGACACAATAGAAGGCAAGATGGCCAATAAAAGGTACACCAGAGTGAAAGTGTTCTCCCCAAATTCATTTGTTGAAATCCTAATCCTCAGTGAGCTAGTATTAGGAGGGGCTGACATTTGGGAGGTGATCAGATCATAACAGCAGAGTCCTTGTGATCGAGAATACTGCTGTTAACAAGGGTACCAGACAGCTCTCCTCCCCTCCTTCCACCATGTGAGGATACCAGAAAACAGCAGTCTGCAACTAGAAGAGGGCCCTCGCCAGAACCTGACTATGCTGCCACCCTGATCTCTTACTTCCAGCCTCCACAACTATGAGAAATAAATTTCTGTTGTTTATAAGCAGTCCGATCTATTGCTCTTTGTTATGGACTAAGGCGGCATGCTGTGAAGCTAACTACCAGAGAGTTTACTGAAACTTCATCTTGTGAGAAAAGAGTAAGAAATGGTACAAATACAAACACCAGAATTATCCCACCAGAGAAGTGGAAACAAGAAGCTGTAAGGCTGGGCGCGGTGGCTCACGCCTGTAATGCCAAGCTTTGGGAGGCCAAGGTGGGCGGATCACCTGAGGTCAGGAGTTCAAGACCAGCCTGGCTAACATTGTGAAACCCCATCTCTAATAAAAATACAAAAATTATCCAGGTGTGGTGGAGCGTGCCTGTAGTCCCAGCTACTTGGGAGGCTGAGGCAGGAGAATCGTGTGATTCCGGGAGGTGGAGGTTGCAGTGAGCTGAGATCCAGCCTGGGCTGGAGCAAGCCTCCATCTCAAATAATAATAATAATAATAATAATAATAATAATAATAATAATAATAAATAAAAAAGAAAGAAGAAAAAAGAAGAAAAAAAAAAGAAGCTGTGATATTTTAAATACCAAAACAGTCAGTAGCAGGCTTCTCCCTCTGGGGATTGGAGAGTTTCTTTACCCCAGCCCTTCCTTAAGCAGAGGTTCTTTTTGTATTCCCAGAAAAAGCCTTCAGGCAAAAGTTGCATGCTTGCAGTTGGAAGTCAGCTGAAAAGCATTGAAATGAAAAGGTCTGGGCAACACAAGGAAGGCACTCACTAAGTGAGTCACTCTTGGCACTCTTTCTTGAGAAGAGAACCTTAAATAGGATTTTTACATTTGAAATTATTCATGGCAAACAGCCATGCATGGCTCCCAAGGGGAAGGATTCAAACCAATGATAAATTCTGAGAAGTTAAAGTTCTACAATGACTTCTTTCATAATCTTTTGTTTACATAAGGCCATTCACAAAAACCAGACTTGGTGACAGGATAAGTCAGTATCAGACTTAGTGGTATTGATTAGATAGTCCTACCTTGGATTTAGGTCATTTACATGGTAATTTTAGAAATTATTTTTGGTTGAAATTTTCACCCAAAATACAAAAATTTTCTTCTAAGAATGGTCTAGATTTCTTACACTGCATACAAAAGAGAGAAACAATTTATGCGTTAAAAATTCTCAGCATTCTTGTCTAATACATCTTATGATACCATCATTTTCACAAAACCACCTTATTTGAGCTATTTATGCTTTTGTGAATGTTTTCTCCATGTCTAGAATAACCTTTCTGATGCTCAGTCTAATGTATCTTCTTCAATATTCTTTTCTGCAATATGACTTGATACTAGGTCTTAGGTACTGGATTTACTAATTTATAAAACGACTGATAAATATAACAAAACATAAATAAAAACAAAAATTAAAGCAAAATTTTATATCAGTTGTTAGCATGGACATGAGATTGATCAACAAAGTTTTCTTTGTTGTTCAGCCAAATGTTGAATGGAAATATTCTAAATCATATATTTTTGAAAAAATTACTTGAGTTATTGTACTTTTGTTTCATGATTTGTTGATTTTGTTTTGCTTTTGTATATTCATGTGTGTGTGTTTTAATAAACATTCTCTCATCCATTCTATTTTGACTTTAATTACATAGACTGATTGAAAAGAGAGTGAAGATTAATGTACAAGATAAATTAGTGTTGTCTCTTTTATATAACTTGCTATACAGATAATGATAAGCATTATCAATATATTTTAGTAATTTCTGTAAAAATAAGTGAGTATGTGAAGATGTGACATGTCATTTACCACTCTCATTAATAACTGACCAATGAGTTGAGCTTTGTTTCATATACCATGACATATGTCTAAGCTGTGGCAGGCTAACAGTAGAGAAGAACAGGCTCATTTTAGTGCTATTCTCTTTTGTTCCAGGAGGAATCTCACTGCAACAATAAAAATAGATCTATAAATTAGAATATTATTAATGGAGTTGAATCTTCTATCATAACCCATGTTTTAAGGATTTAGGCAGCTTAACAGATAAGGTATATATCAAATTGCTATATGGCTATAAATTAAGAAAACATATTGATAATAGTACTTAGTTAATTTTTGTAATTAAAGTCCAAGTCAACAGAGCTTGTTTGAAATAAAGAATTGATTTATTTCAGTTTCATTCAAACAATATAAACTGAGGGTTTTCATGTGCCGATCACCCTGCTCAACGCTATGAATGAAACACTACTGTTTGAATCTTTCCCTTTTCTCCAGGAAGCTACAACTCATTTGGTGACAATGAAACATCAATATATAAAACAATTTGAGTTGACCATGGAGCTGCTTTTAATCAGCCTAACATAGTTGCTGGAAGCATCTGCTGAATTAGTTTTGTTCAGCTACAAGTTCAATTCCAAACTTAACATCATTGCCCTTGCTGATGTGGCTCTGAGCCAGGGTAGGCAAGAGGCTAACAAAATTTGTCCAATTTACTCTAAGCAATTTGATTTAACTGGCAGTTGTTACCTTTGTGTCCCATCTCCAAACAGGCAGATTTAGAGCTTTGCAATATCCAGGCAGGCTGCACGCCAAGGTGTCAGCACCTCATTGTAACTGCCTGCCCTGGCTCTTCCTACTGTAATCTCTATCAACAGCAAACAGATTAACATTTCACAGTCAAAACACAGGGCAGTGGCTAAAACTCCAAGTAGTGTGTGTGTGTGTGTGTGTGTGTTTGTGTGTGTGTGTGTGTGTAATAGAAGCTTTTCACTTGTTTGGACAATAAAGTAAAATATCTTTCTTGTGTCCCGAACTTGGCAGGAGGCGACGATTTCTCACTGTATTTTTACGACAATGTATACAATTTATAAATCAAAATGATTTGTAATATTAAGTAGGTGGTACATATGCATAAATACAAAATCCAAACCTCAAATCACCAATTGTGTTGGCTCTAAAGTGGATTATCTTGATTCGGAAGGCATTTGGCTACCTACCGCAAGCATAAAAATGTACTTGAGAATGTTCAAATGCAATGTTGCATGGTTGGTTATTCTTTTGCCTAGATGTGCAGTGCTTATTTATGTTTGTATGTGTTTGCAATAAGGTTGGAAATATTTTGTTGAATTGTAGAAGCAGGTATCTTTTTTGAAGAGTGTATCTGTTCCACATGCATAACTCACTGATAAAATTATGATAAGCCAATACGAGCTCTGTGAAACCATTCTTCTTTTCCAAAATTAGAATTGGCTTTCTCACTTCACCTGACTATCATAAGAATTTAGGTCATAAAGATCTATGGACCAGGAACATGGTTATTCAATACAAAATCATTGAGTAAATCACCTAGTAAAGACTTTTGTAACTATATTCTGAACAGCTTTTATATTATGAACGGTAACTGACTATTCTTTTCCAATTTCCTATCTCTTTCCTGACTTTCCTGAATTTTTCTAGCCCATCCATAATTCATATACTTTTTAATTTCCCAATAAATTTTACTACTGAATAAGTATGTAAATACACATGATTTACTATTAACAACTATAAAATAATTATATACTAATATAAAAATCATTTCAGAAATCGTTGTTTGCTAAGAATCATGGTCTGAATTTTGGTAATCGTTTTCCTTGTTATCTTTAACACATGTATATTCAGTCACAATCTTTCAAGAATCTTCACAATGAGTGACAGTGTATTAATCGCCTAGGGTTGCAAAAATATATCACAAATATAGTGGCCTAAAGCAACAGAAATTTATTCTCTAATAGTTCTGGAAAAGTCCAGAAGTCTGAAATCAAGGGGTTGGCAGAGCCAGCCTTCCTCCAAGAGCTCCAGGAGGGGATCCTTCCTGGCCTCTTCTAGCTGTTCCTGGTTTCTTGCATTCCGTGGCTTTCAATCTCATAGGTCTAATCTCTGCTTTCATCCTCACCTGGCCTACTCCCCTGTGACTTTGAGTCTCAGATCTCCCTGTGTCTTTCTCCTATAACGATATCTTTCAGCGAATTTAGGGTAGACTGGCCTTGTATCCAAGATGATCTCATCTTGAGTAACATAATTACAGCAATAAGAAGTCTGTTTTTATGAATAAAGCATCATTCACAGGTTCCTGGTGGACATAACTTTTTAGGAACCACAATTCAAGCCACTATAGGTAGTAAAGAATTTATGAGGATAAATGTATTTTATTGTAGAAAGAAACTTAGTAGCAAAATGAGTTATGTCATTAAATTTAAGAAATGTCTATAGGTCAGCCAGACTATGAGGAGAAATGAGTAAATGAAACACTATGGTGAGAAGGTGAGGATATAGAATGCTTATTCTTAAGAATATTAAGAATGTTCTTGCAACTGAGTGAAGATATGACTGAAGTTTGGACAGATATAGAGATGCCAATAGTTATTTTGCAAAGAACCATTCTGGTTATCTAAGTTACAGCAACCTACCCACCTCCTGACTATGATAATACAATGAGAAAAATATATATAAATTCTTCCTAATTCTTTCTTTTTTGTACTCGTTAACCATGTCCACCTTCCCTGAAGTTCCCCACGACCCTTTCCAGCACAACAGGGTGATATAGTCAATAATAACTGAACTATACATTTTAAAATAACTTTAAGGGTGTATTTGGATTATGTGCAATTCAACGGATAAATGCTTGAGGGGATAGATACTCCATTCTTCATGATGTGCTTTTTTCACATTGCATTCCTGTGTCAAAATATCTCATGTACCCCATAAATATATACACCTATTATGTACCCACAATTTTTTTAAATTGTCATTAAAAATATGTATCCAACCAATTGTAGTTAGTGGAAAAGCAATATGATCCAGCTATCTTATACATGGAAGGAAAACTAGAAATTAGTTTTTAGAAAATATGCACAGCAAAACATGAGATTGCATGAGGAGGATTTTGAAAAATAAATTTGTGATGAAATTGCAAAACTGATAAATTTCCCACTGACTTGCTTTATATTCATTAGAAATAGGCTGGGTGCGGTGGCTCATGCTTGTAATCCCAACACTTTGGGAGGGCGAGGAGGGTGGATCACTTGAGGTCAGGAGTTCGAGACCAGCCTGGCCAAGATGGTGAAACTCCATCTATACTAAAAATACAAAAAAAAAAAAAAAAATTAGCCTAGCATGGTGGCAGGCACCTGTAACCCCAGCTACTCTGGAGGTTAAGGCAGGAGAATAGCTTGAACCCGGGAGGTAGAGGTGAAGTGAGCTGAGATCTTGCCACTGCACTCCAGCATGGGTGACAGAGAGAGACTATGTCTCAAAAAAAAAAAAAAAAAACAAAAAGAAGAAAAGAAATTAATTATTTGTGGACCTATGTTGTCTTCCCTGTCTTGTCTGATAATGAGGATAAGAAAAATCACTAAGTATGATGATTAATTATACATAATGAGAATGCTGAATTTGAAAACATGGTTACCAACCTCAACCACCTCATCACCTCAAGAAGAACTGTGTGTAGAAAAGTAAGAACACTAGCACAACATTCTGCATTTTTCTCTACATCTGGATTCCATTTGAGATAGGCTATTTTTGATGAGGGACTTGCCCTTTTTAGATGGAGATGGAGTAATTAAACATACTTGGATATTTAACTATAAGCTTGTTCGGGGAGTTATAATCCTGGCTCCTCCATCATTCTGATTGATGCGGGTGTAAAATTTTCTCAGTGTACTTCTAATTCCTGGTTCCACGTCAGGGCCTGAATATCCTTCTCAGAGAAAGAATTAAGAGAAAAAACCAAGTGAACTTGTTCTGAAATACTGGACTGGTTCAGATAAATTCAAGACATTCACAAAATAAAGACAGATACAACAGTGGTGTTTCTTATAGCTCATGATGTAAAATATGTTGAGAATTAAGTGACCTAAATGTTTACACACTAACTTGCTCAATAATTATATTTTGAGTGACTATGTTCCTGGCCTATACAGACCATGAACTAAATTCTCTTGATAGTGAGAAAAATGATCTTAGTTTTATTAAAGATTTAACTATGGATCAGGTCATATTAGTATAGGACACCCAGAATCAGTGATTCTGTTTGTACTTTAAAAAAGAAAAAAAGACAGAAAAAGACATATTAATGAACTCCTATATATTGCTTATTTCTAAAAGAATATGATATAACATAACTTCTGTTTGAAAAGACTTGAATAATTTAAGGTATACAAATAGGAAACACTAAAAATTCACCAGAAGAAAGTAGAATATAATTATGACTTTGAGGTTCTCAGCAGATTAAGTAATAAATATTCTTTAATTTAGAAATTTGGGTTAAATATATTTTTTCTTTAAGGGCCCTTAGTGAAAAGAAAAATGTGTAAGCCCATTAATCAACTTATTTGATGTAGAAAAATGGCTCATTAGTTATTTTCCTTGCCGAAAAATCTCATCTTTTTTAATGAGAACAAGCTATGATCCCAGTATTATTTTGTGTTATTAAAATAAATGCACTAATTTATTTCTGTATATATTGTAATTCAAAATATTAATTACAGAAAAAAGATCAGAATCCACTATATTAAAGACATCACACTCAGAACTAGTAGAAATATAGATTAGAACTTGGATACTTCATCTCCTATATGGTATCTGGTATCTATGCTGCTCATAACATAGAATAACGTATTATTGGCAAATGAGCAGCATACGTAGTAAGCTATTTAAAAATAACAACAGCCTAAGGAAACAGAGTGAAACATGTTTTTAGAGTAACACACACATACACATTTTTGGAACAAAGTTTCTTATATATATCAGAAGCAAAGTGTGTTCCTTTATGTAATTGAAAATAATGGTGCTAAAAACATACTAAATGCAATATATCATGGTTGATTTCCAAATATTTATCCTAAAATTCTTAAACACTTTGCTGCCAGATGCTACTTTAAATGCTTTCCAGTATTCACATATTGCTGAAAACCAACCTATGAAGTAAAATTAGTACCGTACTTCATACATGAAGAAACACAAAAACAGGAATTAATTTGCCCAAAGCTGCACAGCTAGCACCTGGAAGGACAAAAAGGGTGACACAGGAGAGTAAAAGAGAAAACACATTTGAAAGAGTGTTGTAGAACAGTAGGAAAACTAGAATTCTATTTTTTGACCCTTTTAGGTACTCGTGAAAAATCAGATTCACTTAACAAATAAATATGTTTCTCAGTATCTTGTAGAGATCTGTGTTTTAACAGTTCCTTCATTTTTTAAATGAGTACAGCCAAGCTAATATTAATAAATTGATGTATATGATAAGGAATATAAACATTTTATAACATAGTATCTTCTTATTTTATATGGCCCAGGTATCTTTTACAAACTGAAAAATAATTTTTCTGGTCAGATATTTGTTAACATATATGCTGTTTAAAATCACATCCAATAATAACATGAACAGTCCCTCAGGGATATTCATTACAACGCAGTATTTTTAATGGTTTTATGGCGCTTTATATTACAGTTGTTTTTTTCAATCTGGCAACACTCCTGTAAACAAAGTAGATCTTTTGTATCCATTTAAAAATGATGAATCTCATACATAAAGAAGGTAAATAGCTTCCCCAAATCATGTGAAAGAAAAGCAAAACAAGCAATGAAAGAGACTCAAATATAAGATCATTGATTCCATGTTTAATCCAGTGTCTGTTATATTTGATTCTTCTGAGGAAAAATTCTCTGCCTTTAGCTGTGCTATCTGATACAATAATTGGTTTCAGTAAACTACATAAACATTTGGATAAGTGTGTATTATAAAGGGAGCAATGTAAGGGGTACTCTGTGGTGAATTATGATTTAGAATTTTATAAGAAACATTTATAAATGTTGGACTAGATAATTTCCTCAGGGTGAAAATTAAATAAAAAGCTCAATGATGTGTTAGCTACATGTAAAAATAACAAAAATATTCCTACATTTCTCAAATTATGTTAGCTCTGGAAAGGGAATCCTTAATTTCTGATTTATTAAATATATGTAAATTTATAGACTTGGCAAACACAGCACCACCAAATGCACCCACAGCCATATGTACATGCAGACACATATCCATGCCTATGATCCCTCTAGATGCTGTAATATTACACAGAATAATACACAAAATGCTATACAAATGAAGTCAGAATAGATATATTATTGTTCTAGGACTCTAGGTCTTTAAATTTGTTAATATGCCTGTGCTTAAATAATTCACCAGCTTGAAACCCAAGATTATATCTCTGATTCAATAGATGTGAATCTCTCCCCTTCCATTTGTAATAAAGAACAGATTAAAGATTTCACTAATGTAAATGATTGAAATTAATCCAGAAAAGCTAAGACAGACCTTTCTAATAAATAAACTGGCTTTAAACACTGTTAATCTGATGAGGCTAGGGAGAGTTTAATTAAAATTCTGTCTCCCATTTATCTAGTATTCTGTAGTAAAATAGCTACCAAAACAGCTCAGCTTTCTCTTTTAACATGATTATTATGTATTTATTTATTTATTTTGGGGTGCTGATTGAACAAAACATTTAAGTTTCAATAGACAAAATGTTCTGTAGACTTTATTTTTGTTAAGTAGGTGATAAGAATCACAGCTGTGAGGCTAGGCTTTTTTTTGTTTGTTTGTTTTTTCCCCAGAAATGTCCTTTATATTGGTCAAGGGTTAACACTGTATGGAGAATTTGAAACTCTCTTTCTCTCTCTCTCTTTCTCTCTCTCTGTTTGCTTATCAATAACTTTGGTAAAAGATTTTGTGTGGGCTTTTGGATTGTGTGTAGATATCATACTTTTTTTTTCCTATTCCAATGCCTAGTATAATTGGGCCTGATATTATTCAAGAGATAAACATCTCCTCTTCAACTGGCCAAAGGTTAAAAAGAGAAACCAGAAGATACTGCAGGTGGGAACAGGGGACTAAGAGAAATCATTGAGTCTACCCAGTGACCCTGTTGGCCTCTCACGAGGCGCTGAAGGTAACATAATGTGAGCATTCTATACATATTTTATTAAATGCTCAAAGAAAGATATTTTCAAGGCTGTAAGAAAGTAACAAAATGGACTTCGTCACTTGATTCTTGAGTCAGTGATCCAAGTTGGTGGCATGCATTCAGTAAACAAATAAAGATGATTACTATTATTATATTCAAATCCACATTGTACTGTAGTTGAAAAGATGAGAAATAGAAATATTTTCTAACTAATCCAAGCCTACAAAGATAATCAGCTCTAATTAAAAGAACAAAACCCAAGTTTTGATTGGCTTACCTGTCTAGCTACTAAACACTATCCTACCAACTAAACCGTTAACAATTTATCTTAATCTTATATAATATTCAGGGGGTTTTATGAAGACACAGTTTATATTTATATTAACACTTTCCAAACTTAGGAATTCCCAAAATTTTATGGAAAAAAAAAGTTTGAACTTAGTGTTGCTGCTTTTGTAGGGACATAATAGACATAATACATTTGATCTGGTGAATTTGGCATTTTGGATATGACACATTATACAATAAATACTTATGAGGTAGGAAGTGGGACTCGGCTCTGGAGGCAGGGCTCGGACACCAGACCAAATTGAGGACTAGCTAAAAAAGGGATAGGGAGGAAGCAACTCTCCATAAGTCACCCCCACCAGTGTGTCATGTCAGTTTACCGTTGCCATGGCAACACTGGGTTGGGGGCTGTTACCGTCTCTTTCCATGGCAATGAGCTGATTACCCAAAAGTGACTACACCTTACCTAGAAGTTTCTGTGTAAATCACCCCTTAATCTACATGTAATTAAAAGCAGGTATAAATATGACTGCAAAACTGCCCTGAGCTGCTACACTCAGCATGCTACCTGTGGGGTAGCCTTGCTCTTCAGGCGCAGTCACAGAGCTATAACACCTCAGGAGCTGTAATACTGCCACTTTAATAAAGCCGTTTTTTTCCTACCCTATGACCAGCTCACCCTTGTCTTCTTTCCTGGGCAAGCCCAGAACCCTTGCAGGATAAGCCCCACCTTGTGGCTTGTTGGCCCTGCATCAGTGTGGTGCCTGGCCAGGGGCAAAGAGAGAAGATGGTGGCAGGAGAAACAGCAAGAGAAGTAGCAGTTAGCAAAACCACAGTGAGAGAAGCAGCAGTCAGTGATCCAAGGGTCGGCAGTTGGCAATCAGCAGGTGGCATTGGTAAATGGCTGGTTGGCAGTCAGTGGTATGGAAGTTGGCAGGATGGCAGTAAGCAAGACGGCAAGAAAAAGCGATCTGCAGCACGACAAGCTGGGAGACGATGAAAGGTGGTGAAGCAGAGCTGTTAATACCTAAAAGCTAAAACACCAACCAAAGGCTCTTTTCAGAGCCATCGTTTTCCTTGGCCAACAGGGGAATTGAGCAGACAGGCAAGCAGCCATAGTGTCACTGTCTCGTGTGAGACTTGTAGTGCTGATCAGCAGGTGGGTGGGTAACCAGCCCCTGTGCCAGCCTCTCTCACCACTGCAGCTGAGCCCATCAGCAGCCATAGTGCCACTGCCTCGTGTGAAACACGCTGCTCCAACTGGCAGACTGGTGGGTTACAGTCTCCATGCTGGCATCTCTCACCATGGCAGCTAATCCCACCCAAGCTGAGGGATCCTGGAGAGATCATCATGCAGGTTTCCATGTGGAATATTGTCAGCACCATTTGGCTCTGGTGGATGGGTAAGTGTCCCCTCTGCCCCCACCCCCATAGTATCAGGAGAACTAAGGAATAAAATAAAAGCCTTTGGCCAGGTGATCAGTTTGAAGCCCCCATGGTTTGAGTGCTCCAAAGCATGTCCTCATCACCCCTTCCCCTGTTCCTTTCTCCTCTGACTCCATTTTACTGTTCCATCAGTCATTTTATTTTCAGTTTTAAAATGTATGTTTTGTTTGCAGTCTTGTTTGCTTTTAACTTTGTGTTACCTGTGTTTTGGCAATTGTTTAAGGCAGGACACTTGGTTTTGAGAGGTCCCCCATTTTGTTGGCTCTGGGATGTTACAGTCGTATTGTTTGGTGACCGCAACTTGGTCTTGGGTTCACCGTCAGCCACCCCCTTGGGTGTCCCAGGGGTCTTCGCATTTGATGTGGGAAACTTCACTGGCTGAAACTCAGGCACTCTGGGTTTTCAGCATTGGTTTTAACCACCACTGGATGCTCTGAGGTATTCAGCATTGAAATTCTCTCTTGGATTGTGAGTTATATACCTTCCCCTTAGGGAAGTATCAGTCTTGCCTTTTGATGCCTTGAAGTTAGATATATTATTTTTCTAATAGCCAGTTGCAAGCCCCTTTCTGTGTGTTGTCTCACAACTGCCTTGCTCAAGTCCCTCTTGGTCAAAGGAACTGGGAGTTCCCAGGCTCCTGGACAGATTGATAGGCATATACAGCGGTAGACAAGCGGAGACCTGATTTTTTTTTCTTTTTTTGGTGTCTCTGATACTGGGTAGGTTCTCCAACAGGTCACAGCCCCTGAGGTCTTCCCTTGGGGAGCACTATTAACTCCCTTCCCTTCCTCCCTTCCACTGTCACTATTTGTTTAGCCTCTCTCTGCCCAACCCTCACTCTGTGGAATTTAGACTCAACATGCAACTGCCCTTTTGTAGCTGGTAATCTACTTTAGTAACACCTTGCTATGTATGTTTTGTAGAAAGTGGGAAATTAGAAGGGAAAAGTAACTAAGTATTTGCTACATGTAGGCTAACTGTAACTCACTGTAGAGATCTTTACTAGACATGCGGACAACAGCAAGCATCCCAAAAGTCTTGCCACTGGGGTGTTCTTTAGACAAATGGAGAAAATTCCAATTATTGGACAAATTGAAAAGAAAGAAAACTCATTTACTACTGTAATAATATTTGGATGCAATACAAATTGGTAAGCCAACAGATTGACCTAGGCATGGTTCTTTATGTTCTAATGATATTGTACACTTACATTGGCTTTGTAAAAATTAAGGAAAATGAGAAGTTTCTGATGTGCAGGATTTTATGGCCCTCTACCAAGATCCTAACCTAAAGGCTAGCTGTAGAATGTGTCTGGCTCGTGATACTCCCAGGCACCCAGAAGCTTTACCGGACATCCTAGATGACCCCTTCCTAGCTGCTCCCCCTAGGAGGCCTATGCTTCCCCCTCATTCAGAACCTCCTCAGTCCCCTAGTTCTGAGGGGTGCTCCACCAGTCCTCCAGCACAGGATTCCACCCAGGATCATCAGACACCCCTTCCTCTTATCCAACAAACCCTGGCTTATATCCCCTACTGCCTGAGAGGTAAGCCCAATGAGTCTGCCAGGACTGGGTCCCCATATCAGCCCCCCAAATTGAACTTGTGTCCATTCCAGAAGATAGCTGACAAAGATGGAGGAACAATGAGTATAGGTGCCTTTTTCCATGTCTGATCTGGCTTTATGACAGGAAAAATTTGATCAGTTTTTGGAGGATCCAGGGAAGTTTGTAAAGGTGTTTGATAAGTTCACGGTATCTTTAACTTGACTTAGCATGACATGCAAATATTATTATCCACTTGCACCATAGAGGAAAAACAAAGAATTCTAAGTACTGATCATCAACATGCAGATGGAGCGGCTATGCATAACCCAGGCCATGACATTTATTGTGTGGCAGGAGGTGCAGTTCTAGATCTAGACCCTTGACAGGATTTCCAGAGAGGATCACAAAATCTTAAATGCAGATATCATATACTAACTTGTTTAATAGATGATATGGAAAAGCGTGTGGTGAAGCCCGTTAACTATAATAAGGTGAGAGAAATAGGAGAAAGATGAAAATCCCACTCTATTTCAGGGCCACTTGGTTGAGGCACTCAGGAAATATACTAACATAGCCCCAGACTTTTCAGAAGCATGAGCTCTTCTGGGTGTGCATTCTATTATTCGGCCTGCCTCTGACATTAGGAGGAATCTACAAAAGGAGCATTGGGACCATAAACCTCCATGAGCTAACTCTTACACATTGCCTTTGGGGTTTATAATAATGGGGACAGGGCAGAAAAAGAGGTAAAAATACAAAGAATTGGCCTAAAAGTACAATTGTTAGAGGCTGCTTTAGGCCCCCTGCTGCCTCAGAGTTATTTATCTCAAGGAATGAGTGAGATCAGCACCTAGGACACTCAGATGAGAGCCCCCCACTCGCTGGCCTTGAGGCCAAAATTAGTGTGCCTTATGTAAGCAAGAAGGCCACTGGAAGAGAACTGCCCCAGGCTTACGAGGGATCCTGAGATACCCAGACCCATAGTGGCCAAGAAAGCAGAGGTTTGACGGGGCCTGAGGTCCTCTACAGCTCCCACTGGACACCTTACCATCTCCATAGAGGAGCCTTCATTAACCCTTGATGTAGCAGGCAAGAATACGTATTGGACACAGGAGAATCATACTCAGTCCAATCGTACGTATTGGACACAGGAGAATCGTACTCAGTTGTAACATATTTCTCAGGGCCACTGTCTTCCCAGTCTTGTACAGTAAGAGGAATTGATGGCCAGCCAAAAGTTAGAAAGTTCACCAACCCCCTTGGTTGCACCATGGGGGATCATATATTTTCCCACAGGTTTTTACTCATGCCTGAGTGCCCTATCCCTCTACCCCATTAGGGGCTACAATTCAGTTTTGGGGTGCCTCATGAGAAGGCAACAGTCCAGGAAGTGATGCTTCTCCTAGCTCTGTGTGCTTGCCTTAACACAGATAAGAAGACTTCCCTTCCACCACATATTGCATCTCAAGTAGATCTTTGTGTTTGGGACATGAAAGTTCCCAGTAGAGCTGTGAATCTGCCCCAAGTCCATGTTATTTTAAAACCCAAAAAGAAAGCACTATGGAATTGCAGCCTCCTCAGGCTAAGAGACAGTTAGGAGCCTTTTTGGGAATGGCTAGATTCTGCTGGATCTGGATTCCTGGATTTGAGCTTATAGCAAAGCTACTCTATGAATCTCTAAAAGGGGTGATTATGAGCCTTTGAATTGGAATGGAACCTGCCATTATGCATGCTTAACCCTTAAATACAAACTAGGAACAGCTTTTGATTTGGGACTCTCTAACTTAGAAAAGCCTTTCACTCTCTGCGTGGCTGAAAAACAAGGGATGGCTTTGGATGTCCCAACTCGAATGCTCAGGAATAGCTCTAGACCAGTGGCTTACTTTTCTAAACAGCTACAGCAAGTGGCAGCTAGGTGGCAAGGATGTTTGTGAGCTGTGGCCACTACTGCTCTATTGATGGAAGAAGCCAGTAAGTTCACCTAGGGACAACAATTATATGTCATGACCCAACCACCTACCTCCAATCCCAACACCAAATACAGAGGGTCCTAGAAGCAATAGGACACCAATGGCTAACAGGAAGTCATGCACTTAAATGTAAGGCCCTTCTGCTTATGCCACAGATGTTACCCTTAAAGTATGTCGAGCTTTAAACCACACTACCCTGTTGCCAGACTTCACTTCCCAGGATACAGATCCCCAACTTATTCGCTCCTGTGGGGAAACCATAGAACAGACCTACTCTAGAAGATGACTTCAGAGGAGCCCCTGTCTATTCCCAGCATTGAGTGGTTTACAGATGGTAGTAGTTTTATGCATGAAAGAGTAAGAAAGGAAGGTTATTCAGTAGTTAGCCAACGAAAAGTCATTGAGGCAAAAGCTTTCATTAGGGATTGCCAATTAGGAAAAAAATAGGAGTCAATATATTTACCTATTCCAAATATGGGTTTCTAGTGCACCATGCTCATGTGGCTGTACGGAAAGAAAGGGGACTACTAATGGGTAAGGGATTCCCTATACAACATCATTCTGAGATCTTGGAACTTTTAGATGCTGTCCAGCTCCAAAAGGAGGCAGCGGTTATTCACTGCAGGGAACACCATAAGGGAGACCTCTATTATCAAAGGAAATGCTCTGGTAGACAGAGCAACTAAGGCCACAGCTAAAACAATACCAGTAATACAGTCCACTTCATTAATGCCAGGTACTCCATCCAGGTCAGCAACACCATACTATACCCCTGAGGAAATTAAATGGGTAGAAAGTCTTACAAAAGGACCCCTCAGGAAGGTTATGAAGAAGCAACAAACCCTCCTTGAGGCTAAGCAATGGAAAATAGTTAAGTATCTCCATGGTTCCTTACATTTGGAATGGAATTCCCTATTGAAATTATTTTCTCAATTTTTTTTAGGAAGGAATCTATTCTAGACTGCAAAGAGTGTCACCAGGGTTTGTGAATTTTTTGCCTGTAATGACCCCGAAGACACTGCATCCCCCCTCCCCTACTCAAACCTGTACAACATAAAGGAACATATCCTAGGGAAGACTGGCAAATAGATTTTATACAGATGCCACCCTACAGGGGACGAAAATGTTTGCTAGTATTCATCGATACTTTCACCAAGTGAATAGAGATTTTCCTCACAAGTACAGAAAAGCTATTAGAAGTGTCCACATTTTTACTTAAATAAATCATCCCAAGGTTTGGATTACCTAAAACTCTGCAGAGTGAAAATAGACCCTCATTTTCAGTTAAAGTAACCCAGCAGGTTTCCTCAGCCTTCAGCATTCCCTGTCACCTTTACTCCTCCTGGAGACCTCAATCCTCAGGTAAGGTGGAAAAAAACTAATCCTGTTTTTAGAAAGACATTAAAGAGAAGAAAAAAATTAAAGCTCTTATTCCCACCCACAGCATCACATTACGACTTTGATTGGAGTGTTGATTCTTTTAAACAGGTAGCGGAGGTCATTCAAAGGCTCACAGATGTAGGTTGTTTGTGTCCTCCTTCTGTGCCTGCAACTCATATGAAACAGTTTTAATCCTGGATCGGCCTACTCAACATGTTATTCCATGAAGTTTAACAGCAGTGGGGGTACTCAACAACACCCAAAAGAACACTCAAAACAAGACTCAAAAACTCCTCTATCAGGAGAACCCATAGGCCTGGTTTCTCTACTACTCATAGCCCACTTATAGGTAAGGATGGCCTCAAAGGGAACTCTAAAACTTAGTTCGAGATGACATATGGGAGGGTCTTTTTAACTTTAGACCTCCTATTTGATGAAGAGACACATAGAATACTCAGCCATATTATCAACCTGGGCCAGGATCAAAAGGCCCTCCAAACATAGGGAAACAAAATATTGCCCCTTGCCACAAGGGAAAGAATAAACCCTCCTATTCAACCAGGAGGCTTAATCTTGCTAAAAACTTGGAAAGAAAGACACCCTGAAGACCAATTATAACCAGAATGAAAGGACCTCTTTTGGGGGTCCTTTATCCTTAATCCACTGCACCCTAGCCTCTCCCCCTAGCAAACTGCTGAAATGCCACTGTTATGAGTCACCAATGTCCTCCTGATTGACAAAAAAGTAGACATATTTAATTATAGTATTTAACTTCAAGTGACATAGTGGACTCTTCATGATGTAGGACTTGTGGCTGCCATGGCAGAAAGAACTATGTTGGTGGGTTTCTTCAACTCTGGCTCTTACTTCTTAGTGAACTTCCCAGGTTCTTTATTCTCCTCTGTCCATTCTTTACATTGTTGATGTTCTTTTGTTTTTTATAATTTATACAGTTTTACTGGACAAACTTATTCTTTTCTTTCAGTTTGACCACACACATAACAGTCTGCACAATATAGTCATTTGGATAACAAGGAGACACCTCAAATATCCAATGAGCATTTATTGATGTTAACTAGTGGTGTTGATACTAAAAACCCAATTGCCATTTATTTGTCCACAAATAAATGCCAGGTTATATACATCCCCTTGTAATTTTCACAATTTTTCACTTAGTGGCTTATGATGAGTTTTAAATGTAACATTTCTGGTTAAAAAATAAAAATAATAAGATAATAAAAATAAAATAATAAAAATAAACTATATTAACTCAAAACATAAATGCTTATTAATATATAAAGTATATTACATTTCAAATATATTTAAAACATATATAAATTATAAAATAAAATTATTTCTTTTTCTTAACTATTACTTAACTGAAGTTTTGGTTTTCTCTTTGATTCCAGGGGAAAAAAAATCACTTTCTTACTTTAAGTTTTGTTTATGTAGAAGCCAAGGGAAAGCTTTCCTTCTGCCCTCTGAAGGTTCATTGAGAATGAACTGACAATAGACAGATTAATAGGAGAAAAGGCATACAGATGTGTTTATTGTGCATAGCATGAGGGGAACACAGGAGCATGATTACCCAATAACCCAGTAGGGTACAGAGGCTTATATACCCTTCTTCATAGTGGAGGGGAGATGAGGTGAAGGAGTAAATGATTTTTATGGGAGAATGAATGGACCTAATGTTTAGACAATGGTTAGTAAACACTTCTCTTTGGAAATTTAATGGGACCTGAAAATAGATAAGAGTGAAATAAAATTCATTCAGGCTCTGACTGATAGGAATTTTAATCTTCTCCAGTTAATACAATTTTAGTAAAAAATATCAAAGCAAACTGTGTTCATCTTTCAGAGTCTTCCATTTCTGTGTAGAGGAGGTAACTTCACAAAACAGCCTCATTCTGTGCTTTTTGGGAGAGACAGAGGATGAGGTCAGAGGGTGTAGTAGGAAGGTCAGGGTGACCTTAAAGCTGCTTCTTTAATTTAGCATTTCAAAGTATAATATTTTGGGTTATCATTTTTGGAGACCCAACATTTGTTTGTTTTTGTGATTAGTACTCTTCTTAAAATAGAACCAAACTATTACTACCATGAGAAATATATTGAAAACTTTGGTGCAATATGTATGTATGTATGTATATATATATGTATCTCTCTGTTTCAGTGAAAGCTTGACTAGGAGGTTCATTCCTCTATTACCAAAGTGTAGTGTCAGCCAATTATCTTTTGGTTAAATCATTAAAATTAATTAGTCTAATGGATTTTGTCTAAACAATTTTTCAAAAACTGAAAGATGTGTTAGAATGTTGTGATAGTTAATACTGAGTGTCAACTTTATTGGATTGAAGGATACAAAGTATTGATCCTGGGTGTATCTGTGACGGTGATGCCAAAGGAGATTAACATTTGAGTCAGTGAACTGGGAAAGGCAGACCCACCCTTAACCTGGGTGAGCACAGTCTAATCAGCTACCAGTGCAGCTAGAATATAAGCAGGCAGAAAAATGTGAAAAGAGAAACACGTCTAGCTGCCCAGTATACATCTTTCTCCCATGCTGGATGCTTCCTGCCCTTGAACACTGGACTCCAAGTTCTTCAGTTTTGGAATTTGGACTGGCTCTCCTTGCTCCTCAGCCTGCAGACAGCCTATTGTGGGAACTTGTGATCGTGTGAGTTAATACTTAATACTTAATAAACATGTATATATATATATATATACACACACACACACACACACACACACACATCTATTCCATTAGTTCTGTCCCTGTAGAGAACCCTGACTAATACAAATGACAAATGTCTTTCATTGCTAGTTTGTTTAGAGCATTAATCTAAATATTTCAAAGAATGATCACCTTGTATCTTTTAAGATATTTTATTGGGATTAAATTTATAAAACCTAAAATTAACCATTCTAAAGTAAAAAATTCAGGAGCATTTAGTACATTTACAGCACAATTGCATCTCTAGTTCTATCCTCTATTTCTATCATATTTCCATCACCTCAAAAGGAAACCTCATGCCCATTAAGCAGTTATTCACCATTTTGTCACTGCCATCACCAAGTCCCTGAGTATCACAATCTGCTTTCTGTCTTTATACTTTCACCTATTCTAGATGTTTTCTATAAATTTAATAATACAATATGCGATACTTTATGTTTTACTTTTTTACTTAACGTATATTTGAGGTTCATTTATATTGGAGCATGTATCAATATTTAATTGATTTTCATGGTTAAATAACATTTCATTGAATTTATATTCCATGGTTGGTTTATCTTTTTATTCACTGAACTTTTCGGCGGCATCGATGTTTTGGCCCTTGTGAATAATGCTGCAATGAACATGTGTATATGTGTATTTGTTTGAGTACCTCTTTTCAATTATTTTAGATATATTCCTAAGAATGAAATTATTGAGTCGAGGGATAATCCTGTTTAACTTTTTGAGAAACTGCTAAACTGTTTTTCATAATAGCTGAATCACTTTACATTTCTATCAGTGATGTACAAGGGTTCTATTTTTTCACATCCTCACCAACAATTGTTTTTCATTAAAAATAAATAATAGTTTTTCTAGTTGGTTGAAGCGGTACCTCAATACGGTTTTGAGTTATATTGCCCCAATGATGAACGCTGTTGAGCATCTCTTCATGTGCTCATTAGTCACATTGAATATCTTTCTTATATAAATGTATATTCAAGACCACTTCTCATTTTAACTGTTTCTTATGTTTCTGTTGTTGAATAAGAGTTTTTATATAAACAAGATACTGGCCTCTTAGCAGATACATGGTTTGCAAATATTTTCTCCTATTTTAAAGATAGCCTTTCACTTTCTTGATAATGTTCTTTGATGTACAAAGATTTTAAATTCTGATGAAGTTCAATTTATCTACTTTTCTTCTTTTGTTGCTCTTCCTCTTGTTATTGCTAAGAATCCATAGACATATCTAATGTAATGAAAATTTACCCATATGTTTTTATGGTTTTATTTCTTATATTTTGGTCTTAGACCCATTTTACATGGGGTGAGGTATGGATTCAAGTGTCTTATTTTTTTACGTGGTGTGAGGTATGGATTCAAGTGTCTTATTTTGCTTGTGCATATCTTACTGTTTCAGTAACATTTGTTAAAGAGATTATTCATTCTCCTATTTGATTAAATGTACCAAAATCACTAGGATTTTGGTACATTTGTCAAACATCAACTGACCATTGATATATTGGTTTATTTCTGAAATCGAAATTCTTTTTGATTGGTCTATATGTCTAACCTTATGTTAGTATCACACTAAGACAATGCTTGATCAATCATCTCTAAATAATTTACTTCTTAAGTCTGTATTATCTTGTAATTCCAAAACTGGAATATCATTGTGAAATGTGAGCTCATCAGTCTGAAATTTTGGGCTGCATATTAAAACTTACAGTACAAGTTGACTAATACTTATAAGATATATTAAGGGCATTGTGCTTGAACAACAAAAGCATTTAGTGTATTTTTCATGTCTTTAAACATTTTGCCTCCTTTTATTTGCCTTGTATCTTAAGAACTAATAGATTACCACTTAAAGTGTATTGCAAACCAACTCAAAAGAAATAAACCTTTAATCCTAGCACTTTATGAGGCCAAGGTGGGAGGATTGCTTGAGCCCAGAAGTTCAAGACCAGCCTGGACAAGATGGCAAGATCCTGTCTCTACGAAAATAACTTAAAAATCAATTGGTCAAGATGTTATTCACCTCTAGTCTCAACTACACAGGAGGCTGAGGTGGGAGGATATCTTGAGCCCAGGAGTTCGAGGCTGCAGTGAGCTGTGATCATGCCACTGCACTCCATCCTGGGAAACAGAATGAGACCCTGTCTCTAGAAAAAGAAAAAGAGAGTAATAAATTTTCAATCATTTTAATACTGAGACTGTTGCTTCTCAGTGAGCTTAAATTTTAGGACACTAAGCAGATTTATGCCATTGTACTTTTCACTTGCTATGTCTAATCAAATCTCTAATTAGTCATGAAGTATCTCATTTTGGTTTTTAGCTTTATTAACAAATTTCAGTTTAAATATTGATCTCCCAGAATGGCTTATGAGGTATAACAATAGAGGAAGGGATTTCTGAATAGTAGGAGCGTATTAATCTGTTCTCTTGCTGCTAATAAAGACATACCGGAGACTGGGTAATTTATAAAGGAGAAAGGTTTAATTCACTCACAGTTCAGCATGGCTGGGGAGGCCTCAAGAAATGTACAATCATGGCAGAAGGCAAAGGGGAAGCAAAGCACTTTCTTCACAAGGCAGCAAGAAGGAGAAGTTCAAGCCAGGGGAAATACCAGAAACTTATAAATCCATGAAATCTCATGAGACTCACTCATTATTGTGAGAAGAGCATGGAAGAATCCACTCCCATGATTCAATTACCTCCTCCTGGTCCCACCCTTGACATGTGGGGATTATAAGAATTACAATTAAAGGACAGATTGGGAGGGGACACACAGCCAAACTATATCATCCTGCCCCTGGCTCATCCCAAATCTCATGTCCTCACATTTCAAAACACATTCATGCCTTCTCAACAATACCCCAAAGTCTTAACTTATTCCAGCATTAACCCAAAAGTCCAATCCAAAGTCTCATCTGAAACAAGGTAAGTCTCTTTCACCTGTGAACCTGTAAAATCAAAAGCAATTTAGTTACTTCCTATATACAATGGGGCTACCAGCATTGGATATATACAACCACTCTAAATGGGAGAAATTGGCCAAAACAAAGGGCTACAAGCCCCATGCAAGTCCAAAATCCAATAGGGCAGTCATTAAACCTTAAAGTTCCAAAACTATCTCCTTTGACTCCATGCCTCACATCCAGGTCACACTGATGCAAGAGGTGGGCTCCCACAGCCTTGGGCACCTCCACCTCTGTGGCTTTGCAGGCTAAATCTTCCCTCCCAGTTGTTTTCACAGGCTGGCATTGAGTGTCTGTGGCTTTTCCAGGCACACAGTGGAAGCTGTCAGTGGATCTACCATTCTGGGATCTGGAAAATAGTGGCCCTCTTCTCACAGCTCCACTAGGGGAATCTGTGTGGCAGCTCACATGCCACATTTTGCTTCTGCACTGCCCTAGCAGAGGTTCTCCATGAAGGCTCTGACCCTGCAGCAAACTTCTGCCTGGACATCCAGGTGCTTCCACACATCTTCTGAAAACTAAGCAAAGATTCCCAAATATTAATTCTCTACTTCTGTGTACCCACAGTCTCAACACCATGTGGAAGCTGCCAAGGTTTGGGGCTTGTCCCCTCTGAAGCAATGGCCTGAGCTCTAGCTTGGCCCCTTTTAGCCACAGCGAGAGATAAAGCAGCTGGAATGCAGGGCATCATGTCCTGAGGCTGCACACAGCAGGCAGCCCTTGGGATGAACTCAGGAAACCATTTTTCTCTCCTAGACCCCCAGGCCTGTGATGGGAGGGGGTACTGTGGAGGTCTCTGAATTCCCTAGAGAAATTTTCTTCATTGTCTTCGTGATTAACATTTAGCTCATGGTTACTTATGCAAATTGATGTAGCTGCCTTGAATTTCTCACCAGAAAATGGGTTTTTCTTTTCTATCCCATCATGATGCTGTACATTTTCCATACTTTTATGCTCTGCTCCCTCTTAAACACTTTGCCACTTAAAACTTTCCTCTGCCAGATACCCTAAATCATCTCTCTCAAGTTCAAAGTTACATAGATCTCTAGGGCAGGGGCAAAATGCCACCAATCTCTCTTCTAAAGCATAGAATGAGTGACCTTTACTCCAGTTCCCAACAAGTTGCTCATCTCCATCTGAGACCACCTCAGTCTGGACTTCATTGTCCATATCACTATCAGCATTTTGGTCAAAGCCATTCAGTAAGTCTGTAGGAAGTTTCAAACTTTCCAACATTTTCCAACTTTCTTCTGAGCCCCCCTAACAGTTCCAACCTCTGCCTGTTACCCAGTTCCAAAGTCACTTCCACATTTTGGGGTATCTTTATGGCAGCACTTGACCCAATTGGTACCACTTTACTTTATTAGTCCATTCTCACACTGCTTTATAAAGACATACCTGAGACTGTCTAATTTGTAAAAGAAAGAAGTTTAATTGACTCACAGTTCAGCATGGCTTGGGAGGGCTCAGGAGGTTTACAAAAATGGCAGAAGGGGAAGGGGAAGCAAGGCACCTTTTCACAAGGCAGCAAGAAGGCAAAGTGCAAGCAGAAGAAATGCCAGATGCTTATAAAACCATCAGATCTCGTGAGACTCACTCATTATCATGAGAACAGCATGTGGGAAACCACCCCCATGATTCAATTACCTTCACCTGGTCCCGCCCTTGACACATAGGGATTATGGGGATTGCAATTCAAGGTGAGATTTGTATGGGGACACAGAACCAAAGCATGTCAAAGAGAGTCTCTGATTACTGGATAACTACCATTTATGTAAATATAAAGAGACATGAACCTTTAAAACAATAATCTCATTAGTAATTAACTCCTGTTGTACTGAAACTCAGTTCTTAAATAATCAGTCGTATCATTGACAGCTAAGTAGAACTCAATGATACTTGGTTAACTACAGTTTCTGTGTTTTTTTAAATAGTCATATATCACCTTTAGCCAGATTTTTCTTTCCCATACTATCTTTCATTGACAAAGGTTAGACAGATTATTTATATTAATAATAAGGGTTGTGAAAAGAATTTAAAATGGCTCCTGATTCATCAGTCTACATACATTATACTTATAAATTTGAAGTATATTTTTACACAAAGTACACTGTATTGTTTCTGATTTCTTGAAATTAATGACATATGGATGACACGTATGACATCATTAGCCAGAAAATACCTTCATTTTGAATTTTATATACCCTTAATATTCTGAATAAATAGGTGTTGAATATGCATACATACAAAATGCATGCTTTGTTCCTATAGGTTTCATGTAAGTGATGAATGATAGAGTGATACCTACTTCTATCTCTCTGCTTTTAAGATAATTGTAAATTTATTTAGAGTTTCAAATATTAAAGTTTCTGAATGAATCAATCTCCGTGGACTGCACTGAGGGAAACCTGTTTACTTTTTTGTAGTTATGATTATAGAAGGCCAACAATATCAGCTACAGAAAATATTTGGTAAATGTCTGAGTTGAGCACTATGAAGTTCTAAGAAGCACATCGCCTTTAGACAGCCTGATTAGTCTATACAGGAAGAGTTCTCTAACTATACAATGCTGAAGAAACCAGTCTTTACAAACTACTGATTGTTCTTTTGTAATACTTATTTACTTTTCAAATCATACAGTTTATTATGAACTGGTAGGAGTCCTAAATATACTCTATTCTAAGTACCTCAGAGTTGAAGAAACAGAGTTAAGAAATGTTCAAGTATTTGATAATGTTCAAATGCCGAGGTTAGCATCTTCATAACTCCCAGTGCAGTGATTAACAAACCATAAAAATAACATTTTGTAATAAGGGCACAAAAGACAGAGTGTGAATTTTCACAGGAAAAGCTTAAAAAAAACTTGGAAATTATAGTAGGAGAAATCTATGAGAAACTTAAAACACACCTGTTTTTATTTTATCCCTTTAAGAGGATTATGAAAGGTAAGTGGTGCTTTCAATTCCAACTGTTATTTCCTCACTCATATTTTTCAAGTTCCTAAGAGTCAACATATCTAATTTACTTTCCTTTGCTCCTTTTATGGTGGTACAGAATGTACTAAATGCCAGTTATACCAATGATAAGTAATTCTAGTTTTTCTAAGATATCTAAGGTGTAAATAATATGCCCATTTTAAAACTGAAACTATGTACTCAGATTAACAAATGGTATAATGTGATTCACCTAGTAAATGATATAATCGGGATATTAACCTTTGTCTGAAATTCTTTCAAGACTTTCTTTCAACGCTGTTACCTGCATTCTAATATATCATCTTTGTTTTCATTTTTATACTTGTGCTCATAAGGCATCATGAGACTATAAGATTTCTACAGTCAATAGATGCATTTGTCTTTACTATTGCACATTAAAGTTTTACAAGTGTGTGGGCAGAACTTTGGATATATCTTGTGAGTCAAACCTGCTCTTTTCACCTTTGTTAATGGCAACTCTATCTTTCCAATTGCTCAGGCAGAAAACTTACGTTTTTCTTTAATTTTCTCTTGGCACTAACCTTAATGTGCATTCAGTGCTCATCCACTTCACAGCTTATTCTTTGTTATAGGTTTTAGTGATACCAGATGCCCTCAACTCTCACCTGAATCATTCCAATAGTCTCCATCTCCTAACTCGTCCTGTTTCCGATCTTGCCTACATTGATTCTATTCCTAAAAGAATTAACAGAGTTATCTTTTTAAATGGCAAATTAATCATATCTTTCCTCACTTCAATTCCTCCATCTCACTTAGAATAAAAAGTGAGAAATCTTAGCATGTCCCACAAAGACCCAGAGAAAGTGGATCCAGCCCTCATACACATGCAAACAGTTACAAACACACTTCTGACCTTCTCTCCCCAATTCCTCTTTAACTCTTTGTCCCAGTCAATACAACCTCCTTGTTATTATTCTGAAATCAACCAGAATGACACTTTTGAATCAGGACCTTTATAATTATTGCTTCTTTGGCCTGGAACTCTTTCCTCTCAGTTGTATGCACCGCTAACTCCTTTATCTCCTTTAAATCTCTGGTAATATTATCAATATGGTTATCTTTAAATACCTTATCAAGACAGAAATCAATTACGTAGTTTGGGTCTTCCAGAAGAAGACTTCATGAGTTACCTACATTGAAGAAACAGCTCTTTAAAAATTCAATGTTTTGCAGAAAGGTGCATTTGTAAAATAAAGTAATAATTGTATGATAATATAAAATTGCTATAAAAGTTTTTAAGCATTTACTCTCACTTTCTGTATTTATCTCAGTATACTATTGCCACAAAGTTATGTAGACCAGCATTGTGTCTCATCTTATATGCCATATGAAAATAGCATAGCTACAGTTAGTCATCAATTTCTTTGACACATAAAATCAAATATAGAAAAAGGAAATAAAACACAGCTATTTTAAATATTTAATTATTTTTGATTTAATAATTTAACAAAAAGTAATTATCGATTATTATCTTACCTTTTAATGTTTGGAGTACCAAAAATTGTAAGAGACAAGGAAGTACTATAAACTCTGCATATGCATACATGTTAGCTAGGGATCATGTTACATTGAAGATTCTATTTTAGTAGACATGTGATGAGGCCAGAGATTCTGCATCCTTTTTTTTAGTTTTATTTTTTTGAGACAGAGTCTCGCTTTGTCACCCAAGCTAGAGTGGAGTGGCACGATCTTGGCTCACTGCAACCTCCGCCTCCCAGGTTCAAGAAATTCTCCTGCCTCAGCCTCCGGAGTAGCTGGGATTACAGGAGTGTGCCACCACGCCTGGCTAATTTTTGTATTTTTAGTAGAAACGGGGTTTCGCCATGTTGTCCAGGATGGTCTCAAACTCCTGACCTCAGGAGATCCACCTGCCTCGGCCTTCCAAAGTGCTGGGATTACAGGCGTGAGCCACTGCGCCCAGCGGAGATTCTGCATTTTTAACGGATTTCTCCGAGATGCTGTTCCTAATTCATACTTGAAGTAGGAATGGCTGGAAAGCAGAGCCTCAAGTAAAGATGAAAGTGCCCACATTTTATTTGCAATTCGTAAGCCTCGAGTGGTTTGAATGAGAAATAGAGAAAAGTGGAGAAAGAAAAAAGAGGGAAAGAAGCGAGGAAATATGATTCTTTACGACATTCACTGCAAGGAGTTAAAATTGTCAAAAATGTTTCACTGATGTGTAGTCACAATGAACTAAATTTTTCATGAAAAGGTGCAAGGATGAAGTTAACCTTGAGAGAGGGAAAGGCTCTTGAAGTTAACCTTGAGAGAGAGAAAGGGATTATCTTCAAAGCTTGTCAATTCTCACTCAGTGAACAGCTGTTTCCTTCATGCTTTTCAGTATCATCAGCTGGCCCCTCAGTGACTTCTTAGAAATCTAGATTCTTCCATCATGGGGGCAGTATTTCAGCCAAGCCCAAAAGTATAAGGGAACCACCTGAAACAGGCAAGGTGCTAAGAAAAAGAAAAGAGAAACAATGTGTAAGAAGGCTCAATATTCACAACAAATACGTTATTTCTCTCTCTTCCAAGCTTATTTTACTTCTTCCTCCATAAAAGGTATCACCACTTGATGGTGAATATATATTTTATCTATGTATAAAATTTTTAAATATAAATATATTTATATTATATATTATATATGTTTATAATAAATATATTTATTTATATTAGGCAATATATATTATAGTACATGTATATATAATATATAAAATACATATGTAATATCTTATATATCATATATGTGTATATATATGCATGCACGTGTGTGGGTATATATGTATAACAGGTTTGTTTTTATTTTCTTCCATTATAATAATGTATTGTACTTGAGAGCAAAGATTGTTTTTGTTATCTATCCCCAGAATAATGTCTAACACATAGTAGCTGCTAAATAACACTATGGTAAATAAATAAATGTGTCAGTAAATTTTAAAAAGTATCTGTATGAAGAGATTGAGTCCAAAATGAAACCGTTAAAATGATTTTTCCCTTCACTCTTGGTTATATAATTTTTCCCCATGGCAATGGATTTTCCTGTGCCAATTCTTCAAATCAGGGAGTTACACAGAAATTCACCTGATGAAAAGTTTTGGATTAGCATTTCATTTGCTATTGCAGATTAATTAACCAAAGCCAAAAATTAGCATGGTTTGTGTTTGGGGCAATTTGCGACAAATCATTTTTTCAGAAAATAATATCTGCCAGGCTAACAGAAATTATAAAGTTCTGATAAAAATGAACAAATATATTTTGCTGAATTTTGATTATATTTCCCCTTGATTTAGAAAGTAATTTAAATCATTTTCAATACTGTCATTATACAGTTCATTATTTTTAATTTAATTTATTGCAAATAGGACTATTTTTATGAATTTTAGGCATAATTTTAAATCATACTCTAGGTCGAGAAACCTTTTCCTACAGGATAGATATAAGATATTTTAAGGTATATTACTTAACAATTTAAAGCACCCTATTTTGACATTATAAAATAGTATTTATTAATGTATCTGACATTGTAGCTTCATGGTAGCACATCTATGAATCTCCTTTTCATTTTGCTCCGCATTTACTAGTAGTTTTATTTGTATAATTTCTGTTTCCCAGTAGAAATAGTGAGAGAAAAATCAAATTAACTTTTTTTTATATTTTTGACTGTTATGCTTAGATGTTCCTTTTATCAAATTCAATATGCGATGCATTTTTTCAGTGTTTACAGTACATGCTAATATCACAGATTGTATTTCTACAGATAATTCTCTAAGAGACAGAATTATAATTTCACTTACTCATGTATTTATCATTTATTTTGTGATTACTATACATGTATTACCATACAAAGCATTTATGGGCAGACTGAAAACATTGTATTCTCTTTATATTTCCTAAACAAGAGATCATTTTGCATTAATAGTTGCCGTGACATAGAGAGATACTATATTGAATACTGCAAAATAACTTAGCTGTTTCAAATATAAAATATTTGTATTGGAAATTTGTCTTGTTTTTTAAGAAACTTCCTTAACAGTTTGACCTGTTGCATCTTTTCTTGTTAGGAGAAGGATAATTTTAAAATAACTGTATATTTTAGTGACTATATCTCAAGGCATAGGTAACCTGTAGACATAAAAATAGGTTGGGGCAATATTTGCTTTTATAATCCTTCATTAATCCACAACAAAGAAATGTCAGAGATTTGTATATTTTCCATTCGTATCTTTTAATAGTTTTTATTTCTCTGCTGAGATTTTTTTATCTCTCTATATTTTTCTACCTCATTGTTAAAATATGTATTTTTAAATATTTGTCTGCTAATATTAACTTTTGGGTCATCATGGGTTTCTTTTTTCCCTTTGATTGGCTTTGAGTTATATTTTTCTAATTCTCATTGTGCTGAGTATTTTTATTGTATTCTGAACATTTTGAATATTATAATACACAGTACATTTTGTTATATTCCTCAGAAGAATGTTAATCATTTTGCTTAAAAGCAGGCAGTTTTTGTAAATAAACTCACATTGAATACTCTCTCTCACTCTTAAATGACATCTCCAACCTCCCGTAAGTTTGTTTAAACTTTAGCTGGTATCCGTCTTGCACATATATGGTTCAGAGATATGAGCAGTGTTTATAGGCAGAAATTAGGTTCCACATCTTTGACTCTCATATTTAAATAATCCCCATCAGGTGTCTGTATAATGATTATTTTCTATCAGAGATTTAGCCATCTTATTTCTGCCAGCTTCCTACTTTTGTTCAATCTTTAGCGGCTCCATGTAATTTCAAAAATGTTCAGAGTTTATGGTACTTCCTTGTCTCTTACAATTTTTGGTACTCCAAACATTTAAAGGTAAGATAATAATCGATAATTACTTTTTGTTAGATTATTAAATCAAAAATTGTTAAATATTTAAAATAGCTGTGTTTTATTTCCTTTTTCTGTATTTGATTTTATATGTCAAAGAAATGATGACTAACTGTAGCTATGCTATTTTCATATGGAATATAAAATTATTCTGTCTCAAGTTACATCTTCTCTTAACTATAGAATTTTATGCGCAATTGACTTCTTGATCATTGTAATGTCTGTATGACATCTCTAATTAAATGTTACATAGGCATCTCAAACTTAATAATTTCTAAAAGGCATTTCTTAATTTTCTAACAAAATGTCTCAGCCCTAATTCCCATCTCAGTGCCATTTACAAATACCTAAAGTAAAAAATCTATGGATTTAACTTTTGAATTTTTTTCTCTCAGTCTCTAAGTCCAAGCTATTATTCAATCTTATAAACCAAACCTTGAAACAATAATATGAATAAAACCCACTTAAAATTGCTAATAGTATTGCCCTATTACAATTGTAACGTCAGTAGTTATGTCTTCCCTCTCACTCCTGATAATCTTAATTCATGTATTCTCTTTTTGCCTGTATAGGAAAGTTAGTTGTTTATCAATTGTATTGATATCCAACAGCCAGCTTTTGTTTTATTGATTTTTTACATCATTTTTCTGTTTTCTATTTCACTGATTTCTGTTCTTTATTTCTGTGTCGGTCTGTTTTTGTGTTTCTATAAAGGAATATCTGAGACTGAGTAATTTGTAAAGAAAAGAAGTTTGTCTTGTGGTTCTGCTGGTTGTACAGGAAGTGTGGTACTCTGCTTAGCTTCTGGTGATCCCCAGGAAGCTTCTAATCATGGTGGAAGGCAAAGGGGGAGTAGTGCCTTACATAGTGACAGCAGGA
The DNA here is from genome assembly GCF_000001405.40 of Homo sapiens. NCBI lineage: Eukaryota > Metazoa > Chordata > Mammalia > Primates > Hominidae > Homo > Homo sapiens. Next base: position 32,818,521 of record NC_000004.12, read on the forward strand.
GCAAGAGAGAGAGAAGAGGGAGGTCCCAGATGTTTTTAAACAACCAGATCTCTCATGCACTAGCTGAGCAAGAATTCACTTATCATCAAGGGGATAGTGCTAAACTATTCAAGAGGGATCTATCCCCATGATTTAATTACCTCCCACTAGGCCCCATCTCCAATACTGGGAATCACATTTCAACATGAAATTTGATGGGGATAAACTTCCAAAACATACCAATTACGAATTTCTTTCTTCACTTTATTTTGCCCTTAATTTGGCCTTCATTATTTATGGTGGAAATTTATATCATTGCTTTATGAACTTTTCTAAGATAGATATTTAGTGCTATAATTTCTCTTTAATTTATTGTGTTTACTTTTACTTAATTTCATAGACTTGTTCATTTTCCTGGTGTTTTTTTCTTTAACAAATGAGTTATTTAGACACATGTCACTTCATTTTAAAATAATTTAAGATGTTTTAGACATCTTTCTGTAAATCATCTCTAACTGCATTTCATTGTTGTCAAAAGACACACACTGTATAACTTCAATACTTATACATTTGTCAAGTCTTATTTTCTGGGCTATACAACTGTATATCTTGGTAAATGTTCCTTATATGCACTTTCCTGTTATTGTGCAGTGGTTACAGTGTTCTATGGGTGTCACTTTATCCAAGTTGGTTTATGGTGTTGTTTAAGTCATCAGAATTCTTACAAAGTTCTGTTTACTTATTCTACTAATTTTTGACAGAAGAGTGTTTACTTCTTTGATTAATTATAAATTAATAATATCTCCTTTCAGTCCTATCATTTTTGCTTCATGTATTATGAACATCTGTTATTAGGTGAATAGAAGTTTAATATTGTTATGTCTTCTCAATGAATTGATCATTATAAAATTACTTTTAAAAATATCTAGTAATATTATCTAATCTAAAGTCTAACTTTGATATTAATATAAGTCATTCTAGACTTCTTTTGATTAGTATTATCATTGTAGATATTTTCCCACTTATTAAATAGCTTTATTATAGTCTACCTTAAGTAATGTTATACTACTTCTTATCGTATAGTGCAAGAATCTAACCCCAGTTTTCTATTTCCACTCTCTTGGAATTTGTGCCACATTTAAAAGTTTAACTTAATTATTCACATTTAAAGTGAGTTTCTTAGATCTTGCTTTTATATCTGATCTAACTTCTGCTTTGGTTAGATGTAATTAGACCATATATATTTTGCTGTGATTATTTTATATTTGAGCTTAAATCTCCCACATTGCTTCTTTTCTTTTATTTGTGACTTCTATTCTTTGTTATTCTCTGTTTTGTTTCTCTGTGCACTCTTGGGTTATTTTTAGGACTCCATTTTATGTCATTTTTGGCTCCTTAATTATGTCTGCTTGTGCTTTATTCTTAGCGATTGCCATAGTTTTTATACTAAATATCTTTATTATAGTCTACCTTAAGTAATGTTATACTACTTCTTATACTCCAATGTAAGAAATTAATCCCATAATTCTTCCATTTTCACTCTTCTGGACTTTGTGCTACTATGGTCATACATGTTAATTACACATATGTTATAAAACCCACAATACTTGCTAATTCTTTAGCTTTTAACAATTATTTTAAAAGAGCTTTGTAAAGGGAAAATACAATATTTTATATTTACACTCATATTTAGCTTTTCTATGAATCTTCATTCATTTACATGAATCCAGATTTTTATCTGAAATCATTTTCTTTCTGCCTGAGATGTCTTTCAAAATTTCTGATAGCTTGACTCAAGATAAATTTGTTCAGCTTTTGAAGATATAGGAAAGTATTAACTTTTCCTTTTTTTCTTCCTCTTTTTCTTTGCTGAGTATGGAATAATAAGGCATTGTATGACTCTTCTGGCTTGTTAAGACTGAATGGGAATATTCTGTCATTCTTTATTTGTCTGTAAATAATCTGTCTTTCTAATTCTGGCTGCTTTTAAGATTTTCTTATTATTTCTTTTGTTAAGCAATGTCATATTAGTGATTTCACGTAATAGCCTTCATTTTTTGTTTTATTTTGTCTGCGTGTAGTTTTTTTCAGTTTCTTGAATGTATATGTTCATAGTTTTCAACAAATTTCATAAAATTTGAAACATTTTGTCCATTACTTTTGTCAAATATTTTTCTGCGCCCCTTTCTCCTATAAGAATTTTAATTACATGTATATTAGCCAACTTAAAATTGTTCACAGCTTACTGATGCTCTATTCTCGTTCTTTTTTTTTCTGTCTTTTTAATCTTTTGTTTCATTTTTCATGGTTTTCCTTTCTGTGTCATCAAGTTCACTTACCTTTTCTTCCATGTTGTTCTGTTGTTGATACCCTCCGGTGCACTTTTTAGCCAAGAAATTATATTTTTTTTCTCCAAAAGTTTGATTGGGTGTTTTATTTTGTTTTTCCAATATTCTCTGTTGTTAACATCTCATGCTTTCCTCCTCATTCTTGAACTGTCAAATATGATTATAATAACTTTGTTAATACCCTTGACTACTAATTATAAGATTTTATCATTTCTCTGTTAGTTTTGATTAAGTTTTTTTAAGTTTTTTTTTTTTTTTTTTTTTTTTTTTGAGACAGGGTCTTGCTCTTTCATCCCAGCTGTAGTGCAGTGGCGGGATCCTGACTCCCTGCAGCCTTTGTTTCCCAGGTTCAAGGGATTCTCCTGCCTCAGCCTCCCAAGTAGCTGGGATCACAGGCATGCACCACCACGTATGGCTATTTTTTGTATTTTTTAGTAGAGATGGTATTTCACCATGTTGGCCAGGCTGGTCTCAAACTGCTGACCTCAAGCAATCTGCCTGCCTCAGCCTCCCAAAGTGTTGGGATTACAGATGTGAGCCACCATCCCCTGCCCAATTAACATTTATCTGCTTATAGGCTACATTTTCTTGCTTATTTGTATGCTTGGGGTACAGATAGTCTATAATGTATCTTTTTGAATGCTGGATATTTTGTAATTTAAAAAACACATTTTATTTCCATTTTGGGACACAGTGAAGTTACTCAAAAATATTATAAATCTTTCAAGGCTTACATTTAATCATCAGATGAGTAGGGCAAGAACAGTCTTTAGGTGTAATCTTTTTTGCCTACTAATGAGGCAATAGAATTCTGAGTACTCTACTTGATGCCCCACATATTACAAGTTTATTCAACCCTTGCTAGTGGAACACAAACTATTCCAAATTCTACGATCTCTTATGATTTTTCCAGACTCTTGTTTCTGGTGTATCCTCTCAACACCCTCTTTCTGCCTTGTGCTATGTAGTCACAGATATTTGCTGATAATTACTCAATTGAAGTCTAGAAGGGAATGCTTTGCCGGTCTCCTGAGCTTCCTGAACTCTGAGCAATAATCTAATTTCCACACAGTTCACAGTTATCTACTCTGTAAACTCCGAATGCCATTGTGGCTTGAAAATCTTCCCTCTGTCTCTCCAGTCCAGGAAGACATCCTGCTCTGTTTGGATGACCTTCCCTAGTAATGTGGCCTGGACACTCTTTCTAGGCATTAAACTAGCAAAGTGGAGGGCTCACCTTGTTTTTTATTCTTTCACAACCACTATCTAGTGCTGCATATTATCCAATGTCTGCAATCTATTTTTTAAATATATTTTGTCAATTTGTTGATATGCTTAAGGCAAGAGATTAAGTCATTACTCATTACTCTGCCATGGCTTAAAAGGAAAGTCTGAAAATGGTGATCAAATTTAAATTTGTAATGAAATGGATGTTGAAAGCTATCTTTCAATAATTTGTTAAACTTCTTCTGTCACTTTATTTTCTATTAATTAAAATTAAGGTATTATACATACTAAAGAAGCTAATTTCTTTACCAGAAGGAGAAGGTCTTCAGCCTCAGGCACCTAACAGGTATGGAAGGATTTTTCACTGCAAGTTGTGTGAATGTGAGTGCTGTTAGTTCAAATATGTATAAAAGAGTCTGCAAACACCCAGGGGCAGGGCAGCTATTCTAGTTTAAGAATACCCTGAATCAAATTATTCTTTAATTTCGATAGAAAATGTGTAGACACAGCAGGAATCTGTTGCATTTATTATGTTAGTTGAGTTGTTAGTGAAGACATTTACCCTAGTCTATTTATAAAAGTAGCCTGCTAGCATATCTCCCAAATTGAAACTGCCTCCCTATTAATTCCATCTCAAGGCAGTCAGCGAAGATTTTGTATTGTGTTCAGGCAACCACTGCATCCTTTTTTCTTTTCATCCTTCTTCTTTCTTTCTTTCTTTCTTTATTATTTTTAGTAAAGTAAATCTTATTGGATTACCTCTCTGATGAAAACCATTCAGGACATTCTTATCTGACTTAGAATAAAATCCAAAATATTAACAGATACTAAAAACCCTGCATTATCTGCCTGCTTATTTTAAGGACCTAGTAGTTTGTCCCTCTTTTTAAATATATCTTCTTTCAAATTAATTGAGTGTTTTTTATGGTATCATTGCATTTCCTTGTTTCAATATTAGCTATACTTTTCTATGTTATAAATTAATATTTCAGCCTTAGGTTTTATAGTATAAACCTTTACACTTATTGCCATCTTCCTTAAAGTAATGTTATGACACTTCTGATATAAGAAACTGATAGCGCTGTATTTCTATGTCATTTCTTCCGGCTTTTATGCTATTTCTAAAGGAAATACTTCAGAAAGAGGGAAAATATTTTTAAATAGAAATCTAGATTAATTCAAGAAAATGAACAGTATTAGATATGATAATGTGAATTCCCAAAATTTGAGAGAGGTATCAGTTAATTTAGAAAGTGTATTTTGCCAAGGTTGAGGATGTGTGCCCATGACACAGCCTCAGGAGGTCCTGATGACATGTGCCCAAGGTGATCAGAGCATAGTTTGGTTCTAATTATTTTAGGGAAACATCAGACCTCAATCAACATATCTAAGATGAACATTAGTTTGGTTTGGAAAGGTGGGACAACTCAAAGTGGAGAGGGGGCTTCCAGGTCGTAGGTAGATACAAGACAAATGGTTGAATTATTTGAAGTTCCTGATTAGCCTTTCCAAAGGAGGCAATCAGATACGAATTTATTTCACTGAACAGAAGGATAACTTTGAATAGAATGGGAGGCCGGTTTGCTCTAAACAGTTCCAAGCTTCACTTTTCCCTTTAGTTTAGTGATTTTGGGGGCCCAATATAATTTTCTTTCACACTTCCCCCCCTTTCCTTTTTAAAATCTTTTGGATAAAGCATTTTAGAAGAAAATGAGTCTCTGTTTCCAGGTTTCATCTGAACTCTCATAACTAGGATGTTTTATTCCTAGACAGGTAGGTATTGAGTTATTAGGAAAGCTCATTTTTAGAAGGTTGTGAAGTCTCATGTTCTGCGAAGATAAAATAGGGGGAGGAAGGGAGAAAAACAACAACAAACAAAATAACAATTCTGGAAAATTGATATAGCCCACATTACTCCAAAGTCCATGCATCAGTAGACAGTATGAAAGTGGTATATGTACGTAAATAGATTGCCATTACTTTCTTCTGAATTTAGGTTTTCTAGCTTAGTTTGCAGGGCTTTACAAAAGTACAGCTTAGTTTCCAGTAACTCCAAATTAGGAAAAATGGGAAAAACAAAGTTGAGAACTTGTAGCCAAGAAAAGTTAGAATTCCATCCAAAGTGTAGAAAATAATAAAATTGAAAAACATTCAGCAAGACTAAGAATCTAACAATAGCCGTACTATAGTTTTTGAAACATAATTTTTCTTTCTCCAGTTACCCATTTTTACTAAAAGCAAATCATGATATGACTGATTTGCTTTATTGTACTTGGCCTAATATCTTGTATACAGTACAGCAAGAATAATTGTTTTTAACGTGGGCTTTTAAATTGGCTTTGATGGAACTTTGTTCCATAGAAGGAATCTCAGATAAGAGTTTTTTGAAACCAAGCCAAGCCATAGAATTGTGCAATCAAATATCTATGAGTTGAGTGATCCTTTCGTCTTTAAGTTCCAAGATGAACTTGGGGCTCCTGGGCCAGTTAGAAAGTGGCATTCTTTACTTACCACAGGTCAGGAACCCTGTACAGTGAAGGTATGAGGCCAGTTTCCCAAGGGGCTTTATTGGCTTTATAAGTCAAGTTTTATTACTTAAAGGAAAGACACCATTCTAGTCAAAGCCTTGGTAAAATAACCAGTTTCTCCAATTGTGTCCTGTTGCAAAATGAAAACAGATTCTTATTGCACTTATGCAAATAACTGTATTGCCATAAGTTAGGAATATTTACAAATAGTTTTCAAATTCTGGAGAAATCAGGTAGAGAGATAAAACATATGCTCCAAATTTTGTTCATAAGAGTATACCAAATTGTATACTAAACCTGATCAATAGCTCAAAAAAAAGTTTCATTGACTCTGAAAAAAAAAAACAAAGAATCAGCAACATTTAAAGCAAAAAAAGCCAAAGAGATTACTTTAGTTTTCTAACCATTCAGTTTATGCACTTAACTTCTGTTCTGCTTGATATTCATGAACATTTCAGCTCTCCTTGAGAGTTCTGAAAGTTTTTTCCTCTATTCTAATGTCACAATTTCCAAAGTTACCAGAAACTTCCATTTTAGAATACCTGTTAGAGGTCTATAGCTGATAATAAAACCATCTTCTAAGGAGGATCAAAACAGGATAACAATTGTTTGTGGGTAACAAAATGTTTCAGGGCAGCCACAGTCAAAGACACAATTGACAAGGAAATTTGTTACCTTTGTGGCACACAATAACTTAACATAGCAATTATAATTATTACTGATAACATATACTAAGTCACATCAGAATTATAGGAGTTTCCCATGATTTTGGATCACATACCAATAACATATTTATATAAATATGGCCTAGAGTAAATCAAGCACCATTTCAAATTTGAAAATGTTTCCTGTATAATTTTTGTACCAAATAAGCCAAACTATGTAATTTTTTGACTTTAGGGAACATAATATCTTAAAGAGTTAATTAGGTTGGAAAAATATATAACATATAATCTTATAATTTGATTTTGGAAAATTTGTCAAATATCAAAGGTTTAAAATTCTTGATATAACAAAATAGGATCATTCATTTGACCAAAGTGATAAGAAGGATTTCAAAAAAGGCAAAAACCTTCATTCTTGGAGACAGGAGACTAAATATTCCATACAATAAGCCCTAATAAAAACAGCATTAAGCCAGTTAAATTTGTGTTTGAAAATGTTATAAACAGTCAATAAAATTTTAATCTTGACCACAAGATACAACTTCCATAAGCCTTTTATAACCTTTATAAACATTATTAAGGAGTCAGTTAATGCTTCAAGAAAATCTTGTTAATTTGACACAGGGGCCAATATGCTCATCGTGCTTCAGTGTCTTTAACATTCATGATTAATTTATACAGTAAATAAACATATTTTATCCTTCAAAATCGGCCCTTACAATTTCATGCACCCACCTCTTCGGTGATAGTCCCTGGGTCTTGAGCTAAAATAGCTTTAATTTCTGGCCTTGTGTCTCAGGAATGTGCTAATTTTGATTGGCATCTTCTATAGGGTCTGAAGATGGGAATTTAATTGCTATTAGTGTTTCAAATTTAGCAGGATTGGTGTCCTTTTGATCCCAGGTGTCAAAGCCCTGTAGATCATTGTTACAGTACTTTAAAAGCACACGCAGAGGGATACATGGATGTAATAACCTTAATTTTTTTAAATATTAATCTCATTTTTTCCTAAGCAAACTAAAACTTAAATAATGATATACAAACTTGATTTTATAGAAATTTTTTTGTTGTTGTTTATAAATCCTCTTATTGCGACTTACACTGACCGTTCATGATATGCTTGGACTTTCTGGTTTGTCCTGAACATCCCACTTTTTAAAACAACTAGTCATTTTACTCTAAGACTAAATTTACCATACAAGAGCCTTTCTTATCTGAAATTATTTCCCTTTAAGCTTTTTTACCAAAAAAAACCCTCTATATTTTTTACAACTTTCTTTCTTTTATTTCCTGGTGCCTTTTACCTCATTTTTATACATGACATTTAAATAAGCTTTTAAATAGATAAAAATAGTTCACTTTTTTTTAAGGACACAATTTTTTAAAGAGTGTTTTCCTACAAATATACTTTTAAGAGAAAATACACAGATAAAGGCATATGTATTATTTAATTTAATATAACTTTAAATTCTAAATTATGATGAGTTTGTCTACAAATATCTATTCTATTATTTTTTCCTAATTATTTTATTTTAGTTGTTTACCTAAATTATTGATAATATCTTTGATTGTCATTATTTAAAGTTATGGAACCATATTGCACACAATTATAACTGAGATAGTGAAAAAGATTTGACCTCCCTGATTCCATCTGGCTTCTAACCTCCAAGCTGTCCTTGTTTATTCCTGGGTGTAGGCTGAACTAACTTTGTGAGGAACTTAGTTTATAGTTTAGCTTTGAAACGGAGATGATAACAGTCCTTTCCCAAAACGAACCATACTGTTTATGGACTAGACCACCTAAAGCCACAAGGTTAAAGTTATGGTAATGTTGCTAAATTCAAGATGTAGCTATTTTTTATTAAACCAATATAAATGTCTTATTTATTAAAGATTACACAGTGAAGATCTTTCTGTCTTGGGCTAGGTGTATAGTTTTGTAATCCATATGCCAAATTTTGACATGTTACAGTATTTGGCAGGGATAAGTATCAAACTGCTTGATGGATAATTGCAAACAAAAATGTATGCCGGCAATTCTTAAGACATTTCTAGTATTACTTTACCAATAATTTAAAGCTAGCTTATTCATTAAAGATTTTACTTGTTATGTAAATTTGAAAAAGCTTTTGACTAGTCTTTTTTTATGATAAAGTGCTTGATGCAAGCACTTTTTTTATTTCTTTTTCTTTAATTACCTGTTAAATCTAGAAGTTATAGGATGTTGCCAATGGTCTATTTCTTTTTATTTTATTTTATTTTACTTTAAGTTCTTGGATACATGTGCAGAACGTGCAGGTTTGTTACATAGGTATACATGTTCCATGGGGGTTTGCTGCACCTATCAACGCATCATCTAGGTTTTAAGCCCCTCATGCATTAGGTATTTGTCCTAATGCTCTCCCTTTCCTTGTCCCCCACCCCACGATAGGCCCTCGTGTGTGATGTTCCCCTCCCTGTGTTCATGTGTTCTTATTGTTCAACTCCCACTTACAAGTGAGAACATGAGGTGTTTGGTTTTCTGTTCCTGTGTTAGTTTGCTGAGAATGATGCTTCCAGCTTCATCTGTGTCCCTGCAAAGGACATGAACTCATCCTTTGTTGTTGTTGTTCTTGTTGTTGCTGTTTTTGAGAGGGAGTCTTGCTCTGCTGCCCAGGCTGGAGTGTAGTGGTACAATCTTGGCTCACTGCAAGCTCTGCCTCCCGGCTTCACATGATTCTCCTGCCTCGGCCTCGGCCTCCCAAGTAGCTGAGACTACAGGCGTCTGCCACCATGTCTGGCTAATTTTGTGTGTGTGTGTGTGTGTGTGAGTGTGTGTGAGTGTGTGTGTATTTTTAGTAGAGATGGGGTTTTACCATGTTAGCCAGCATGGTCTCGATCTCTGGACTTCATGAGCCACCTGCCTCAGCCTTCCAAAGTGCTGGGATTACAGGCATGAGCCACAGCTCCTGGCCAAACTCGTCCTTTTTTATGGCTGCATAGTATTCCATGGTGTATATGTGCCACATTTTCTTTATCCAGCCTATCTTTCATGGGCATTTTGGTTGGTTTCAAGTCTTTGCTGTTGTAAATAGTGCTGCAATAAACATACATGAAGCACTTTTATTTTCTTAGCCCATTAATTAGAGTTCTTTTATATATTTTCAGTAGTGAAAAATTGTGTATCCAATACATACATACATAGACATATTAGGTATGCCAATAGAAGTACATCTTATAGATTTATAAACACCTTTTGTTTTCCTATCTTAGACTTTCAGATTCACAAGTCTAGACAGTTGTCAGCTAAATTACATTAAATTTGCATATTAAAGGAAACAGCTCAGGTGAAAATCAAATAGCAAAATTTACATAATAAGATAGAGAGAGAAAAAGTCTGGTGGTATTAGAGGGAGATTAAAGATGGATGCCAAATCAAACATAAAAGTATAGAAATGTATCATAAGATTGTACAAGGAGACCGATTTTATTTACATAGGGACTATCCATCTTTTAACTGGGTCTCTGAGCCCTGGTCAGAGCCCACACTGAATCCTGGGTTTCCAAAAAGGAATAATTTTTATGAGATTAGACCGCGTGATGCTTTTACAGTGCACTTAACATTTTTTTTAAAACAAAAACATTTCTAAGTGTCTAAACCATATTCTTCTTTAAAAACCTAAGAGTAACCTCTGTTGCAATAACTATTTTAGGCAAAGAAAAAGGAAACAGTTAACACAGTACAAGTAAGCAGTTTAAGAGCTAAGATGAACTTCTCTGTTTACATTCTTGGGGTTCCACAAGGAAAAACAGGTTTCTTCCCCAAAGGGAGTCTGGTACCTTTATTTTCTTTAAGGAACCTCAGGCTATTATAAACTATTTTATGTCCCTGATTCAGCAGAGGGTGCAAGAGAAAGAAGAGACAGCAGAAGCAAATGAAGAAAACATAATTCAGTCAACTGAGAAGAAAAAAACTGTTGCTCAAAAAAAGACAAAGTCCTAGGAGAAAAACAAAAGCAAAAACATGAAGGCCTTTTAAATACAATACACAAACATATGCACACATGCAAACACACATCATGGATATTAGCTTTTAATTAAGCTGATTTTTTACCACTGAGCTTCCTTAAAAAAAATCTTTTAAAATCTCATTACCATGTTTCACCTAGGACAAATTGCTGCTATTTCAAAAGTACAGCCATTGCTCTTTCAGTTTGTCCTGGGTTGCAAAAAGGTGGCCTTGTTATGTAAATAAAGTCTGTTAGTAATCAAAAATCTTTCCTCTTTTTTCCCCTTATATATATATCACAATATTCATATATATTTATGTATTATATATGTAAATATATCATATAGTATATATCAAATATTATATGTAATATATTTTTATATTTTATATGTAATATATACTTATGATATTTATAATATATAATATATGATATGTTACATATGCATTATGTGTAATATGATATTATATATTATAATATATAATATTTATATATTATAATGTATATTATAATATATAATATTTATATATTATAATGTATATTATAATATATAATATTTATATATTATAATGTATATTATAATATATAATATTTATATATTATAATGTATATTATAATATATAATATTTATATATTATAATGTATATTATAATATTTATATATTATTATAATATTTATATATTATAATGTATATTATAATATTTATATATTATTATAATATTTATATATTATTATAATATTTATTTATTATAATATTTATATATTATTATAATATTTATATGTTATAATATATTATAATATTTATATATTATAATATATATTATTATAATATTTATATATTATAATATATATTAGTATAATATTTATATGTTATAATATATATTATAATATTTATATATTATAATATATATTATTGTAATATTTATATATTATAATACATATTAGTATAATATTTATATATTATAATATATGTTTAATTTTAAAATATTCTTAAAGGTAACTTGATTGTTTAATGCAAATATAACATTGTCATTCTAGTCTTACTCCCTTTACTTAGCATACATTTTGTCCTCCATTCAGTTGTATAAACATGCCAAGAATGCTGTCCTTTAGGCTTAGACTGTTTTTTCTGCCTGTAGATACAGTATCCACACCCCATATGCAAGGACTCACTCCAGTGTTGTGGCTCACCTTTTTGTTTCTAATGTCTCATAATGTCTCAGCCAGCTTTCATCTCCCCAAAAGACCTTCCCGACTCATATCATTTAATTACCACCCCTATCCATTATTCTTTACTTCCAGTTTCCTCATTCTTCCCTTTCACAATTTGTAATTCTATATTTATGAAATATTCTCCTCTAATAGTTTTGTAAGTTCCATGAGAGTAGGAAACATGATTATATTGCTTACCATCGTATTTACAGAATCTAAACACTGTCTATGATGCAGTCACTGAATAATTCTGGAATGTATGCAGGATGTACTTAGAATAAATTTTCTTCTAAGTTGTTCTTACAAAAGTCCCAGAAAGTAATGTTTCAACCTATTGTACATAATACAAAGAGTCATATGAAGTTATTTAGATTCTCTTTATTTTGTCTTGTGTTCTGTCTACAAAATAAGCTTTAAAAAATAGGCTAATGAATTTTGGTTATAACATATTTTCAGAAACTGAAGAAAAAAGTTAACATATTATTTTTTTAATCCCTTGAGTTTCTTTGAAGTGACCCTGTCAACATCTCTCAGTTTTTCAGCACTTAAAATTGTTTCTTGGTCTGTTACCAAAGGACCACCACAGGGAATTATACTGGCAGCAGCTTCTTTAAAAATATATATACGGAACATTTTAAAAATAAGGTGTACTTTGGAGCAAGTCAAATTCCTGTTACTTACAATGAAAAGGCCATCTGCAGATATATCATTATTTTTATTTTTAGGGCTGATAATGGGTAAGGTTTGACAATCAACTGAATAGTTAACTTCCACAAGAGGATAACAATGGACTTTGCAACCACTTAGTCTCAAGTTGGTGTAGTTTTTGAGTCACTGGTTGCAGATGCTCATACACATATGACATGAAACCTGTGGCATAGAAAGAGCTGAATAAAACCTTTAGAAGATATATAATGAAAAAGACATTTCTAAATCTATTTTTTATAAAAACTGTGTTTCCTTAGACATTATTTTTACTTATGTAGGTTATAAGTAGACTTTTTACACACACACATATACACATGCCCACACACATTATATAAATGTTAAATTTGTATTTCATAAGGCAATTAGCTTTGGAATGGTAACAGCAGACTGTAGAATATCTCGATGGGGTTTCTCGAGTTCAAATATTAGGCACCTAAGTTAACATATATTTGACAAATACTAGCTGGGCATGGTGGTGGGCATCTGTAGTCTCAGCTACTAGGGAGGCTGTGGTGGGAGGATCACTTGAAACTGGAACTCGGAAGTTTCAGTGAGCTGATATATTGTCACCACTCCAGCCTGGGAAATAGAGCGAGACTCCATCTCAAAAAAAAAAAAAAAAATACTGACTACTTTAAATGTTACCAGATCATGGCAAATGTAAGAACGTTTATTTCGCATACCATGCACGGCAACAATGAAGAGATATTTTATTATTCAGAGTTCTCTAGGGAAACAGAACCAATACAGTATGTATTCATATGTATATATAGAAGGAGATTTATTAAAAGGAATTTGTTCATGCAATTCTGGATAGAAAAAAAGATTTATTAAAAGGAACTGGTTCATGCAATTCTGGATACTGACAAATCAAAATCTTTAGTGTGGGTTGGCAGGCTCAAGATCCAGAAAAGCCAATAATGCAGTTCCAGTCTGAAGCCTGGAGCCCAGGGATCCAGAAAAGCTAATAGTAAAGATGAAGTCCAAAGGCAGTTTTCCGGAGAGAGATACATGTATCTAGAAATATATATATATAAAATATATATATATAAATAAAATATATATATAAATATATATATACATTATATATAAATATATAATATAAATATTATATATTATACATAATATATATATTTATATGACATATATCATATATAATATATATTATATGTAATATAAATATATATTATATATAATATATGTCATATAAATATATATATTTATATGTTTTATATATAAATATGTTTTATATATAAATATATAATATATAAATATATATAAATATATATAATATATGAATATATATAAATGTATATAATATATAATATATAAATAAATATATATTATATCTATAATATATATTTATATATTATAGATATAACATATATTTATATATTATATAAATATAATATATATTTATACATTATATATTATATATTATACATTATATATTTATATATAATTTATAATGTATAAATATATATTATATATAATGTATAAAAATATATTATATATAATATATAAATATATATTATATCTATAATAGATTAATATATATTATATCTATAATAGATAAATATATATTATAGATATAATATGAATATATATTATATATAAATATATATAACATATAAATGTACATTATACATGAATATATATAAAATAAATATATATTATATATATATAATATATAAATATATATAATATAAATATATATTATATATAAATATATATAATATATAAATATATATAATATAAAATATATATTATATATAAATATATATTATTTATGAATATATATTATATATAAATATATATTATTTATAATATATATTATTTATAA